>NC_000017.11:80841311-81141721 GCF_000001405.40 Homo sapiens
ACACTCACCGCACGGCAGCTCATTCACCGCACGGCAGCTCGCTCTCTCTGCACCGCAGCTCACACTCACCGCACGGCAGCTCACACCGCACGGCAGCTCACACTCACCACACGGCAGCTCACACTCACCACACGGCAGCTCACTCTCACCACACGGCAGCTCACACCACACGGCAGCTCACTCTCACCACACGGCAGCTCACACCACACGGCAGCTCACTCTCACCACACGGCAGCTCACTCTCACCGCACGGCAGATCACTCTCACCGCACGGCAGCTCACTCTCACCGCACTGCAGCTCACTCTCACCGCAGGGCAGCTGACACTCACCACACGGCAGCTCACTCTCACCGCGCCGCAGCTCACACTCACCGCACGGCATCTCACTCTCACCGCACGGCAGCTCACTCTCACCACACCGCAGCTCACTCTCCCCGCACGGCAGCTCACTCTCCCCGCACGGCAGCTCACTCTCACCGCACGGCAGCTCACACTCACCGCACGGCAGCTCACTCTCACCGCACGGCAGCTCACACTCACCGCACGGCAGCTGACTCACCGCACCGCAGCTCACTCTTACCGCACGGCAGCTCACTCTCACCGCACGGCAGCTCACACTCACCGCACGGCAGCTCACACTCACCGCACGGCAGCTCACTCTCACCGCACCGCAGCTCACTCTCACCCCACCGCAGCTCACTCTCACCACACGGCAGCTCACTCTCACCACACGGCAGCTCACACTCACGGCGCTGCAGCTCACATTCATTGCAAGGTGGACACCATTGAGTGTCCCAACATTCATGTGTCCCTTCTAGGGCCACTGGGCATTTTCAGTTTTCAGTCCTCACTAACAGTGCTGGCTAGAGCCAGACTCTGTCACATCAGAGCCTGAGACAAAAGGGAATTCTGTGATATTGGTCCTCCCTTTGAAATGTCGATATCTTCTTCAGTATGGATTTTTGTATTAATTTTTATTTTTGTAAATATTGCACTGAAATATCATTTGTCTTGATTACTGATTTTTTTTTTTGGTACCCCACCTGCTAGCACCAATTCTGTGCCTGAGGCCAAGGCCTCCCCTTCCTGGCTGGCCTCCCGTTCAGGGGCTGCTCCCTCCTTCACATTTCTCGGAGTGATCCTTCGGGGTCCCAGGGTTTGCCCATATTCAGCTTTAACAGATGGTGCCAGAGCACTCTGCAAAGTGGCTGAGTCAGTTTACACTCCTGCCTGCAGCATTCGAGAGTTTTAGTTGCTATGTATTTATTTGGCTATGATGGTTCAGTATGAAAAGGTATTTCCTTAAGAGCTAATCGTGTATTTACCCGATGGTTAATAGAGCATTGTTCTATACTTGTACTGGCCATTTATGGTTCCGGCTTTTGGTATCCTGTTTTATGAAACCTTTATTTCCTCTGAGATGAGCATTCTGAGCAGACGCTACGCTCTTTGTCAGCTAGCAGCTTGTGTGTTTCCCTTTCACATCTGGACCTGCATCTGCTCACATTTCACGTCCCCCGTGAATGCTCGGCTTACTGGTGGTGTTTGCACTGAGGACCGTGTCCGCGTGGCTCCCTCTGTTCCCTCCTTTGCACCAAGGGCCATGTTCACATGGCTGCCTCTGTTCCCTCGTTTGTCCCTTTGCTCACTTGTTCTTTGCACCAGGACCACACAGTTGTAATGACAAACTCTACGTGACACTTTCTAAGCTGGTAGACTAAGTCCCACAACTTCGTTTTTTTCCCCGAGTTTGCCTCAGTTACTTTTGGTCCTTTGCATTTCCATGTGAATTTTACCATCAGTGTGTTAATTTCTGCAAAGAACCTGCTGGATTTTTGTTGAGATTACAGTTAATCTACAGATTGATTTGGGAGAAGTCACCACCTCTATAATATTGAGCCTTCTCCTCCCTCAACGTGGTTGTAAATGGTATTGTTTAAAATTTCACTTTCTGATTTTTCTCTACTAACAGTGACATAGAACCCTATAAAAATTGAGGTTTTCAGAGGCTGAGGCAGGAGAATTTCTTGAACCCAGGGGCAGAGGTTGCAGTGAGCCAAGATCATGCCACTGCACTCCAGCCTGGGCAACAGAGTGAGACTCTGTCTCAAAAAAAAATTTTTTTTTTTGGTTTATTGAGATAGTAGGAGAAGCCAGAATGATTCCCCTGCAGTAGAAAGCTCGGGCTAATTGACTTTCTTAGGGGTGTTAAAGAGAACCCTTCTGCAAACTGAGCAGCCGTACAGGGGGATAGAATGTCCCTACAGAGCCGTACAGGGGGGTAGAATGTCCCTACAGAGCCGTACAGAGGGGTAGAATGTCCCCTTGGCAGTGAACTTTAAGTCCCCTCTTTAAGCAGCAAGCTTGTCGTAAGTGGCAAATGTATTGTGCCATTGTCAGGACGGAGAGTAGCCATCTCAGAATGTCCAGATGGTGAGAAAGGCGGCAGGTATGCTCAGGTTGTTGGTAGCAGAAGTCCAGCCGGACGGGCTCCACTTAGGTGTGACTTGGAGGCTCCCAGCCTCTCAGCCGGCCTTCCCATTTTCAGTCTGCTGCCCCTGTTTTTAGAATATGTCAAACTGCCTAGCACACAGGCTGGCAACAGAGCAAAACTCCTGGCATCCAAATCGCCCTGGGAGAGCCAGGTATGTGGTCCTGGCCGGGCAACCCAGACGCTCAGCCCAGCAGGACCTGTGAGCTCTCTGTCTCGCTGAATGGACTTCGCTCCCCTGCACGCAGGGGCCAGCTCAGGAGCTCTTCATGGGGTGGAGAAAATCTCAGAGATTTGGCCCAAAACATCAGCCCTGTGAATCATGGGTGGAGACACGGGCCGCTCTCGAGATGTTTTCCGGAATATCATATAAAGTGTTGGCCACTCTTCCGCAGGCGCTTGCTCTAATTCGTCAGCCTCCCCGTGGCTTTAGGGAGCTTCACGGGCTTCACCGCGCACCTGCCAGGCAAAGGTGTGCTTTTCCTTTTTTGTCAGTTTGAGGTGAATAGTCAGGAATTTTTCTCTTTCTGCATGGAGTAGTGACTCCAGCAGTGAGGAACATGTGAAAATCCATCAGGCAAAGCTAATGTGATAGAAAGAAGAGGTGTAACTATCTGAATTACCTGACTTCTGTTCACAGACTCAAGCCTTCTCTAACTCAGGAGAATTACGTTCTCGCGGGATGTGGAGGAGGGGGTACTTAACGAGATTTTTTTTTAACCAATTTATGAATAATTCACACTTGAAAACAGGAAAATCACTCTGGGGGCTCCAAGCCAGCTCCACAGGTTGCCCTCCAAGTGTGATTAACTTTCTGTAAGCTGGCTGCACAGGAGCACGGATTCCTACGTGGTGAATGTTCTCGGCTGACTTTTTAAGTCGGGCCACGGGGCTCTGCCCGCCAGGCTCCTCTGTGGAGGCTGCCGAGAGCGCTCCTGGACTTGGGCGCACGGAGGCACCCTGTCCTGCTCCTGGCGTTCGCCTGTCCACATGTGTCCACATTCACTGGAACCCGGGGCACAGCCGACCCCGGCCAGATGAGCGGAGGGAGGGTTCCTCCCGACCTCCTCTCAGAGACACGCACCTCCACTGCGGCCACCCACCTTCCCCCCGAGCAAAATCAAACAACGTAGGGAAGAGAGGATAGTGGATGGGAGAGAGAGGCTGGTAGTTGTTTTTTTTTTTTTCTTTAATTCTTTGTATCGGGGGCTCAGGGAAGGCAGAGCTGTGTGTTAAGTGGAAGTGACTCTCCGTGGAGGGAATCAGGCCGGACTGCTCCTGCCTGGCCGCTCAGTTCCGAGACCTTCCAACGGCAGCCTCCCCTGCAGCCTTCACGCTCTCCAGCCGCAGGCCCAGCAGCCCTGCTGCCCACCTGCTCCATGGCACCCAGGCGAATCCCCCTCCACTCTGTGCCTGCACTCACGTGGCTGGGCTAACTGGGAGCTCGGGCCCACCCGGTGTGGCCCACGGAGAACTCGTGTCACCCCCTCGAGGGGCCCTGATGCCGCCTGACATTCTGACCCCAAGCATTTTTTTTGGTCTCCCTCACCCGCGCGCCTTCTCTGTCCAGCTGCAACCCCTCCTCCCGCCCTCACCCCAGAGAGTACCCTCGTTTCCCATTTCACTGAGGAAACAAGAAGCAGTCGCATGACCGCCTCTGCCGGGTCCTCCAGCCCTCCCCCTGCTTCTCTGCATCTGGGCCCCCTTGCTTTGCCGCCTGCCTGGTTCCCCTGGGGAGCAGCCCTGCTCTGCCAGCCCAGCCTGTGCTTCCAGTCCCATCCCCCAGCCTGCCCGAGGATGCCCTCCAGCAGCCTTTCCCCACCCTCCGTGCCCCCAGCTGGGTCTTTCTCACCAGCGTCCTGTCCCCATTACTCCACATCTACAAAAAGCACTTCCTGACCCTACATCCCTCTCCAGCCACCACCTGTCTGTCTTGTTCCCCTTTGCAACCAAAACCAAATTCACCCTGTCTCGAAACCCCTCTGGCTGCGCTTTTGCCCAACTCCAGAGCGTTCTTGCTGCTGATCCGGGGCCCAGTCAGCTCTCCATCCTTATCTCGCCTGGCCCGGTGCTGGTTTGTGGCTCTGCCCTGGACGTTGCTCCCTGGCGTCCAGACCTTTGAGCTCTGCTTTCCCTCCACTGCCGGGCCCTCACCGGCCCCAGCGCGGCCCCAGCTCATCTCCTTGGTCTCCATAGCAGAGGCTCTGTCCTGGGCCCCTTTCCTTTCTCACTTAACTTGAAAAAGATTCACACACCATGACTCCCAAGCGTGTCCCCAGCCAGACTTGCCTGCTGATCCACACACTCACGGGGTCCCCTGCCCCCGGCATCTTCACTCCCTTGTCCAGCCACTGTCGTGAGCACCACATGTCCACAGCTGGTTCCCAGCACGCTCCTCTTGCGGCCCCAGCTCGGTGCCCTGGCCAAAAGCCTTGGAGTCATCCTCAGCTGCTCTCTTCTCCTGCCTGCCTCTGGTCCCTTCGTGCACCCCGCAGGCTCTCCCTCTTTGGCATGCCCAGAGCGCCCGCTTCTCAGCCGCCTGGCATCCTCGCGGCCCTGCAGGGCGGGCCCTTCGTGAAGGCTTGGATGCCCGGCAGGTGGCAGGGGTGGGCAAGACCAGGCCATCTGGGAACATGGCCCTAACAAGCACCTGTTCTGCTTGCCCCGCAGCACAGCCCGTTCTTCGCCGAGCAGCTGACCGCATTCCAGGTGTGGCTCACCATGGGCGTGGAGAACCGAAACCCACCCGAACAGCTGCCCATCGTCCTGCAGGTGAGTTTCTTCAGACCGGGCCAGACAGCCGAGGTTCCTCAGGAAGGAAGCCAGATGCCTGTACAGCCCCGGGAGTGCCTTCTCTCTCCCTGAGCCCTGTGGGTCTGTGACATCCCAGCCCCTCTGCCCCGAAGATGATGGTGCATGGGCAGGTCGCATTCGGGCAAACGGATCACACAGATCCAATCAGGAGTCACTGGGCTGATCGCACATTCATTCCTAAAGGGTTTCCTCTAAAGCCATTGATTTCCCTCCTCCACCCTCAGATAAGTGTAACTTTGGGACTGGGGAGTCATCAGCCAGTCCATCATCCCCCTCTCCCCTGGCTACCATTTCCACTTTAGGAATTGCTGAGATTCAGCTACAGATGGGCTTTGCTTCAGAGCAGGCTCTCGACACCACTGCCTCCTTCTCTTGGGAAGGACAGGAGATGGCAGTGAATCCGGGAGAGGAGGGAGGAGGCTCCCTGAGCGGATACTGACCGGCGAAGCGGGCAGAGCGGCTTTGTGGCCCAGCGCCGTAGGTTATGCACTGAAGCACACACAGATCCGGAAGCCGGCAGCCCTTCCCTTGCACGGGGCTGTCACAGCTGCTGTAACAAATAGGCCCTTTTGGGGCACGTCCTTCAGATGCCAGTGCCCACGGGGCCCGTGTCATGTCAGTGCTGTTCACGTGCAGACCATGACCTGTTCATGGGTTGGGAGGTCAGCATCGTGGGTCCTGCTGGCTGGTTTTTGGTCACTGAGATAGGATGGGAGGCCATGGAAATTGAGGAGTTCGTCACAGGTAGTGAAGTTAGAAAGATTCCACAGAACTTTTGTTTCGGTGAATGTGTGTTTGTGGGGAAGTGTGTGGGCTGAGTCAGAGTCAAAGGAGTTTAAAATCCACTGGTCAGTGTAGATATCAAGGTCTAAGAACTCACTTTAAAAGCTGGAAAAGTGTTTTTGTGATTGGGGTGGTGCAGTTGGACTTTGGCGAGGAGCTGTGCATGGCCGTGGGGAGGGGCTGCCCAGCAGCAGGCAGGGAATGAGCAGGCCCCGCCCTTTTTGGTTTAAAGCTGGGTGACTCCCCCCACACACAGGAAGAGCCCCACCTCCGGGTGTGGTGCTGAGTTCTGAGAGTCGGCAGAGTTGGGTCCTCGCCTTCCTAGAAAGCAGATCGGGTGGTGGTACCTCCATGGAGAGGGGCGTGAGTGGCGCCGCCCACCTGCCCTTCTTCCTTCCAGAGCTCGTGCTTTCTGGTTAGGGCCGCTCACCACACTGACAGACAGCACACCAATCTTCACTAGACCAGGTGTTCATCCCACCTCTGAGAGATCATTTAGAAAACCGGGGCCAGTTTATCTCTGTCACGGCCATGGCCTCAGCAGCCTTCCCTTCCGCCGTTCAGTCTGTGCTGCAGCAGTGGCAGCCAGCGTCGCAGGCGTGCTGTAGGACTGAGGCTTCACCTCGTTCAGGACTTTGCCCCAAGAATCTCAGCCAGAGAAAGAGGAGTTGGGAGAAGGAACAGTGCACATGGACGTGCTCAAGACAGTACCGCCGGCCTGTCCTCGCCGGCATTGTCTCAGGCGGGCAACAAAGAACCAGTGTGCCAGCCGGCTGCCCTGGTGTTATGATCCCAGCTCCTCAGTAGGCCAAGGCGGGGAAGGATCACTTGAGCCCAGGAGTTCAAGGCCAGCCTGAGCCACATAGGGAGACTCCATCTCTACAAAATAAAATAACATTGTACCACATTTCACAGTATATATTTCTGCTGCTGTCAGTATATTATGACAGTTGCTTTTTGGACATTGCAAAAAGAATGCAGACGTTATTACTGTTCTTCCTGTATGTACCTAGATTCGTTTAAGACTATCCTGAGATTACAGGGTGAGGTGTAAACAAATAAACCAGCTCATGTTCAAAACCAAGAACACGCAGTGATAGCAGCAACGCAACCAAACAACATTTGACAGAAGCCCACGTTTTCCCTTCGTGCGACTGTAGAAAGGCAGCTGGCTGTGTGGCCACGGGTGACCGGGGGTGGCCACAGCGCAGGTTGCCCATGCTGGGCCCCACGGCTCCTGTTGGTCATCTGGGTTACCAGGATGTCCCTCAGGAGACACTGGCTCTCTTACTGGCCTTCCTACTATTTGAGCAATGTGATGGAGTAAAATCGGCCCTCTCCAAAGCAGGACCCGATGCCAAGCACGTTAAATCCAGTTCTTTTGGGTCCAGCAAATAATCTTTTTGTAAATGGCCTTCTGTTGATTTCTTTCAATGTTCCCTTGGCCACCCACACTCCCTCAAGGAAGGAGAAGACGTGCTGGAGGCAGCTTTCTGATGGTGACGTATGCGAAGACAGCTCTGGTCGGAGCGTGGGGCATTTCCCACATGATTTTCCAGCAGGTGTGAGTGGCAGGTTCCTCCTCCCTCTGGAGGGTCTGTTTCCTGGCTGTGCCCAGCCGGGATCAATGGGCGGACCTCCACCTAACACAAAAGTAGGGAAAGATGAAGTGTAATGGGGTATCGGCTTCATTTGACGTACCCCCCGGGAGTGGCTTCTTTCTCGTTAACTCGGCTCACTTCCCCGCGCTTTCTCTTAAAAGCCTTTATTTTTGCCAAAGCCTGGGCCCTGTTATCCTTAAATTATTCTCTAGTGCCTTGGCAAGTCAGAAAACATCACTTAAGGGAAAGGGAGTTTTCTCACTCGCTTCCGGTTTTCCGAATCCCTGCCACTTCATCCCTAAGCCAGAGGCAGTGGCTGGTGGCCCTCCAGGGTCACGCACGGTGTCTCATCAGGTCCGGCTGATTCGCAGCCCCTCCTGTAAACGTGAGCATGGAACAGGCCCTTCCTGCTTTCCAGCCTCAATATCCTCTCTGCCTTTTAAAAATATAAATCAACAGAGGAACAAGAAGGAAGATACAATGTTTAAAAAAATTGCTGTTTTGCCCAGACCCTTGATTGATGGTGTCTATTTTTTTGAGATGGAGTCTCACTCTGTTGCCCAGGCTGGAGTGCAGTGGCGCGGTCTCAGCTCACTGCAACCTCTGCCTCCTGGGTTCAAGCAATTCTCTGCCTCAGCCTCCCAAGTAGCTGGGATTACAGGCACCCGCCACCATGCCCGGCTAATTTTTTGTATTTTTAGTAGTGACAAGGTTTCACCATCTTGGCCAGGCTGGTCTTGAACTCCTGACCTTGTGATCCACCCGCCTCGGCCTCCCAAAGTGCTGGGATTACAGGCGTGAACGACCGCACCCAGCCCTGAACACCGTCTTCTCACGAGGAGCTCTGGACTCTCGTGGCCTGTGGGGTGCGTTTGCCCTCTGGCTTCGGCAGCTCGCCCGGAACTCAGTGCTGTGTGCCCCCAACAGGTGGCTCAGGAAGCCCAGGCAGGGGAACGAAGAGCGCCTAGGTTATGGAAGAGAGGGGAGAAAGTGACTTTTCTTCTTCTTTCTTTTTCAGGAAAAAGGTGACAGTGATATTTATGTGTTCATTTATTTACTTGGCCCTTTTTCTTTTCAATAGATCCAGGGTATACGGGTGCAGGTTTCTTGCATGCATGCACTGCGTAGTGGTGAAGTCTAGGCTTTGGGTGAACCTGCTACCCACATAGTGGGCATTATACCCCATAGGTAATTTCTCAGCCCTCAGCCCCTCGCACCTTTTGGAGTCTCCGGTGCCTGTTATTCCACCTGTGTGTCCCTGTGGACCCGTTGTTTAGCTCCCACTCACTTATACATGAGAACATGCAACAGTTGGTTTTCTGTTTCTGAGTTATTCCACTGAGCATAATGGCCTCCTGTTTCACCCATGTTGATGCAACAGACACGATTTCATTCTTTTTCTGGCTGAGTAGTATTCCATGATGCACAGACGCTGCAGTTTCCTCATCCAGTCCTCTGTTGAGGGGTGATCTCGGCTCACTGCAGCCGGAGCTCCGCCTCCTGGGTTAAAGTGATTCTTGTGCCTCAACCTCCAGAGTAGCTGGGATATCAGGTGTGCACCACCGCACCTGGCCAAGAGTGATTTTATAGGATGAAGTTTTAGTCCCTTTTCCTAGATGTCACAGATCAGTGTGAGCATTTCATTAGGAGGTCTATTTGCTCTCTCTCCGTGCATCATTTTTTTTACAAATAGAATGTGGGGTCTGAAAGTACAGGATTGTTATCAGGTGACAGCAGAATGACAAACTAGAGTGATGTTATACATACCATGTACATCGGGGACTCCAAAACCGCCCTGCTCATCAGGTGCCCGAGGCACCCTGGCCTGCAGCACCTGGCACTCCAGGGCTGGAACTGGAGAATCTTTTCTTATGAAGCAGCTCTTCCAGTATGCCTGTCTGAGCACTCTCTTCATATACAAGGCAAATGAAATTTGATAACCTTAGCAATTCTGTTTTAATTTGGTCGCCTCAGCTGGAGTGCAGTAGTATGATCATAGCTCGCTGCAACTTCCAACTCCTGGGGTCAGGCCACCCTCCTGACTCAGCCTCCTGAGTAGCTGGAACTGCATGCATGTGCCATCATGCCCGGCTCATTTTTGTATTTTTTGTAGAGACGGGGTTTCACCATGTTGGGCAGGCTGGTCTCGACCTCCTGGCCTCAAGCGATCCTCCAGCTTCAGCCTTCCAAAGTGTTTGCATTACAGTATTGAGCCTCTATGCCGGCCACCATGATTAATCTTTAGTTTGGGCTACCACAGGTGGAAAATAAATCTCAGTAACTCATTCAGCTCACCATCATTTACTTCTATAATTTCCATAGATCGTGGGATGGTCCGGAACAGGAGGTTTTTGTTTTGTTGTTTTTAAGTACAGAAACAACATTGGCTTTTTTTCTAAAAGCCAATCCCATTTTAAAAATAACTTTGCTTTATGTTGGCTTCAGTTTTTAAAAATCGTAAATCAACAAAAGGTGGCAGGAAGATGATGTAATGTTTGAGAAAAAAAAAACAGTACTTAACCTTTCCGCCAATACTCTTTATTGACGATGTTTCTTTGCAAATGAAATAATTGTAGCACCAAATCCCATGCTGCCCAAGGACCTCCGACGCCGACTCCCAGGCAGGTGGGCCCCCGAGGCCCCCGCGTGTGTTTCATCAGCACCTGCAGCTCCTACAGTGGGACACTCGGGACCACATCACGGTGGTGATTGTGAACCAGCGTCCCGCTTGCTTTTGTTGTTTGTAAGGAGCACATTCTAAGGAGACCTTTATTGCTGGGCTAGTGTCCTGGTAAAACAGTAACAGGAACTGGCCTTGATTAGACCTCTTCGCCCCGTCCTGCCACTTTTTCCATTTGTTCTGCAACTATTTACCTTAGAAACAGCCTTGTCCTTATTTACAGTGTTGGAAAAAAACAAAAAGAATCAGAAAACAATCTTTGTAAGCTTTAGATCTGATGATGTCTTTGATTTCTGACGATTGCAGCCATGGCGAGACCTGCCTCCTCTCCTCTCCCTGGGTCATCTAGAAACTTGAGCCTCAGGCAGCCTAGTGTTCCCTACACACAGAGAGTCAGTCCTTAAAACCTTGGGTGGTGGAGACATCTGGTAGCCGAACACTATGATGCTGACTTTACATCCGCTGGACACCTTGGTGCACACAGCTTTGTGCTAGACGCTTTACGGACTCTGCCTCATTGAACTTTGAGAATAAGCCCAAGTCAAGTACTGTTGTCTCCGTTTTTCTTGATAATGATATTGAAGTTTCCAGAAGTTAGGAATCTAAGCCAATTATTGGGCAGAGATGGAGGCAGGGTTAACATCAGGTTAGCCGGCCCCAGAGCCAGTGCTTTTCCTCCGACTGGCCCCTCAAACCTGAGTTCCAGGCAGCAGTGGCATGCGACAGCCCCCGAGTTAAGCATAGGAGAGGGATCCGGTTCCAGTTCACATATCCTGCGAGCAGTCCCACGTTCCTTTCCCAGCCTCTTAATCAGAGACTCTCAGCATCACCAGCACGGGGAACCTGCCACTCCTGGGTCCATGGTGAACCCAGCGTGGGAGCTGGCTCCGGGCACATAGAAGGGAAGTGAGGCCACATTCCCACTGCTCTTTCTCTGCCCCCAAGGCTGGACATGCTGGGATCCCCTCCATACCCCATCTGCCCCTCCAGCCTGGCTAGCCACCTCCTCTTGCTGCCACCTGTGACCTTCCCTGTCCCCCTCATCCTCCTGCCAGTGCTCTTCTCCCACCACAGGGAAGCTCCTCCCTCTCCACGGCTCCCCAGGGCCCATGCTCCTGACTCGGTGGCTCCTCCGTGGAAGTCGTGCTGGCCGACCCCCAGGAGCTTGACCCAGGTGGCCGCCATCTCCTCTCCCCTCCCCCGATCCTCCACCCTCACTGGCCTCCTCGTCCCTTTCCCCTGCCTCTCTTGAGGGTTTTCAAACTCATCCCAAACCTTCTTTTCTAGAGTTTGCTTTCCTTCACCCCTTCTTCTCTCAGCCTCTGGCCAGTGCTGCAGTCTCCTCCTCCCCATCTCCGTATTGGCACCCTGGTCAAACCCACCCCCTTCCACTCGCCTCCCCGACTTCCAGCCTCTTGCCAGGCCTGTCCCCAAAGCGAGCACACTGGACCAGTCACTGCTGCTTAACGTCGGCTGGTGGCTTCTGGATCTCAAAACAAACTGACCTCTCTGCATGCCGTCGGCGGGGCCTTTCCCTATCCGGCCCCTCCCCCATCACTGACCTCAGTCATACTGGTAGCCCGTGCATCCTCAGACACCCGGGCTTTTCCAGCCTCTCCACCTGCAACGCGGTAACCCCCTCATGTCACCTCCAGGACCCGCTGCCCAGCTGTGTCCTGTGCATCTTCTCCTGGGGGGAGGGAAAACCTCCGAGGCCTGCAGCGAGGCCAGGTCAGGGGCTCCCAGGGTCTGTGTGTTTAGGCATGGTGATGGGGCGGTCATTTGTTTAATGTCTGTCTCCCAGGCCACATGAAGGATGGGTGAGGTGGTCCCTACTGTCTGTGGTCACTCTCCTAGCACCCAGCGCAGCACCTGCCCCATAAACACCCCTTGGATGACTGGGGCATCGTGGATAGAAATGCTGTAGGTTGGAGGGAGTCGATGCACATGCCTTCCAGCATAGCCACCATTAAGGAAAAAATCAAAAGAAGTAATGCCATTAAAAGTGTAAAGCTTGGCCGGGCACGGTGGCTCACGCCTGTAATCCCAGCACTTTGGGAGGCCAAGGCGGGTGGATCACAAGGTCAGGAGATCAAGACCATCCTGCCTAATGCAGTGAAACCCCGTCTCTACTAAAAATACAAAAATAAATTAGCCGGTCATGGTGGCAGGCGCTTGTAGTCTTAACTACTCAGGAGGCTGAGGCAGGAGAATGGCATGAACCCGGGAGGTGGAGCTTGCAGTGAGCCGAGATTGCGCCACTGCACTCCAGCCTGGGCGACCGAGTGAGACTCTGTCTCAAAAAAAAAAAAAAGTGTAGAACTTTAATATAACAGAAAAAGTATGTGCAAAACCTCTGGCAGAGCCCACTCTAACTTATAAAGAACTCTGACATGTCAATAAGAAAAAGCCACATTTTGAAGTAGAAAACTAAACGCATGCAGGGCAAGTTTACTGGGGAAATGGCCCATCAACCTGCAAAATGTACTCCCCTTGAAATCCAAGAAATCCAGATGAAAAGGATGTATTTTCACCTGTCCTTTTGGCTAATAATAGTGTAATATGGGCTAGTATTGTCCCACAAGCTTTAAATTTATTATTTAATTTAATGAAACCCTTGTGGGCAGGTGTTGTGTTATATGTGTTTTATGAATTAATAAATCAAGGCTCAGCGACGTTAACTTGCCCAGAGTCACACCGCAGTGAGCGCTGCTGGGTGACCAGCTCAGGCAGCAGGAAGCTGGTGCCCACGTGCGTGCCGTCGAGAGTGTGAGTGGGTTCAGCCTCAGGGTCATTTGGTAACTTAAGTATATATGCTCCGACCTTACCTTTTTAATACTCACATTTATCTTAGTGGAAAAGAATCATGTACATGTGCCGATGTACCCATTAGGATATTGATCACAATCTTCTTTATCAGAGCAGCATTTTGGCCAGGCATGATGGCCCACGCCTGTAATCCCTACACTTCGGGAGGCTGAAGCGGGAGGGTTGCTTGAGCCAGAAGTTCAAGACCTGCATGGGCAATGTAGTGAGACCCCCATCTCTATAAAAAATACAAAAATTAACCAGGCATGGTGGTACATACCTGCGGTCCTAGCTACTCAGGGTTTGAGGTGGGAGGATCACTTGAGTCCAGGAGGTTGAGGCTGCAGTGAGCCATGATCTGGCATCTATACTCTAGCTTGGGCAACAGAGCAAGACCCTATCTCAAAAATAAATAAATAAAAATGGTAAAAGTAGGAACATTTTGATGATAATTTAAATATCTATCACTGGGGAAGTTGTTTAAAAGAATTGTGTACATTTGCATAACGGAAGTACTGTGCCGCCTTTGGGAATAATATGGTCAGTACATACCTACTGATATGAACAATGTTCACAGTGCATTGTTTAGTTTAAAAAGGAGCTGAGAAATAGAATCACATATTATCTAGTTCAAGATCAGTAAGAGAAGTGTGGACATAAAGAACAATGTCTGAGTTCATATACCTAAATGTCACCAGTGGGTTAGCTTTTTAAATGCAATTAAAGCATGTTTGTTCTAGTATTTTCTACATTGAGCATCTTTTATCTGTGTAATAAAGGCATAAAGCGTGTTTTCTTCACCTGTCTAAAAGCATGAACTTGTAAGGAAAGGAGCACCAGCTCTAGGTAACTGAAGCAGCAGACAGATCTGAACTGTGGTCAGACCGCTCCAAAGCTGGCAGCTCATGCAGCAGCGTTTCGGGGTTGCACACCAGTATGGTTTGCAGTGATACCATTTTCTTCTTGTTCTTCCAGGTGCTGTTAAGCCAAGTGCACCGGCTGAGAGCATTGGACTTGCTTGGAAGATTTTTGGACCTGGGTCCCTGGGCAGTGAGCCTGGTGCGTGCCTTCCGCATTAACCTGGGGGCTGAGGGAGGTGGGACAGAGATTAGGCTCCGTGTTTCAGTCTGTGCACGTATTTCATGATCCAGAGCCACCCCCAGCCGTGAGACCCAGGGCGAGTGTGTCCACCGTGTTGGTGTCCTGTCACTCCTGAGGCCCTCAAGGAGCCCACTCTGTACCCGTGCAGCCTGCAGTGCTGCCTGGCGTTTGGGGGTCTGGGGTTGTCGCCCCTCTTTATGTCTGATGTTAGACATAGGAGTGAGTGTGTTGTCGGCCGGTCACCTTTTCCTGAGCCGCCCCCAGCGCTGCGGAGGAGCAGGGCGCCCCTGAGCCTGACGCAGCACCCACCTCGTGGTGCTGCTTCCCCCAGGAGGAGTCTGGATCCTCAGCACTGTCTGCTCACCATCATGGCAGGCACAATTCGGAAACGCTCTTCTGGTTCCTCATTCTATAGCAGAGTAGTAATGGCCACTAAAAACACCCTGGCAGAGGCAGGATCAAGAAGCGACGTGCGTTTAACAAATAACTCACAGGGAAAGTAAAAGGAGGCTGAGAGGGAACCACAGAGTCAAGGAAACTCGAGAGACCTATGGCCAGCTGCCATGTACAGTAAACCTTACTTGGTTCTGTTGAAGTTCCAAAAATGAATACTCATAAAACAATTAGAAATTTTACAGGTGCTGGATTTATGTTATTCAAGAATCATTGTTCGTTTTTCTTGGGTGTGGTAACTGGATCATGTTTTTATAAAAGAGACCTAATTTTTTAGAGATAGACACTGAATATTCACCAATGAAATCACATGACATATGAGCCTTAATTTACTGTGCTTGGGAGCGGTGCGGTGGGGCGGTGGGTGCGGAACCGCTGTCACTAGCTGGGTGGTGAGTACCTGGGTTTGGTGTATTTAAGTATTTTCATCAGATAATGTTGACAAAGAGTGGTAATTGATAGTCCAGCACTGAAGGACGAGAGAAAACATCCAAAACTTGGAAGAATCATTCAGCACTCACCACTGGGCCATTTTCACTCCAGGTGCCTGAGGCCACAAATAGCTTGTAACAGAGTCAGGGCCTGAGTCATCGGAGGAAGGCTGGCGTGACTCGGTCACTTGGTGTGTGCGTGGTGGTGTCGCTTAGTCATCCTGGAAAGGCCTGCGTGGTATTGCGTGCACTCTAAGAAGACAGGAAGCATGTATTCATAACAGTTTAGAAAGAGTTTCATTTTTAAGGTTAATTTTTTAAAACCAGTTTCTTCCCTTTAAAGAATTAAGCTTCTGCTCATTGGAAATTTGCCTAATACATGAATCGAGGCTGGATAAACGAGGTATTTTTACAGGTACAGATTTTGCCTCTCAGGTGAGGGCCCAGCCACCCGAACCAGAGAAACTGCTCATACCTTGTTAAATGTGGCCTTTCACAGGGAAGGGACCCAGGCCTAGGTCCCACCACCACCTCCTGTCTTGGTTACAGGGGACCTCACTTATTGGAAGGTGATACCTTTAGGATATCTTTGAAATTCCAGCAGCTTTGAGATAAGGACACAGCAGAAACCCCTGGCTGTGGAGTGCAGCAGTACTTTGCCAGGCATCCTCCACACTGCAGTGCCCTCCACGCCCTCCCTCCCCTGCCTCTGAGGGCAGAGAGTCCCCTGAGAATGACATGGCCAGAACTGGGCGCCAGTGAGCCCCTGGGCAACCCCCGCTCCTCCCTGCCTTTCCCAGGGCAGGCATCTTTCTCCCAAGGTGTATCTGAAGTGCAAACATGAGTGTTGAGCAAGCTGGCCGTGCCGTCACGGAGAGGTGGCCGTGGTGTCACGGAGAGGTGGCCATGCCGTCACGGAGAGGTGGCCGTGCCGTCACAGGTGGCCGTGGCTCGTACGTGAGCAACACAGTGAAGGTGCCTGATGCTCTGCTGCCAAGAGCAGACGAGGCCACTGAGGGCAGGCAAGGGCCCCAGGCGCAAGCAGCCTGCGCCTCCACAAGGAAAAGCTGCCACCCGATTCATTCCAGTCTCTTGACACCAGTCAAGGCTGGCAGTATGTGGCAGCTTCTAGGAATAAATCAGAGATGAATAAATCTGGAGGAAGCCCCTCTTTACTTTAAGTGAGGCCCATTCATTCCTGTTGCGTTTCCCATATGTGCTGAAGATAGCACCGCAGCTGGTCCCGCGTGGCACCCCTGCTGCTGCCCGTTCCCTTGCTGCGGCACAGGTGCGCTGACGCCCTCCCTCGCCCCCAGGCCTTGTCTGTCGGCATCTTCCCCTACGTGCTGAAGCTGCTCCAGAGCTCGGCCCGAGAGCTGCGGCCACTTCTCGTTTTCATCTGGGCCAAGATCCTCGCAGTGGACAGCGTGAGTATCCCCGCCCTCCTCCCCAGAGTGATGTGAACCTGCCGGCCCTTCTGGGGATGCCGAGCCCTGCGTTTCCAGCCTGCCCTTTCTCCAGCCTCGCTCCCTCTCCAGGCACCGCCGTTCCCTTCCTCTCTTCTGGGGTAAAGTGGGACGCGCCCGCCTCGGCAGCCACCTCTGGGTCGTGGGGGCTGTCACCTACCTGTCCTGTCCCTGGCCTTCCCCTGGTACCCTGCGCTCAGTCCCCCCACACCGTCCTGTCCCTGGCCTTCCCCTGGTGCCCTGCACTCAGTCCCCCTGCCTGTGTCTGACCCCCGTAAGGCTGTCCCCGTGCTCCTGACCCTGACTGGAAGCAACCCCGCCATGGCATAAACTTGGCCTCTGCCTCGCCCAGACCCCGCATTGGCTCTCCTGTGCCCACCATTGCATTTCTCCCCCTCCTCAACCCTGCACAGGTGGTCTGGGCCAGGCCCCGAGGTGTTAGGGGCCACCCCCTTACACGGGGCTGTCCAGCTCTGTCCTCTCTGACGGGCATCAGCCCTGGCCCTGCAGCCATGTGTTCGCCCCTCAATCATCTAGGCCAGGGACCCATATTTAGCTATGTTAAGAGAGACACAAGGTCAGCTGTCCCTGTCCCCAGCGGCTTATGCTTGGGTGCTGGCAGGGGTTGCAGGTGACACCAGCCCTGTTGTGAGGCAGGGTCACCTCCTGCAGGAGCTACCAGCGAGATGGGTCAGAGGAGTGGGGCTGAGAAGTCGTGTGGGCGAGACCCGGCCTATGCTGAACTGGAAACGCCAGGAAGGGCCTTGAGGGGGTGGATGTCGGGCGGGGGTCCAAACATGGAGGTGGCAGGGAGGGCTGGGAAGACATTTAGAGGAGGGCAGGCCACTCCCTGTGGCTGTGTGCGGGGACACGCAGGGAGGCCCCATCCACGCAGACGGTGCACGGTTCCCGGTAGACACAGTTGAACTTCATTTAGCAGGCATGGGGATTATTACAGATTTTGGAACAAAGACATCAAAGAATGAAGCTGTGGTTTATAAACATTGCCTGGCCTCGGTGTCAAGTGGATTGTAGGGAAACACGGGGTGGAGAGCATTTTCCTCCAGGAGGGTGGGCAGAGGAGGTCGGGCTGCAGGGCTGGGAGGGCGGCACCAAGCCTGGGTTGGGAGAGGCGACTCGGGCTGAAGCCTGTGTGGCCGGCTGGGGCTCGGGGAGCCTTCCAGAGACAACTGGTCAGGAGCCCTGTGCGGCCTAGGAGCAGGGCTGGCCCGATGCCAAGACTGGGGACCTCGTCTACCCAGTGGTGATGGCAGGCGAGACCCTCGAAGGAAAATGTGGAAGGCTCAGCTGCGGGAGAACTCTCGAAAGCTCCTCGTGTGACACAGTGGAGAGGAGAGCTGTACAGAGTGGTGCAAAGGGTCTGGGAAGGGCTCATTTATAGAACGTGAAGATTCTAGAACAAAGGGTGTGTGCTGAGAATGGAGTTGGGGGATATGTTGCCCTCTGCAGGGTTGTTGGGGACAAAGATTTCCCAGAGATGCCTTTGCCTTTAGCTGTCCGTGTGCGGAGGGGCACACGTGTGTGATACAGAGCTGGGCTCGGAGCCAGGTTGGCAGGGAGCCCCGGGAAGAAGCCAAGTCAGTCTTGCTCTGGGGGTGCCGCCACGGGTGAGGAGAGCGGGACGGAGGAGCCGGCATCAGGGCAAGGCTGGCTTTGCTCCCTGCTTGGTTTTGAAGCAAACCAGCCCCAGCAACTCATTAGAAGGCCTGTAGGAGCAGGTCCACGTTCCCCCCGGACTTCGGCCAGCTGCTGTGTGCACGTGTGTGCGGGGGTGGTCATGTATGTGGGCGCTTGTGCGTGCATGTGTGTGTGGCGCCCTGTCAGGCGGCTTTCATATGCAAAGTCTCTTAATTCCTAAGTCCCCTGTGAAGTTAGCTTGAATTTGCAGCCTATTTACTGGTGAGGCGCCGCCCACAGGAGGGAGCAGGGGCCACATAGCTGCCATGCGAGGGGCCGGCACCCCACTGGGCCCCTGCGCCGGGTCTGGAGCTCCTTGCCCACACAGGGAAATGGAAGGTCTAGCAAAGTCACAGAGCAAGTACAGGAGAGTGCCAAGAACACCTTGGAGAGGCCATGGCTTGGAGCCGGGGAAGACCACCCTTTCCTTTTCTGTGTGGCAGGTGAGGGGAGAGTGGACGGAGCTTAAGCCCCCGGGGCTCCTGCCTGCTGCCCGGCGCTCCCCAGGCCACATTCTGTCAGCTCCTCCGTCCAGTCACTGGCACTGAGACCCAGCCTCATCCTTAGCCCTGTCAGCCATGTCGCACTGGCCACCAGGACCTGCTGTGCTCGCTGAAGCTGCCCTGTTGGGCTTTGTTCAGCCAAATTCACTGACCCTGTTGTCCAGGCACTGGCAGGCACCCCGAGCCACAGGCTCGTACCCCGCACTGTGCGCTCTCACCCGTCAGCCCTGCACACCCCACACAAAGCCACTGCTGTGTCTCCCACCCACAGCCGCTGCTGATTCAAGTCCAGCCCAGGCCATCAGGTCCCCAACTGTGCTGCCCACGGACCCCTGGGCCCCTGCTCAGCCCTTCTGCTCCCTGCACCCAGCCCTGACCATAGCCTCCCCACACCCCAAGTCCTCACGTACTACTTTGGTGTCACAGCTGAAGTCAGGGGGCAGTGGGGAGGCTGCTGCCGAAGCGGACGGTGAGGGCTTCCACCTTGGAGGCAGGCGTCAGTCGTACCCAGCACCAGTTGACCTCTCGCTGGTTCCGCTGATTCTTGTAGATTCCCTGGGATTTTCTGCTAGTTCACTGGTTCTTGTAGATTCCCTAGGATTTTATGTATATGCTCTCTCCAAGCAGAAGCAGCTTCCAGCCCCTCTTCCGGTTCTGGGATCTCTCACTCTTTTTCTGGGCCTGGGGCACTGACCATGGCTCTGCTGGCACGGGTCGGCTACCGTGCTTGCCATCTCTCCCAGCTGCTCCTGATTTCCTGAGCTGGATGCGGGGAGCTGCTGCTCTTCCTCTCAGCACAGCTGAGGTTGACCTTGACCTCAGTTCAACCTTGAACCCTCCTGGGCCCAGTGCTCTGCACCTGGCTGTGACCAGAGAACGCTCCATAATGGTGACCTGAATACCATATATTTCAGCAAAATATTTTCCCTGCTACCCATTAAACTACAGATAAAGAATGACTGCTTTGAAAGATTGGCTAAAGCACTGGATTTAAGGTTAAAACCCTGAGTTTGATCCCATCACCGCATTTGCTCTTACAAGTCATTTTCACTTCCCTTGGCCATGATTTGCCTCTGTAAAATCATGAGCCTTCGGCCGTCTGCCTTCAGCCACAGTTCCAGAGCTCAGAACCAGGACGTGGAAAACTGCTGTGTAAATTATAGAGGAACAGGAACAGGACCAGGAAGGGGCACCACGTAAATCTCACATCTCTCCTGCCTGTCCCTGTTACACTAAAACCTTTTCTTGCTAAACAGAAAGCTTGGCTTTGTGGATCAGGACGCGAGAGGTGTGGGTCATTTCTATTTTACTCTTCTTCAAATTCACTGAAGAGCCACATTATGTAAACAAAGGGTGTTTGGCAGGAAGTCATTTTGAAACGTGGTTTCTGTCCTACACCCATATCTTCGTCATCTACATGGACACACTTAGAAATATCTTGGCACCTGGCCACGGATGAAGGACCATGTGTAGGGGCTCTGGGATGCACAAAACGGTGACCCTCACATGACACAAAGCCCAGGGTGAAGGGAGGAAGAGATGCCATCTGCATGCAGAGGTCTGGGATTACGGCCGCCTGAGCCTGCTCCCCAGCACCGCCAGTGCTGCAGGAACGTGTCTAAGCCAACTTTGATTCTCAGACTTCGTGTTTTTAGTACCTTTTAGGACCTGGAAATTGATGATGTCTTTATTTTTAGTCTCAGGGGTGGCTCTTGGTGAAAGGGGACAGCCTTCCTCGTACCTTCCTCGTGACATTCTCACTGCATCCACAGCCCATCATGGTATTGCAGTGCAGGGCGTCTTGTTTAAAACTGGCTCTTGGTCCCGTGGATCTCCCAGGGCCTGTTGCTCTCGAGTGCCCCAAATGGCAGAACGTGGCCATGAGCACGGAGGCTGCAGCGTGCCTTCGTTTTACACCCTGCTCCAGGCAGATACCAGGGCCTCGGGTTTATTATTCATGCTGCTGAAGGGGTCATCTGCTCAGTACTGCTTGGGGAGCTGTTCCCACAGCCAGCTGGGCATGCCCTTGCCTGCAGTGTTCTTGTAACTGCCTGCAGGCATCACAGGCCTTCCTGTGAATTAATTTCTTAACCAGCTTGTTGCACCTGCATGTTTAAAAGCAATCATTCCACTGAGGGGCATTTTGAAGTGTTTCCGGTAGAAACTGAGCCTCGTCTACCTCACCTGCCTCGCCCTTCCTTCCATCGTTACCCTGGCGATAACTTCCCAGAGATGAAAGTTCCCTGTGTTTTTGAGGGGTCATTCCTCTACTCCCTTCCCCTCCCCACGTCTGGCCATGGATGTTGCTGGCGGTCCTCCGGATCTCCACCCCTACCCCCCCATGATGTGTGCACCCCCTACAATGTGTGCATGCCCCTCTGTGTTGGTGATGGTCCTCCGAAGCTCCGCCCACCATGATGTCTGCTCCGCCCCCTCGTGTTGCTGGTGGTCCTCTGGAGCTCCGCCCACCATGATGTCTGCTCCGCCCCCTCCTCGTGTTGCTGGTGGTCCTCCGGGGCTCCGCCCACCATGATGTCTGCTCCGCCCCCTCCTCGTGTTGCTGGTGGTCCTCCGGGGCTCCGCCCCCACATGATGAGTGCCTCCTGCAGCCCTCAGCCGTCCCTGTGACTCCTGGGGCTTGCCATTGTGCAGATCGGGGTGCACATGGTGTACAGACGGGTCCACCTGTGAAGATCGCAGAGCCTGCTCAGAGGTTCAGAGGTGCAGACAGAAGCCAGCCACTCCCCCAGTGTTCTCAGCATCCCCCTGCTGCCGCCAGCCGGCCCTCAGGACACACTTAAGAGTTTGAGAAGGATCGGAGCCCACTCAGGCTGGGCCCAGCGGAAGGGCGAGCCTGGGACCTCCCCTCATTTCCCAAGCACCTTTGGGGCACACCGTGTGTCCCATTGTGCCAGAAGCTCTGAGGGATTCATGGGGAGGCCTTAAAGAAGGTGGGCTCGGGCGGAAGAAAAGACGGAAGAACACCATGTGCCACCGGGGAGAAGTGTGTGCCGTTTACATGAGACAGAGCAGGGCACAGTGGTGACACTGATCTGACACAGATGGTACCGCACAGGACAAGGAGCACCAAGGGGGGCACATGAAGAAAGCCGTCTGTCCAGGATTCTCCCAGGACTCTGATCCCAGAGGGCCTCCCCCAGCATCACTCCCCATGCCAGGTTACACTCCACTTCACACTACCAGCCAGAAATTACCAGGCAGATAGAATCAGGAAAATATGACCCGTAATGAAGAAAAGGAAATCAACCCATTAAAACCTGCTCAGAACTGCTGCAGGTGTTATCATTAGCAGGCCAGGACATTAAAAAGTTAGAAGTCTACTCTACATATTCAAAAAGTTAAATTGAGACACGGAGAATATAAAAAGAACCCAACTTGAATTTCTAGAGATGAAAACTGCAATATGTGATGGGAAGAAATATACTTGATGGGATTAACAACCAGTTAAGCATTGCAGGAGAAAACAGTACACGGTTAGGCACGGGGCTCACGTCTGTAATCTCAGCACTTTTGGAGGCTGAGGCAGACAGATCACTTGAGTAACCAGGATTTCAATACCAGCCTGAGCAACATGGTGAAACCTCGACTCCACATGAAAAAATACAAAACTCAGCCATGCATGTTGGCGCGTGCCTGTAGTCCCAGCCATTCAGAAGGCTGAGGCGGGAGAATCGCTTGAGCCCGGGAGGTCGAGGCTGCAAAGAGCCGTGATTGTGCCATGGCACTCCAGCCTAGGGAACAGAGTGAGGCCCTGCCTCAAAGAAAGAAAGAAAATAGCAATAGAAACTAACAAAAATGAAGCATGGTAAGAAAAGAAAAAAAAATTTAATTAAAAGAATATTATTCCATTGCGGGACAACGGCAAGTGACATAACGTACTATTTGGGGGTCCATAAAGGAGGCTAGCAGAAAAAGTATTTGAAGAAACAATAGCTAACATTTTTTTGAATTTGATGACAATTATAAACCCACAGATCCACAAAGCTTAGCAAACCCCAAGCACAAGAAAACTACACGAAGGCATATCGCAATCAAATTACTTGAAAAACAGTGAGAAATTCAAAAGTCTAAAGGCAGCCAGTAAAAAGCCAGTAAGGAGCAAAGGTGAGAATGACGGCAGGTTTCTTCTTACAGATTTCCTACAGATGGAAAAGGTGAGAGTGACGGCAGGTTTCTTCTTACAGATTTCCTACAGATGGAAAAGGTGAGAATGATGGCAAGTTTCTTCTCACAGATTTCCTACAGATGGAAAAGGTGAGCGTGATGGCAGGTTTCTCACAGATTTCCTACAGATGGAAAAGGCAGACAGCGGAACAGCATCTTTAAAGCAGAGAGAGAGACAGAGAAAGAGAAAAAACTGTCAACCTAGAATTCTATACCCACTGAAAATATATTTCCAAATGGAGGCAAAATAAAGACTTTTAAAGACATACAAAAGATGAAAGCTTATCCCCGGCAGATCCACACTACAAGAAACGTGAAGTCCTTTAGCCTTGAGGAGAATACTCTTCAGAGGGAAACACGGTTCTACACAAAGGAATTCAAAGCAGCAGAAATGAGTACTATGTGGATAAATATGGGATTTTTTTCTTTTTATTTAAATCTTCTTTAAAAGATAATTGTTTTAAGAAAAATAATAACAGTGTACTATGAATTTTTTTCAATAAGCCTTTTGCACTCTTAATTTTTTTTCCTTACGAGACAAGGTCTCATTCTGTTGCCCAGGCCTGATCACCGCTCACTGTAAGCTCACACTCCCTGGCTCAAGCCATCCTCCTGCCTCAGCCTCCCGAGTAGCCGGGATCACGGGCACAAGCCACGGCACCCCACAGAATGTATAACATTTGTAAGAGCAAAATGCATGCTAACAGTAACAAAAAGATGGGGAGGAGAGAGAATGAAGAAATACTATTGTAAGATTCTTGGACTTTGTTTGAAGTGGTCTCATATCACCTGCCTGAAGATGAACTGCAGTAGTCCATAAACCCTAAAGCTGCCACTCAAATTTTAAAAAGAATTACAGTTAATTAGCTGACAACAGAGATGATATGAAGTCATAAATATAGACAACACGGAAGGAAAAAGATAACCAAGAGTAGATGTAACAAATAGAAAAAGGCAGGATGATAGATGGACACCTAATCCTGCCCGTCACTGCAGTGTGGAGACTGAACGCCACAATGAGAAGGCAGAGGCCACCAGGTTGAAGAGCAAGAAAAAACCATACCATGGCTACAAGCAATGTACTTTTGGCATAAAGACACGAGTAGATTGAAGGCAAAAGGACGGGAAGAGCTCTGCCATGCAGGCACTAAGCAGAGGAAGGCTGCAGGGCCTATGTTAATATCAGACAGAGGAGGTTTGGGAGCAGAGAACGTTGCTAACAATAAAGATAGACATTTCATAATGCTACGGAAGTCCATTCATCATTCATCAAGAGAACGTCGCAGTCCTAAATGTCTATTCACCTAATAATAGAGTTTCAAAATACATCCAACAAAACTGATGGAACTGCGAGGAGAAGTAGATAAATCCGTAATTACATTTGGAGGTTTCAGTGCTCCTTTCTCAGTAACTGACGGAACAAGCAGAAGAGAAATCAGTAGGAATAGTGGGGACTTGAGCAGCACTCTCCAGCAGCTGGGCCCTGACGTTTATAGAACACGCCACACAGCAGCCATGCAGTGCACAGAGGCTGTGCCACGATAGGCCCGACCCTTGGCCAAATAAACCTCAACAAATGTAAAGAACTGAAGCCTTACAGGCGTGTTCTACAGCCACAGTGGAGTCAAACTCAAATCAATAATAGATAGTAGGAATGTCTCTAAGCACTTAGAAACAGAAACTTTTAGATAAATAAATGATTTTCATTTCATTCCATAAAATTTTAAGTAAATTAATATATATGTGCTTAATGCAAAATAGAATATAAATATGTAATATTAAGATACATAGATATTATAAGTCGTGAATAACAAAGATTTATATAAAATATTTATTACTATAAGTATGTATATATAATATATAATATAATGTACATATAATTATAAATACTTGCATTAAATAAATACATTATATAAACATGTATATTAAGATATAAAATAAATAGGTTGAGTATACGTGGACCCAGCTCTGAACAGTGCTGAGAGGGGAGTGTGTAGCAGCTGCTAGACAATGCATTGGAAAAGAGGGACGGTCTCCAACCGGAGATCCCGGCTTCCACCTGAAGAGGGCAGCGTGAGTGGAGTAAACCCAAAGCTGTCGGCCAAAGGAAATGATACAAATCAGACTGGAGACTAATACGAAAGAAGACAGTGAAACATCAAAATCTGTTGAACAAAACATTTTTTTAAAAAACACATGAATAAAACTGTGAAACACCACCCTGACTGATAAGGAAACAAAGAAGACACAAATTCCAGCATCAGGAATGATAGAGGTGACATCATGAAAGATTCTAGGGATATTAAAAGGATGATAGGCAAATATCATGAGCAACTTGATGGGAGAACATTTGATAACTTTGATTCCTTGAATGACACATACCACTCACTGAGGAAGACATCATTAATCTGAATAGCACTATGCTTCTTTTTTTTTTAGAGACTGGGTCTCACCACATTGCCCAGGCTAGTTTTGAACTTCTGGGCTCCAGCGATGCTTCCACCTTGGCCTCCCAAAGTGCTGGGATTAAAGCCTGAGTCACTGTGCCTGTCACTACAAGTGGAATTTGTAGTGAAAACTTTTACTACAAAGAAAACTGCAGGTCCAGATGACTTCGCCAGTGAATTTTACTGAACATTAAGGAAGACGTATTTGGATGACATCTAAGCACCTTCCCATATTGTTCTATGAGGCCAGCATTACCTGATACCAAAGGTTAGACACACGTTACAAGAAAAGAAAACTACAGATAAGTATTCTCTTGAACACAGGTACAAAAATGCTAAATAGAATTTTTGCAAATTAAATTCAATGCTATTTAAAAACAAAACATGATCTAGTGGGATTTATTTCAGGGATGCAAACCTGTTTAAGGATTGAAAAATCAATGGATGCCTCTTCAGATTATTAAAGAATTATTTTTAAAGAGAGAAAAGTCCATGTAATTTACCATATTAAAAAAAGATGAAAACCATATTACCATCTCAAGAGATGCAGGCAAAGTATTTTAACAAAATCTGAGATCCACTTCTGATTTAAAAAAAAAAAACTCCCTGCAGACTCCTAATAGAAGGGAACTTCGTCTACCTGACAAACAGCATCTCCACAAACTTACAGCCAACACCATACAGTGGTGAAAGACTGAATGCAAGATGAAGCCATCTGTTCTTGTCACATCCCTTGACATTGTACTGGAAGTTCTAGGTAGTACAGTGAGTCAAGGAAAAAAAGGCATTCAAGTTCAAAAGGAAGAGGTTTAACTGTATTTTCAGACAGCATGATTGTCTATGTGGAGAATCCAGTTTAATCTATTTTAAAGTGCTACTAGAAAAAATTTAGTAAGTTTGCAGGTTATAAGATCAATATACAAAAATCAATTTATGTATATACACTAGCAATCAACAATTCGAAGTTGAAATTAAAATAGAGAACATTTACAATACCACTAAAAAAAAAGAAATACTTAGGGATACATTCTGACAAAAGGTGGGCAAGATCTGTACACCAAAACTACAAACCATTGTGAAAAGAAATGAAGGAAGACCTAAATAAATGAAGAGATCGTCCGTTATCTTGATTTCTGCTTCTGAGATCCACATGGAAATACAAAGGACCTACAGCAGGCAAAACAACTTTGAAAAAGAAAAACACAGTTGAAGGACTAATACTACCTGATTACAAGAGTGACTGTAAATCCACAGTACTCAAGATCGGAAATAGCTTCAAATGGACAAACAGATAATGGAACAGGAAGAAAGTCAGGGAATAGACCCATACATATAAACACCTGCCCTATGATGACATGGAGAAAATGAAAAGGCAAGACACAGACTGGGAAAATATTGACAAATCGTTTTTCTGTTAAAAACTTGTGGCAAGAGTATAGAAAGAACTCTCAAAAATCAATATGAAAACAAACACAAGCAGACAAAGAAAATTGGGCAAAAGGTTTGAGCAGACACTTCACCAAAGAAGTACAAATGGCAAATCAGCACATGAAACAATGCTGAATATCATTAGTCACCAGAGAAATGCAAACTGCACCCACAGTCTTATACCACTGCACACCAAGTAGATGCCAGAAATGCAAACTGCACCCACAGTCATATACCACTGCACACCAAGTAGATGCCTAAGAAGCTGCTGTTATCAAGTGTCGGCAAGGCCGTGGAGGAACTGGAACCCTCGTATGCTGCTGAGGGCAGTGCAAAGTGTGCACTACCACTTTGCAAACTTATTTCACAGTTTCTTATAAAGATTAGCACACACTCAGCATACAATCCAGCCATTCCTTTCCTAGGTATTCCCCAAGAGAAATGGAAGCATGTCCACACAAAGGCTTGTACATGAATGTTCCTAGCAGCTTTATTTATAATGGCCAAAAACTGGGAATAGCCTAAATATACATTAACAAGCGGATGAATAAGCAAACTGCAATCTTTCCATGCGATGAAATCGTACTCAACAATGAAAAGGCATGAACTGATCTCAAAATAGTTAGATTGAGTGAAAGAAGCCAGTTTAAAGAAGGGTACCTGCTGTATGGTGCCATTCATTTAAAACTCTAGAAAATGCAAACTACAGTCACAGAAAGAAGATGAGCTGCTGCTGGGGGCAGGTGAGGGTGGGGGCACAGGGGCAGAAGAAAATGTCTGAGGGGCCAGACCCCACCTAGACTGTGGCGGTAGCTTCACAGGTGTAGACGTACGTCCAAAATCTTCAAATTCCGTACTTCAAATTTATATGTCGCTTATACATCAATGAAGCGGCTAAAAAACTTCTCATTGTGGGACAGTCTACAAAGAACTGTACTGTTCCCTTCTAGATTTTATTTTGTTTTTTTATTTTTTCTGAGATAGAGCCTCACTCTGTCGCCCAGGCTGGAGCGCAGTGGGGCGATCTTGGTTCACTGCAACCTCCGCCTCCCGGGTTCAAGCGATTCTCCTGCCTCCGCCTCCCGAGTAGCTAGGACTACAGACGCCTGCCACCATGCCTGGCTAATTTTTATGTTTTCAGTGGACGAGGTTTCCCATGTTGGCCAGGCTGGTCTCAATCTCCCGACCTCAAGTGATCTGCGTGCCTCAGCCTCTAAAGTGCTGGGATTACAGGCGTGAGCCACTACACCTGGCCCCCCTTCTAGATTTTTAATTCAAGAAACACCCCCAAAAATGTGGGGGGATTTATTCTCAAGACTAATGTGTATCAGCTAAGTGCAGTTCCTAGTTGGATCCTGGATCAAAAATCAGAGGCTCACAGAGGACAGTTGTGAACAATTGGGAGGAATTTGACTCTGGACTGCGTGTCAGGCAGCAGGATTGGGAGGAGTTTGACTCCAGACTGCGTGTCAGGAGGGAGGACTGTGTCGCTGTCACGTGTCTGGAGTGTGATCATGGCTTTGTGCTCATGGAAGCAAATGTCCTTTTCCTTAGGAATATTTCTGGGCAAAGCGTCATGCTATCTGCAACTTTCACACAGTGCAGAAAAACACAGGGGATCAGGGGGCAGAAAGCAAACATGGCAGAGTATTTTTTGAAATTGTCCTTAGGGTCATGTGATGGGACCAGAGCTCAAGAGCAGCAGAACTTCATGATGAGAAAGTCCAGGAGATGTGGCCACAGCTGTCTTCCGCTGGTCACACTTTGCAAGGATGGTGGTAGTGGTTGTTTTAATAAGTTCCTCAAGCCTGCTGTTAGCATTTGTGTATCTGCTAATTAGCAAGATTAAGGAGGGGGAGAGTTAATTAAGGACTCCCGTAGGCAAGGTTCCAGTTAATTGAGGGTTTTTCATAGATAAAATTAATACTCAGTCCAGACTGACCTTCTGAGTTATAGTTAATAAAGTTGTGGTTATGGTACCACCAGGGAACTCCAAGAGCGTAATGTCAGTGGATCTGGAAAGATGCTCTGTGATGGTATTCATGAAGTAAATCCAGATTTGGAAATTCAAAGAGGCTTCCCACTGGGAACAGGCTGCTGTGGTCCCCGGAAGGAACCCGCACTATGAAGAAAAGGCAGATGAGAGAGTCATAGAATTTTGTTTCTGCAGCCCCCACGTCTGTGCTGGTTCTCCTACCCGTGCTCAAATTCTCTACTGTTTTCTCTGCAAAGTCGTTTCACCACAGTTCGTGTATGCTGGCGTTGATAGCCTCTCCTCTTCCTGCTTCTCCACTTTTCCCCACTCCCCCTTCCTCACACACGTACACGCAAAACTCAATTCAAAAAATGTGCAAGGTTAGCTTTCTCTGTCATCCAGCGATGACTCAGTCTCACCAAGGGGGCAAGAGAGTGCCATCTAGAGCGTGTGACCCTGCTGGTCCCACAGCAGAAGGCAGTGCCCTGGTGGGGGCTAGTCTAGTTAGGACCTGAGCAAACATTTTACTTGTGTCCCGAACTCTTGTTCCTATAGTTTCTATCTTAACAAATTTTATTTTTTTAGAACAGTTTTAGATTTACAGAAAACTGGAAAAGGTAGTAAATAGAGTTCTCATGTACCCTACACCCAATTTTCCCTGTTGACATCTTCTATTAGTACAACATGTTTGACACAACAGTCAATGAACTTATGTTGATCAGTTATTAACTGCAGTTGATACTCTCATCAGATTTTCTTGCTAATGTCCTTTTTCTGTCCCAGGATCCCACATGACATTGAGTCCTCGTGTCTTCTTGGGCTTCTCTTGGCCGTGACAGTTTCCCAGACTCTCCTTGTTTTTGATGACCTTGACAGCTTTCAGGGGTACTGGTCAGGGATTTTGTAGACTGGCCCTCTGTTTTGATTTGCCCAATTTTTTTTTCGTTTGAGACGGAGTCTCACTCTGTCACCCAGTCTGGAGTGCAGTGGCGCGATCTCGGCTCACTGCAACCTCTGCCTCCTGTGTTCACGCCATTCTCCTGCCTCAGCCTCCCGAGTAGCTGGGATTATAGGCGCCCGCCACCACGCCCGGCTAATTTTTTTGTATTTTGTTTAGTAGAGACGCAGTTTCACCATGTTAGTCAGGATGGTCTCGATCTCCTGACTGCGTGAGCCACCGCTCCCGGCCATGCCCAATGTTTTTGTCCTGATTAGATTGGGATTTGGAGAGGAAGACCACAGAGGGGAGTGCCCTTCTGGTCCCGTCATAATGAGGGTGCATGCTGTTGGAATGGCAGATCCCTGGTGGCGCTGGCCTGGGTCCCTGGCTGAGGTGGAGCAGACCCGGCTGAGGTCAGGCGTCCCCCGGGTGAAGCCGCTGCTGCCGCCCCTTCCGGAATGGGCTGCTCTTTGGAAGGAAGTCGCTTGGATGTGCTAGGCTTTTGTTGCCTAAACTGCTTTATGTCTGTGGTTAACTTATTCCTTCCTGCAGTTTCATTATCTTTTTAGGGTCTAAATATAGTTCTTTTAATTTCCTCTTGTTATTTATATAGGCTTACTGTATAAGGCTTAGTCTTGGAGTTGTTTTATTTTATTACATTTTGTTTTGCATTTCTGGGATTTTTTAGTATTCCTTCTTTCAGTTTGCCCCTTCTTGAGCTAACCTTCCTGCAGTACCATCTTCCAGCTGACTGTCAGTGGATGAGGTGGAAACAGTTTTACCCTTTCTGCAGGGAGCTTTGCCAGTTAGGGACCCTTCAGGAGTAGTCAGGAACGCGCCTGTGCCCACAGTTGGGTGAGTCCCAGGAACGGCAAAAATGTCACCTAGCGTTCCCCCTGCTCATCTAACATAGTTTAATTGCCTTGATGGTCCATGGAATTTCCAAACTAGAGGTTGTGATATGCAGAAAATCAACAAGATTGCATTGCTAGGGAGCACGTTTGTGAAGCTGGCGTCTTCCACAGAAGCTGTCATCAGCGAGGAGGGGCTGTTGAGGGGACACATTTGTGAAGCCAGCATCTTTCACAGAAGCTGTCATCAGCGAGGAGGTGCCGTTGAGGGGACTCCGGGTGATGCTTTCGTCGTTTGGAAAGTAGCACTGCTGTGCAGAATGGCCTCTTTTTAGCCATCCTCCTAGTTCCATGTGGAGCCCTCAGAATGGGTTTTACTCCGGGCAGATTCCAACACACCCTCATGCTATCCCGGGAGAACTGCGGACCAGGAAGGCAGAGGCCCCTTCCTCCCACCCCCATGGAAGCCAGACCACACGAGCTGGGCCACCCAGCTGTCCCAGCACTGGGTCGGTCCTGGGAGACCACCCACCCCAGAAGAGACCAGGCTAGGTGACATGCACATTGGTGACAGGCCAGGCTGCAGGGAACTGGGTCTGTCGGTGCCCCCTGGGAAGGTGGGAGGTGTTTGGCTGGAGGGAGACAGTTGTATCAGCTGCCTCCGGGTTGCCAAGAATGAAATGAACAAAAGAGAGAGGAACCCGGAGGGGGCTGTCTGCCCAGCCATCCCAGTTCCAGGCTCTTTTCGCCTGCACCCAGGCAGACTAGACCGAGCCCTGGCAGGGGTGACGGCTCGCCCTTTGCAAGATGGATGGGCACAACGGGGCCCTGGCAGGTGGAGGTAGCACGGCAGGCTGTGCCGAGGGCGACCACAGAGGCTGTCTCTGTGTGGCAACTTCAGGGCCCCATGATTGATGGTTAGGCTGCTTGGAACCTGATCAAATCTCAGCTCAGCCTGCTGGGTGTGAGCAAGGGAGAGGGGATGGGGAGCCTGGTCAGCCTAGAGCGGGCCCCCCACCACTGAGGAGGCCCCGGGGGGGACCCCCAGCCTGACTTCTCCCTGCTCATGGCTGGCTCCTGTCCCACACTCTTTCGCTACTGTATTTCCTCTTCTTAGTATTAGAATTTGGATGAGAAAGGCACCACAGTTTTGACCTGAGGTCAAGGCTGGGTTCGTTGCAGGTCCAGAAGGCTGCAGCTCAGACACCTACTCTAGCCAGAAATGCCCGGGGCTCTGTGCGGTTCCAAGGGCTCCTTTGCCAGCCCTGCCACTGGGCACAGGGAGCCCCTCCACTACTCACCGCAGACAGAGCAGCTCTCCAGTGGGAAGCAGGTCCTGGGAGTGATTGGCATACGTGATCTGGAATTGTGATGTTTCTCCACAGCCCAAACATGGGTTCTTTTATTCATTCATCCAACATTTACTGAGCGCCTAATAGGAACCAGGACGTGCTGCCTCCTGGGACTAATAAAGACTAATAATGCATGTTTTTGTCCTCACAGAGCTGAAATCTAGCCCGGAAGGTGGAGGGTGGAAATGGCTAACTCAAATGCAGCAGCTTGGGAAGTGCAGTCCAAGTCCCTGCAAAGGGTGGGGAGAGAAGCCTTTGCAGAGGCTGTTGCCCGGGGACAGGGCCCCAGGCGGAGAGGACAAAGGCCCAGCAGGCAGAGGGAGCTCACCACATTCCCAAAGCCGCAAAACAATGAGCTCGGTGTGCCCCAAAGTCTGAGGAGCTGAGGAGAAAGGGGAAGATGAGTTTCTTTGTGCAGAGATGTTTCTCAGTCACCACTGTCACACTGCTGGGTTATTGACACCAGAATGTGAAGAATCTCACTGTCAGTGCCACATGTGGGAGGGCATTGCTTACCATGACTCAGCGTGGCCTCAGGGACAGTGCGTCAGGCCCGGCAGGACAGCACTCGGTCTGTGCTGGGGAAGTCGTGCAGACGTGCAGAGATACAGACATGTGGACCCAAGTCAGCCCCGGACTGAGCAGCGGGTACCCCAGAAGGGATGGGCAGTGGAATAAGGATTACATGTAGGGGCAGAGGACGTCTCAGTCTGTACCTGTCTATAGCATTTTAATGTTTGAGCCTTGATACCTACAAATTTTAGGACAGGTTTGAAAAAGATTGAAAAAGATGGAAAGCATGCCAGTGATTTTGCTATGGACATCAGATGCAGCATTCAGGGCCACTGTAGACGTGGGTATGTCTGGCCTGAGAATAACTAAAGGGCTTTTTTTTTTTTTAGACAGTCTTGCTCTGTCACCAGGCTGGAGTGCAGTGACATGATCTCAGCTCACTGCAACCTCCACCTCCCGGGTTCAAGCGATTTTCCTGCCTCAGCCTCCCAAGTAACTGGGACCACAGGCGCGTGCCACCACGCCCAGCTAATTTTTGTGTTTCTAGTAGAGATGGGGTTTCACCGTGTTAGCCAGGATGGTCTCCGTCTCTTAACCTCATGATCCACCCGCCTCGGCCTCCCAAAGTGCTGGGATTAGAATTAACCATTTACAGAAAATCAATGTGTCTATATTAATATATATATTTATGTTGAAATATCTTGCCTCACTTGGCGAGTGGGGAATACACTGTGCCTGGGGGTGAAGGTCTGAGGCGGAAAGCTTGTCTTGCACTGCTCGGTGGATGTTCTGCTGAAGTCGTGAAGAGCAGTGAGCTCTTGTGACCGGTAAACAGAAATCCCTGCTTCGGTATCATTTCCCCAGGCATTAGCAGTTTTATTGGCACCCACCATTGTGAAAACGCTGCACATATCAACATCTCAGCACAGCCCTCCATCTGCCTGCAGATGACTTCCCCGGTAGCATCCTCACGTTACGGTAACACACCACCGAAGGCTCACTCAGGAGCTGTGTTCTTGTTGGAAACTTTTTTCCTTCCCAGCACCCCGCTCATAACAAGGGCTAAACTCTTCTACCCAGTGGACATGAAACACGGCCCGTATCTCTGTGATTGTCTCTGTGTTCACGTCAGAACGCACGTGGTAGGGTATTTGCGTGAAATCGCGCGTGGTAGGGTGTTCGCGTGAAATGGCTCAGGGCTTGGCTCATCATCCTGCCTCCTTATGCCTTCCCCGTCAGGCACGGTGGTCTGTTAGCCTGGGCGTAATTCTTGTGTTCCTGCTTCTCCATAAAATAATCCTTAAAATCTTTGTTAAGGAGAATAAAGGGAGGGTCTCTTCCCATGGCATCTTTTGCCAGAATATTCAGAGGAAGAAAGCCCGCCCCGGCCTTACGGGTGCACCTTGTAGAAGGCAGGGCCTTGGCCAGGGGCTCCTCCTGGTCTCTGCCCCATTGTCGTGTCTGCTTGCAAACCACATCTTTAGTTGCTGCAACAACAAATACATGCTTGCATCTTCCCACTTTGTGTTTGCTCTTCTTCTCTTCTTCACCTCCCTTTTCCCCATTTAAAAAAATATAAGTTCCTGAAACCTGAGACACAGAAGAATCAAAATTGGCTTCAGTGTGTGGTGAGGGAAGGGGGCTTGCTCAGGAAAAAAAATGTCATGTTCATGCTCTTCCCACCTGCTTTCTACTCTGGCCTTCACATGTCACCACCATAGCTTGATCTGGGAGAAAACAAGCACAGCAAGATGGAGCCTGTTGAGAGGGCGGCTTTGGCAGATTCACGCTGCCGGCACCGTGCTGTTCATCTGAGCCCCGAGTCTCTGCCGGGTCTTCCACCAAGCCCCTCCGCCCAGGATGTGTGTGTCGCCTGCCGGGTCTTCCACCGAGCCCGTGCCACGCAGGGTGTGTGTGTCGCCTGCCGGGTCTTCACACCGAGCCTGTGCCACGCAGGGTGTGTGTGTCGCCTGCCGGGTCTTCCCACCGAGCCCGTGCCGCCCAGGATGTGTGTGTCACCTGCTGGGTCTTCACACCGAGCCCGTGCCACGCAGGGTGTGTGTGTCACCTGCCAGGTCTTCCACCGAGCCCGTGCCGCCCAGGATGTGTGTGTCACCTGCTGGGTCTTCACACCGAGCCCATGCCACGCAGGGTGTGTGTGTCACCTGCCAGGTCTTCCACCGAGCCCGTGCCGCCCAGGATGTGTGTGTCACCTGCTGGGTCTTCACACCGAGCCCGTGCCACGCAGGGTGTGTGTGTCACCTGCCGGGTCTTCCACCGAGCCCGTGCTGCCCAGGATGTGTGTGTCACCTGCCGGGTCTTCCACCGAGCCCGTGCCACGCAGGGTGTGTGTGTCGCCTGCCGTGTCTTCCCACCGAACCCGTGCCACGCAGGGTGTGTGTGTCGCCTGCCGGGTCTTCCACCGAGCCCGTGCCACGCAGGGTGTGTGTGTCGCCTGCCGGGTCTTCACACCGAGCCCGTGCCACGCAGGGTGTGTGTGTCGCCTGCCGGGTCTTCCACCGAGCCCGTGCCACGCAGGGTGTGTGTGTCGCCTGCCGTGTCTTCCCACCGAGCCCGTGCCACGCAGGGTGTGTGTGTCGCCTGCCGTGTCTTCCCACCGAGCCCGTGCCACGCAGGGTGTGTGTGTCGCCTGCCGTGTCTTCCCACCGAGCCCGTGCCACGCAGGGTGTGTGTGTCGCCTGCCGTGTCTTCCCACCGAGCCTGTGCCACGCAGGGTGTGTGTGTCGCCTGCCGGGTCTTCCACCAAGCCCCTCCGCCCAGGATGTGTGTGTCGCCTGCTGGGTCTTCACACCGAGCCCGTGCCACGCAGGGTGTGTGTGTCGCCTGCCGGGTCTTCCACCAAGCCCCTCCACCCAGGATGTGTGTGTCGCCTGCCGGGTCTTCCACCGAGCCCGTGCCACGCAGGGTGTGTGTGTCGCCTGCCGGGTCTTCCACCGAGCCCGTGCCACACAGGGTGTGTGTGTCGCCTGCCGGGTCTTCCACCGAGCCCGTGCCACACAGGGTGTGTGTGTCGCCTGCTGGGTTTTCCACCGAGCCTGTGCCATGCAGGGTGTGTGTGTCGCCTGCCGGGTCTTCCCACCGAGCCCGTGCCACTCAGGGTGTGTGTGTCGCCTGCCGGGTCTTCCACCGAGCCCGTGCCATGCAGGGTGTGTGTGTCGCCTGCTGGGTCTTCCCACCGAGCCCGTGCCGCCCAGGATGTGTGTGTGTCGCCTGCTGGGTCTTCCCACTGAGCCCGTGCCACGCAGGGAGTGTGTGTTGCCTGCTGGCTGCCGTTCTGCGCGTGTGTGGTTTCAAGTCTTGTTTCCTCTTCTGTTTAACGAGGCCCTTGGTCTAAGTGTGCTTGTAATTTGGGCGAGTGAGCAGCAGCCGAGAGAGTCCACCCCAGTCCCCCTAGCCAGCGAAGTGGGAGCTCCCAGGTTCCTGCCTGCGGGGAGGGTGGGGGCGGTTTGAGTTAGTGAAAATGTGTGTATTAAACAGATATGTAAATGACCCCTGCCGAGCGCTGAAAATGAAGGTATGAAAAGGCATCATCATCCGTGGTTCCCACCTGGCATAATGACCGTATCAGAACAGACATCTGGTAGTATACACCACATAGTTGCCAGACTCCGATACCAAGGGCACATCTAAGTTCTCCCACCCTGATTTGCATGCCTCAAATTCAGAATTAGTGAGATTTGAGTCAGTGATGCTTCATTACACTCTCGTGAGACATGTTTGAGGAGCTTCACCGTGAATGTGTGGGCTTCGATTTGACTTGTGGAACCTGTGGTTAAAACAAAGGAAGGTGCCTTCATTCTCAGAACCCAGTGCTTTTTCTGTTGCCCTGGCCCTCTGGGCTGAGTCTTTACGTGGACGGCGGTCGATGCATCTCAGTTTATTTGTCAAAACCTTCAGCTAAAGCCAGTTGTTGCTTGAAAACTGCCTGCTTAATTGGCCTCCTCAGCTCGGGGGAGCAGCTTGCAATCTGAGGCCGGCGCCTGGCTCCCTGACCACCCGCTCCCCATCGTGCTCAGCTCTCATTCCAGCAGCCCAGCCCATAACCCGCCTCATCAGTGTATTGATGTGAGGCAGAAACACCTCATTGTAAGAGCACCCCTGAGAAATGGCGGGGTTAGGGGCTTCTGGGCTGCATAACCAGCAGATTCCCTCTGCAAAACTGCTCCTGCCTCAGTGGGAAAGGGCCAGCTGTGCAGGGCTGCACTGGAGAGCCGTTCTCTTCTTGATCCTCAGGCATCCAGTTCTTAAAATTCCGGCCCTCTGTCCTTGCATGGCCTTCGTCCTCTGGAAAGGAGCATGCTGGGAGCTGGCAGAACGCACGCCTCACTCTGTCGATGCAGTGTCTGTCACTGCTCAGTTTCTAGGTATTGATCCTAGAAACCCATGCTCTGTGGGTCCCTCTCCAAGAAACACAGCATCCATGATTTGTACATCGCACTGCAGTTTCAGACTGCTTTCACATGCGTGGTTTCATCTCTGACTCCACGACCTGAGCACAGATTTTTTTTTTTTGAGACGTAGTCTTGCTCTGTCGCCCAGGCTGGAATGCAGTGGTGCGATCTCAGCTCACTACAGCCTCCGCCTCCCAGGTTCCAGCGATTCTCCTGCCTCAGCCTCCCGAGTAGCTGGGACTACAGGCACGCACCACCACACCCTGCTAATTTTTGTATTTTTTAGTAGAGACAGGATTTCACCATATTGGCCAGGCTGGTCTCGAACTCCTGACCTTGTGACCCGCCTGTCTCAGCCTCCCAAAGTGCTGGGATTATAGGCATGAGCCACCACGCCCAGCTGAGCACAGATTTTTAAAACTTTACCTGGGTCCCTGACTAGTAAGAGGGAGAACCTGGACTTGAAACTTAGTTTTGTTTCAAATCTTGCCCCTTTTCCTCGGGTTTTGGGCAAATACTTCCCGAAGTATTATCGTTACCCCTGAATATCCAAGGCAGGATCATTTTATTCCCTTCCAGAGCCAGCACTTGCAGAAGTGTCCCCAAGTTAGGCAGCCTGGTGTGGCTTCCGGTAACACTGCCAGCCTCAGAGCCGGCCTGTTTCCTCCAGGACGCCCACAGGACCCTCGGAAGCCCCTTCCTCTAGGGGCCCGTCCCTCCTCCTTCCCCAGGCCCCGTCCCCCGCCTTGCCCTCTGAAAGTGGTCTTCAGCACCACCCGATAAGCGGTGACTTCTCATCTTAGAAGCCTGGCTTGGGTCAGGTTCTGCGTTTCGGCTGTGCGCGCCCCGGAGCAGCCCTGCTTGTGTCTCATCATCGATGCCTCAGCTGCAGTGTGCCCCACTGTAACCCCTCCGGGATGAAAACGCAACCCACCTCTTCAGTGGGCAGCCCTCCACTTGGATCCTCGCATCCCTGGCATCATCTCCGTCCTCTGTCCTTGCTGACCCAGCTCCAACCCAGCCTGTCTGACCCGTAGCCCACCTGCCATGTCCTTCCCGGCTGCAGCTCCTGCTGGGCTCTGCAGCCCCTCCTGCCCAACGCCACCTGCCCCCGCCTGCCCTGCTCCTGCTTGCCCTTCCCCTGCCCCTGCCCCCGCCTGCCCTGCCCCCACCTGCCCTGCCCCTTTCTCCTCCCACTCCCACATCCCGGGCCTGGACCTGCCATTTCCTAGCAGCAGGAGTCTTTTCCCTCGATCCCACCCTTCCCCTTCTTCCCTCACTGCCCTGGACAGTTCTGTCTGCTCATCAGCGTAAAGAGGTCTCCAAAAAGTACAAGACCCTCCCTCTCCCCGCTTTCCAAGCACCCTATGGTGCCTCTCGCTGCTCCTTCAGGAACTGTGAGCAGGGCACAAATACCTAGTGCTCAGCACCCAGTAGGCCCTCACGACTGTGCCGAGCCATGGCCGTGTGGCTGTGATTGTGCTGACAGCACACAGTAGGTCCTCACGACTGAGGCGAGTCATGGCCACGTGACTGTGAATGTGTAGACAGGCACAGAATGGCCTGAAGCGTGGGAAGGTCGCCTGCCTGGCAGCAGCTTTAGCACCAGGAAACCTCCCACCTTGGGGCTGCCCCTGAGGGTGAACAAGTGGGGCCAGTGGGAAGCACCTGCTCAAGTGGGACTGTGCACACAAATCACTGGGAATTACTGCCTCACACACGATTGGTTTTCAGCATTTTGTAAGTCCAAGCAAACCCCCAAGAAAAGCTTGAGCGGGACCGGGTCTGCACCAACAGGCTGGTTCTGAGTGAGTGCTGGATGGATGTGCTCCAGTGTGGAGGGCAGAGGGAGGGAGCGGGACCCCTGGAGAGGAGCGGGGTGCAGGCAGGGGCTGCAGGGCACTCCCCAGCAGGTGCCCGGACGTTGTGAAAGAAAACGTCTGGGAGCTGCTTTCCTCTGGGCGTTCGTGGGATCCCTCCCCTTCTTAGCCAAGGAAAGCATGTCTGCAGGCACCGGCTGCAGCTGTTTTTCAAATGAAAACTGGGCTTGAAAGGAGGAAATAATTGAGGTATAAGAAGTCCCTGCCCTTATTCGTTCACGCACCATGAGAAGCTTGTGGCATCTGCGGGACACTGCACTCACTGCCTCTCCTCTGTCTCTTTCTGTCCAGTCGTGCCAAGCGGACCTCGTGAAGGACAACGGCCACAAGTACTTCCTGTCGGTCCTGGCGGACCCCTACATGCCAGTAAGGACGGGGCAGCACGCTCTCCACGGGCTTGGGACTCAGCACTCGCCTCTGCCCACACGCTGCACTGCGGTGGGGCCTTTTGACGGGGGCTACAGGAGAAAGGTCAAGGGTCACAGCAGGGGCCACGTCCACGGGGTCAGCAACTGCTTCACGTTAGACATGGCCCTTTGCTTACTACCATGAGCGCAGCTGTTATTTCGTGTCTGTCTCTAAACAAGAGCTCAGTTAACCCGGACACATGGGTGGTTTTAGTTTATTTTAGTCTCTTTTCACTGGGACTTCTTTGCAAAATAGTCAAATCCACTCTCCCTGCTGTCCGCCGCGTTAGACTAGTGAGCGCCGCACGTCTGTAATATGAGAGTTCAGGCGCCTGGGAAGGTCTTGGAGCACAAGAAGATATCGAAGCACCCCATTTCAGGAAGGAAGGGAGAGAGGAAAGGAAGGAAAGAAGGTTGTTTGAAAGTTTAAATTTTCAGTATACTTTATTGTATTAAATTGTTTGAAAATTAGTAATCCATGAATAGGGTGTATAGTTATTCTATAAATGTTTCATAATGTTTTAATTTCTAACTCCCAGCTTAGTAATGAGAACAAAATAGATATATCCTAAATAATTCTTTAACATAACTTAATATTGCCAGAATATTTAAACATATTAGCTAGTTTACACAGTGTTCGGTGGCTTTGCTGTATAAAGGAACTTTTGTATGTAATTTCACCCCCTAGTTGGTTTTCTAAGCTAAAGGATTTTTTAAAACACAAAACAAACAGGACTATTTTCCAAAAGGTAAACAGTATGTGCACTTTGTGTTGTATTGAAACATCACAGGCAGTTAAAGTTGATACTTTGTATCAGTTTTGGAAACCATCACTTCCCATTCTTAAGAATAAGGAAGAAAGCAAATCCCACATGAAGAAGTGAGGAAGAATGCTCACTGGCGACTTGGGCGCGAGGGTGAGCTAAGCTCACATGAACGGCCCCACCTCAGCCACGAGCCTGCGGAAGTTTTGAGGACACAGCCAGGTTTGAAAGAATGAAAAGGAGGCTGGGTATGGTGGCTCACACCTGTAATCCCAGCGCTTTGGGAGGCCAAGGCTGACAGACTGCTTGAGCTCGGGAGTTCGAGACCAGCCTGGGCGACATGGTGAAACCCCGTTTCTACCAAAAATACAAAAAAATTTGTCTGGCGTTGTGGCACACGCCTGTGGTCTCAGCTACTCAGGAGGCTGCAGTGGGAGGATCGCCTGAGCCCGGGGAAGTCAAGGCTGCAATGAGCTGTGACTGTACAACTGCACTCCAGCCTGAGCAACAGAGTGAGACCCCGTCTCCACTCAATAAATAAATAATATAAATATTCTTAAATGACTGACTAGAAAGAATTTGCTATGATTCTGTCAAACCATCAACCATTGTTTTGTTTCTTCAGTGCTTTGTGCCTGTTATGAGAAAACATTCAGTGCTTCCTACTCATCCTCAGAAACGATTGATTTTTCTAAACTCATAAGCAGATCTGAAAAAACAAATTGAAGCTGTGAAAAAGAAAAGACATGCACTGTTATTGAAAACTCTGGAGATGAATTAAATCACAGAACAGACAGCCAAGAAGAGAATTCATGAAGGAGCCACCTGGAGCGCCGTCCATGAAGCTAAGCGAGAAGATATGAAAGCCGGGCTAAGAGCCGGGCTGGGAACGTTCACCATGTAGCCAGCATGGTTCAGAATGAGAGGAGAATAAGTAGAGAAGCAGTTTTTGATTAGATAGTGGCTGAGAATTTTCCAGATTTGAAGAAAGGAGAGTTCCGATTTTAAAAGCAGGATGAATCCTGAGAAGGTTAAAGAGAAACAAATTCGTACATAGACGCATCATAATGAAAACAGCAAATATCGAAGGCATAAAGACAAACCTTAAAAGTCCCCAGAACAAACGTTATTAGCAAAGGAGGAGACAGCACCGGCCCCAACAGCAGACCTCTCATCAGCAGCGGCTCTCGGCCGGGGACAGGGGAGCCCTCGGCGTGCGAGGAAAGCGACCACGGTCGGGTCACCTGCACCCAGCTCAGTCACCACTCAGGAATGGGGGTGTAGTAAGCAGCGTTCAGACACCAACAGTTTACTCCTTCCGAACCCCACAGACCATGGCTAGAAAGACCACATGTCAGCGAGGAGGAAACGGAACCAGGAGGGGAAAGCAAGATGCAGGACACGGCAAAAAGCCAAGAAGTTGGCACACGTGTTGGCACATCTATAGATTTGTAAAAATGAAGAATACTCATGGCGAATTGGAGGGTTAAACAAGAGGAGGACTCAGGTACCCTGGGAGCCCTGCAATAATCCAAGGAGCCCTGCAATAATCCAAGAGGCGCGTAGGACACTAGACCGCGCGACGTGTGTGTAAAAAACTAAGGCACCGCTAAAAAGTTACAAATAGACTCTGGTTTCCAGGTCAGCGGAGGCACAGAGGAAAGGACAGAATGAAAATGAGTCACAGTAGAGCAGAAAGGAGAAACCAGTGAAACCTAGAGCGCTGCCTCCATGCCTTTTGCTGCCAAAGCCCCTGATTGCAGGACCGTGTGCTCACAGAGTGCTGGGCAGGCTGGGGAGGTGAGGTCCGGGTGCTTCATACCGACAGCCACGGCTGGCCTGTGACAGAGGAGGCATCCACCAGGTCTGTGCCCGTCTTGCAGTGTTAGGGCTTCCAAGGAGCAGTCTGTTCACTCCGGGAGGCGAGCCTGGAGCTCTAAGGCCTTTGAAAACAGCTGTTCTTTTTTGTAGAGTCCACGTAAAATCCAGGAGTAAAGCTGGCTCTCGTTACTTTAATTATGCGCCACGCGTGTCATGAAGATTCCGAAAGGATCACGCTGTTGTACTTTGGGAATGAGAGTTTCCACTGAGGGGAGACGACCAGGACTGGTTTTTGTTTTCCAGGCTGAACACCGGACCATGACGGCTTTCATTCTCGCCGTGATCGTCAACAGCTATCACACGGGGCAGGTGAGCCCCCCAGCCACCCCCAGCCCCAGAGCTCACCCTTGGCATTGCAGAGGAGCTGGGCCCACTGTGAAACGTGGTGCCACATGGGGGACAGGGGGTGTCCAGCAGAGGCTCTGACCCTTCATCTAGCCAGCCATTTGCAGGCTGAATATGAATCAGAGGAATCTAAAATGGGGAAAATTGAGCAAATCAAGGCTTCCCAAGAATGGGTGGCCACCGTTGTCCCGTGCAGGTACCCACCACGTGCCTGCCATTGGCAGGCAGAGGCCAACCTGTCTGTGGTCCCGCCTCTGCAGGAAGCCTGCCTTCAGGGAAACCTCATTGCCATCTGCCTGGAGCAGCTCAACGACCCGCACCCCTTGCTGCGCCAGTGGGTGGCCATCTGCCTCGGCAGGATCTGGCAGAACTTCGACTCGGCGAGGTGGTGCGGCGTGAGGGACAGCGCTCATGAGAAGCTCTACAGCCTCCTCTCCGACCCCATTCCCGAGGTGAGTCAGGCGGGGGCTCAGAGTCCAGTCCTCCTGGCTGCCGACTGCGGGGGTAAGGCAGAGGTCTGCTCGCGTGCGGGTGTGGCCGGCCACGTGTCCAGGAACTTCAGGGGCTGCACGCTAATAAGAGTAGGACAGTGGGACCTTGGTGAGAAGAGAACCACACCACTGGGGATTTTGCACCCAGGCCCAGAGTGCGCTCCCGGGGACAGTGGCACAGCTGCAAGCGGGGGTCCCAGAGGGAACCTCAGAGGCAGGGGTCACGTGCTCGCTGTCCGGGTGCCGCTCTGCGTCCTCACTGTGGCCTGCAAGGCAGGGACCACTAGATCTCCACTTTACGGGCAAGGAGTCAGGCCAGTGGCTCGTGCCTGGTGCAGCTGGGAAAGGTGCGGGGCACTGCCCACAGAGTGGCCGCGGGCTGGAACTCTGGGAGTTTCATGCACCATTGCCTTCACTCTTCCCACCGGCCTGTGCAGTGCACAGGGTGTTGCTCATTTTTAGAGCTGAGGAAGCAGACTCAGGGACAGTGACTTCTCCCCAGGACCACATGGTGTCAGAGGCAAGGGCTAAGCCAGGGTCCCCGGACCCCAGGGCCAGCACAGTGTCGCTCCCCTGGCTGAGCCCTGTGTGCTCAGTGCACTTCAGGGCCCCCATGCCCCTCTGCGTCCAGGAGTGCCTGCGCCCTCCCCTCTTTCCACCCTCCCACGCTCTGTGGCCCATCCCAGCCCCCTCGTCTAACTCCTGCCTCGTTCATCAGCACATTCCCTGGTGCCTGGTTTGGTGTTTCAGTTCCCGGGGCAATGCAGCTCCCGCCTCTGCAGTCTGAGCTGCCCCTGGAGCTGGGCGGCTGCCCCTGCTGCTCCCCACCTCCTTCCCCGTTGCCACTCTGATAGTGCGAGGAGAGCCTTGGGCCTGGAGAGCTGTTGAGCAAGCGCCTGTGGGGTTGGATTCACCTGCACACACAGCCCTGGCAGAAAGGCAGGCTGCAGCATGGCCCGGTGTGGGACATGCCTGTGACCCCCCGCCGCCTTGCAGGTCCGCTGCGCAGCGGTCTTCGCCCTTGGCACGTTCGTGGGCAACTCTGCAGAGAGGACGGACCACTCCACCACCATCGACCACAACGTGGCCATGATGCTGGCCCAGCTGGTCAGCGACGGGAGCCCCATGGTCCGGAAGGTGCGTGAACCCCCAGCCCGGCAGCAGCAGGGCACCCAGGCTGGACCCCGTGACACCTGGGGCCAAGCCCGCATGGCCCTGACCACAGCAGGGAGCACTCAGTTTCCACTGCGTGTCATTGCGAGAGCAGATCTTTACATGTTTCATTCTCTTCAAGTTGCGTTTCTTTACCAGACACCCATGGGTTTGCTTCATTTAAAGGCATCTAGCAGGCTGCGCCTCCCGGCAGCTTGTGTAGTAGTCTCCTTCCTGCCTGGGAGCAACACACACAGGCACCACTGCGATTCCAAAGAGACGCAGCCACCCACAGATGGCGGGAAGGTTTGTGTGCTGGGTCCCCCCCAACACCCCATGTACGTCAGCGACTGAACAAAACAGTTTTATGTTTTGTTTTGTTTTGTTTTTGTTTTTTTGAGATGGAGTCTCTCTCTGTTGCCCAGGCTGGAGTGCAGTGGCGTGATCTTGGCTCACTGCAAGCTCCGCCTCCCGGGTTCATGCCATCTCCTCCTCAGCCTCCCGAGTAACTGGGACTACAGGTGCCCGCCACCACACTCGGCTAATTTTTTGTATTTTTAGTAGAGATGGGGTTTCACTGTGTTAGCCAGGATGGTCTCGATCTCCTGACATCGTGATCCACCCACCTCAGTCTCCCAAAGTGCTGAGATTACAGGCGTGAGCCACCGCGCCCGGCCAAAACAGTTTTATAAACTTGAAAACTTACTTACCTGTTTAGATGTAGAAATATCACAGATGATCGTCCAAGGTTTCACACCCTCAGATTCCCCACCCACCCCAGCGCAAAAGGGGCGTTTAGGAAGACACTGGTTTCCTGATCTCCTTTGCTGGTGAGATGGAAGGCTGCTCTTGCAGAGAACTCATCTGACAGCTGGAGCACAGAGCTGCTCTATGGGCAGGGAGTGTGTCTCCCCGTCAGGTGGCGTTGGCCACCCTCGTGCGTTCCCGTGCTGGCTGTGTGTGGCTCCCTCTTGGAGATGGGCTTTATCATGAGACGGGCCGTGGTCCAGGGGCCTGGGGGTTGTTTGTCTGGAGAGCAGCTGCCGCTGCTTTACTTGGGAGGGACGTGACCCGGACAGGTTTCCCTCAGCCAGACGAAGTGTGGAAAGTCACGTTCTATCGTGTGTACCCTTCTAGAATTAGCCCAAGTCATGAGTATGCTACATTTTCTAACGAAATCTTGAAAATAGGAAGTGAGGTTCCGGGCTGCCTTTTCTGTTGGTTCTGACTTTGTTGCCATCACGTTCTCCTCGTGGCCGGGTTTCTGAACCTGGCTTCTTTTGGCCCCTGCTGAATTCTTTTTCCCACATCAACTCACGTTTGGTGGACATCACTGATCAAAGCAGCAAATCAGCGGTTTGTCTGCTAAAATTCTTTTTAAAGTAAGGAAAGCTTTGTTTCTTCTTTACAAAAACGATATGAAAATAGAGAGGACGTTAGCTGTGAGGCGTTCCCCAAGAGCCATCCCGTGGCCGGGCTGTGGCCCTGTGGTGTGGCCCTGGCTGCTGAGGCACTGAGACGAAGCTCCCCCTCCACCGGGAGCGGTCCGGCGTCACTCGCCTGCACGGCTGCCTGCTGAACCTGCATCCTGGAGATGTGGCCCGCGAGGACACCGTGGGGTTCGGAGGAGGTGCTGCCAACCGGGACGCAGCTGTCTCGGGGATGCTGGGCAGGGCGTGTAGAGGGGGATGACAGCCCCTGCCCTCCGGGAGCACGTGGTCTAATCAAAGAGGCAGATACAGATAAGGTCATTACACCAGAGCCTTGTGGAGAAATACTGCCTGGAGTGCTGTGGAGCTCCTGAGGGCTGTGCCTGTGCCTGCATCGGAGCGGGAAGGGTGTCAGCAGAGGCTTTTGTGGAGGGGCAGCTCTTACCTGGTTATGGAGGGTGAGCAGGAGAAGCAGCCAACAGAGCTGATAACGCCAGCTGGCAGGGTGATGTCTGGAGGGAGGAAGGCTAGCGAGGAGTCAGAGAAAGACACCGTCACTCACCTGTGACCAAGCGGGCTGCACTGGCGCGCAGACTCCGGAGGTGCGCTGGCTCTGAGGGGCTGTGCTGACTCTGGGGGGTGCCAGCTCGGGGGGTGCGCTGGCTCTGAGGGGGTGTGCTGACTCTGAGGGGTGCCACCTCGGGGGGTGCGCTGGCTCTGAGGGGGTGTGCTGACTCTGGGGGGTGCCAGCTCGGGGGGTGTACCGACTCCGGGGGTGTGCTGACTCTTGGGGGGGGTGCTGACTCCAGGGGTGCGCCTCCATCCTCGTCATAGAGTCCTGCCGCATCACAGCTGGTTTTCTCTTCTGTTTACTAACCACCATGGGCAGGCACGGTGCTCTGCAGGGGACTTGGGCACAGGTGCAAGCACCAAGGAGCCTGGCGGCGTGGAGCCGGCCCCATTCTCGCAGCCTCTTCTCAAGGACCATCCTGAGCCCGTCCTGAGCCTGCTGTGGGGCTGGGGTTGGGGAGTAGAACTGGCTGAGAGGCTCCTGGCACCCTCTGGGGTGGGAGAGAGGAGGGTGTTACTGCTGCTTTTCCATAAAAGCAACGTGTACTGGTTACCAAAAAGGTTACATCCATCCTACTTTTTAATAATAAAAGTGTCCTCTCCTGTGTGGGGTGATAACGATGGCCGAGTAGGTTTTGTTTGTTGACTTGTTTAATGAGCTTACTTGACAAAATTTAAAAGTCAGCAAATTCAGCTTAGCCCCCAAATTATTTTGAACTTCAACCTGTCTTTGAAGTACAAAACCTGCAGTCAGCAGCCACCCGTCCCTTGTCAAGAAGGGCCAGGCCAGGGGTGCGGGGCTAGAACCCCCAGTGTCACCCCAGCCTCTGCCTGGGCCGGGCTGGGCAGGAGCCGCACACAGGGACGGGCTCAGCGGGGCTTGGATGGGGGCTTACTCCCTCCCTGTCATGGCCTCGGGAGGAAATAAGGACTGTTCAGATACTATTTTATTTTATTTGTTTTATTTTATTTTGAAACAGAGTCTCTGTCACCCAGATTGGAATACAGTGGCACAATCTCGGCTCACTGCAACCTCTGCCTCCCGGGCTCAAGCGATCCTCCCACCTCAGCCTCCTGAGTAGCTGGGACCACAGGCGCGTGCCACCATGCTGGGCTAATTTTTGTATTTTTTGTAGAGATGGGGTCTCGCTGTGTTGCCCCAGGCTGGCCTCAAATTCCTGGGCTCAAGTGATCCACTCTGTAATCCCAGGCCTTGGTCTCCCAAGATGCTTCCCAGGACGCTGCTCGGGCCTGCTGTGGTCACAGGAGCTGAGTTTTATGATGCCTGAGCACAGGTCACAAGACAAATATTAGCCAGTGCTGTGTTGTTGGAGCGGAGTGGGTGGCCCTCAGGGCAGGTGGGCAAGGGGTAGAGGCGAGGTGGGCCAGTAGCCCATGGTCAGTGCAGCCGTGTCAACACTGGGAAGTGTGTGGGCCCCCAGCGGGGCAGGACATGTGTCCAAGAAAGATGTCCTTGAGTCCTGGCACCAGTTCACGGTTAGAAACTAACCATGTGCTACAGACGACACCCCTGCAGGGAGGGCTGCACCCACCCAGAACACACTTGTCAGGCACGTGCCACGTGCCGGGCCGGCTGGGGCCTCAGTGACCCCGCAGGGCACTAACCCTGCCTCTTCTCTCAAGAAAGTTACCCCTGGAGCTGGGGGAGGGGCTGGGTGTGAGAGTGGTGGGCCGGGGTGGCAGCTGAGCAGAGCCAGTATGGATGGGGCTGGGGGCACAGGGAGGCCTTGCCACAGGGAGAGGCCCAGTGCAGGGGCTGTGCCCATCAGAGGGCGTGGGCACAAGAGGCCAGGAGGGCAGTGGGGCAGGTGGCCCAGCCAGGCACAAGCCTTGTCGTTCGTGATCAGAGGCCTGGAGGGGTTTGGGGGCAGGACCTCACCTTCGGCTGCCCAGGTGAGAGGGGCCGCTCGCCCAGCTGCAGGGACGGCGCAGGAGGGAAGAGGCACCAGCACTTTGAATGCGGAGCTCACAGCACTTGCTCACAGGTGGAGAGGGTACGAGAAAAGAAGAGGACAGGGAATCCTGGGGGTTTGGGTCTGAGCAACAGAAGAGCAGAGTTGCCCCTCGTTGAAGGGGCCAGCCATGAAGGAGCAGGTTCCAGGATCACGCATGGACTCTGAAGGTGGGGAGCCGACAGGAAGGGCTGAGCTGACAGGTGAAAGTATGAGTCCAGGCAAAGCTGCCTCCCTTTCGAGGAAGGCTGCTCAGCCCCAGCCAGGGAGCAGGAGGACAGACAATGGCTTTGACAAGCGACCGGTCAGAGGACCTGGGAAGCCTGGCCAGTGTGGAGCCCGTGGCCACTAATGTGGCCTCCCCGTCTGTGTGCTGCTGGGGAGCCCTCAGGGGGAAGGGGTCACATGACAACACCAGCCAAGCTCATCTTGCAAAAGCTGAGAGAGAGGGGAGCTCCCACACCCCTGGCTGAGCACCTCTGCCAGACCCTCTGATGGGTTCTGCATGAATATCCTAAAGAAGGCCAGTGCGTGTGTGTGTTGCTGTCAGAGCCCAGCTCCATTCAGGAAGGGCAGGAAGGGTCCAACGCAAAGGAGAGCTCTTTGCTGTGTGCCAGGCAGCAGCCTCCAGAGCGAGGCCCGCCATCTCCAGCAGGATGTGCGGCCTCCAAGGGAGGCCCCCGTACGCAGCAGGATGTGCGGCCTCCGAGGGAGGCCCCCGTATGCAGCAGGATGTGCGGCCTCCGAGGGAGGCCCCCGTACGCAGCAGGATGTGCGGCCTCCGAGGGAGGCCCCCGTACGCAGCAGGATGTGCGGCCTCCGAGGGAGGCCCCCGTACACAGCAGGATGTGCGGCCTCCGAGGGAGGCCCCCGTACGCAGCAGGATGTGTGTTCGGGAGTGAGGGAGGCCCCTGTATGCAGCAGGATGTGTGTTCAGGAGTGAGGGATGTGCGGCCCCCGAGGGAGGCCCCGTGCGCAGCAGGATGTGTGTTCGGGAGTGAGTGCTCTCTGGACATTCCCCTTGAATAACAGACGTGGCCCCTGTTGGCCTCCCCTGAATCGAAGGGCCCACCACCTCGGTGCACGTTAATCCATGCCAGCTCCCAGCTCTGGCTTTTCTCACCTGATGTCAGAAGGAAAGGGAAAAAAATCGGTGCTTTCTGAAGACAGGTGCAGCCTTGATCTTCCCTGGAAGGGGCCCAGTGGGTGTTCGCTTTGTCGGAGGCCCCGTCTCGGCAGTGCCTCACTCCTCTTGCACAGGGAAGGCAGCGGGGGTTCTGTGGTTTGCCAGGGGAGCCTGGGACAGTGACTTAGGCAGTTGGAGACGAGCGCCAGAACCGGGGCGTGGGCCATGGCCGTGAAGACGCACACTGGGCCATGGCCCTTGGTGCCCAGCAGGGTGGGAGGGGCGGGTGGAGGGTGATGCCAGGGCTCCATTCTGAGCAGTGAGAGACTTGCAGTTCCATCGGCGCAAATCAAGAGGGCGCTGCAGGCTGAAGGGAAAGTAGACGGTGCCCGCAGTTCATAGGGCAGGGAGAGTTTGGGGTGCAGGTGAAGAGCCGGCAGCTGGACAGCCAGCCTGGACCTAGGAGAGTGAGGGGCCGGCATCAGGGAAACCACAAAGCATGATAGGAGGAAGCCCGGGGCATGTAAGGCTGGGGTGGGAAAGTGCGTGTACAGAGAGTGCGTAGACGGAGAGTGGGGTGGCCACGAGAAGACCCTGGTCCCTGGTGGGCGCCCATCCAGAGCCTGCTCATCCAGCCGCTGTGGAGACAGGGGCGTCACGCGACTAGCAAGGGGTCCTCTCACAGCGCTTGGCTTTCTGCTAAGAATCCGTATTTTTTCTTTTCAGAAAAAAAAAAGGCAGAAAAAGTTGTCGTAGGGAAAAAAACGTTCTTTCCGCTTTTTAAACCTACATCCCCCTTCTGTTCCCCAGTGACTTCTAGGATCTCCAGCTGTTCCTGTCACAGCACTGAACTGTCCTAAAAGAGAGGCAAATTGTGTCTGTTCCCTTGGACCAAGGCATTTGGTCCTAAAGATGATGTTTTAGTTCTACAACTTTTCCCGTTCCCTCTTAGGGACTAGAAACATCTACCAATGAAAGTTTCACATGTGTTGAAAAGAGCAGGCTTCGGCTTGTCCGCTGCACTCGGCCCTGGGGCGCTCAGATTCAGAAAGGCCGCCAGCCATCGGGTGTGATCTAGAGCGGCGTTTTCAGCCAGGGTCCCAGTGGTCACCGTAAGCGAGAGGCTGTGAGGCCTCCTACCTTTCCCTCTCTGGAGTCCTGTGACTCACCGTGTCCTTACGAGACCCCCGATGCGTCGTGCGCCTCTAGCAGTGGGGAGGATTCTGGCAGGCATTCTGGGCTTCCCCCGTGAGCCAGTGGCCTGCCGTCTCCCAGCACTCTGCTATTCCAAGGCCTCTGCTCTGACGGTTCGAAAAGGGATGGTCCCTGTTTCTGATGCCAATTGCACGGTTTTGTCTTAACCTTTCTTTTTTCTGTTGGTGACTCAAGTCTCACTGCTGCTCCACAATCATTTTCCAGCCCCAGTGACTGTTATTGTCCCTTCTCCCTCTCGGCAGGAGCTGGTGGTGGCTCTGAGTCATCTTGTGGTTCAGTATGAAAGCAATTTCTGCACCGTGGCCCTGCAGTTCATAGAAGAGGAAAAGAACTACGCCTTGCCTTCTCCAGCAACCACAGGTATGGCGTCTTCTCCTGTGAACCCGCAGAGCACCTCGCCTGGCGGTTCTAGTGCAGGCCGCGGCCCAGTCTTGCTCACCCTCGCAGAGTCTAAGCGCAGGTTTCTCAGATACCTGCCGCAAGGGGTCCCTGTTTTTCTCATCTTTTTAGGCACCTGCCAGATTTAAAAGGGCAGGAAAGAGGGCCACACTGACCCTCTTACATTTTTCCTTTCTTTTTACCCTTTTTGGAAATTAAACTCACAGAGACCTTGAAGTATGACAAAACTTCTGCAGTAGGAGCTTGCGGAAAAGCGCAGGGGCCGTCTTCCTGCGATGAGTAATTTCATCACACTGCTCTTGGCTCCGTGGCTCGGTGAGTCATGTCAGGCGTGCTTTCTCACACGTGTCGTTTTGACTGGAGAGTACAGTTCCTATCTCATCGCTGCCGGCAGCCCCTCCCGCTTCCACACAGCCGTCTCTGCCGTGCAGGGGCTTGTCATCAGCAGTGAGGCCTCACTGCTTCTAGGAAGCCCAGGAGGGGAGAAGGGTGAGCCAGACTGAGTGTGGACGGTCATTGCTCTGCTGCGGCTTCCCGGGGAGCACGGCTCACGGCCCACGTCACCATGCACCTCGTGTGCACTCGGACAGGCCGCAGCCACCAGCCTCTCCCCTGTTGTCTTTTGTAATTTAATATGCACAGAGCCACAAGCGGTTGTTGTTTGTCCAGTGCTATCCCGCAGAGCCTCCGCTCACGTCTGAGTCTCCCTGAGCTGTGCAGCCCCTGCTCTGACATTTGTTGCAGCACAGGTAGCAGCTGCCGTCACCGAGTGTCCCAGCTGCTGAGTGTCAGAAGACACGCTGGCCTCCACCTGGAAGCCCATTGTAATTTGTCTTTCTCCTTCTTTCCCAGAGGGAGGGAGTTTGACCCCAGTGCGAGACAGCCCGTGCACCCCCAGACTTCGTTCTGTGAGCTCCTATGGAAACATCCGTGCTGTCGCCACAGCCAGGAGCCTCAACAAATCTTTGCAGAACCTGAGTTTGACAGAGGAATGTAAGATCCTGGAAATCGGGTTATTGGATTGGGAGAGATTGGGGTTGTTTTTTCTGAAACACTGTATCTGAGTAAGCACCACTCTGCCCCTGCCCCTTCGTCTAAGTGCGTGCCCTGAAGTCCCATCTGCCAACATGGTGATGAGTCACCCTTCCAGACGTGAGCATGGCAAGGAGGCGTAGGCCAGCCCCCAGAATAGCCAGCGGGCCCGTTACCAATGCGGCAGGGAGCTCAAGCGCAGCCGCAGTTGAGGCGGTGGCTCCTTGGAGGGCTGTGCCCTGCCCCCGTCTCCCAGTAACCTGTGGTCTGCGGGTGGGGAGCTTGGCTCCCAGGGAGATCAGTGAGTGCCTGTGCCTGTGTGTGCGCCGGGGCGTGTGTGCCAGGGTGTGTGCGCCAGGGTGCGTGTGTACCAGGGTGTGTGTGCGCCGGGTGTGTGTGTGCGCCAGGTGTGTGCGCGCGCCAGGTGTGTGTGCGCCAGGGTGTGTGTGTGCTGGGTGTGTGTGCACAAGGGTGTGTGCATGCCAGGGTGTGTGTGTGTGTGTACAAGGGTGTGTGTGTGCCAGGGTGTGTGTACTGGGTGTGTATACGCGCCAGGTTGTGTCTGTACGCGCCAGGGTGTGTGCGCCAGGGTGTGTGTGTATGAGGGTGTGTGTATGTCGGGTGTGTGTACATGCCAGGGTGTGTGCGCACCAGGGTGTGTGTGTACCAGGGTGTGTTTGTGCCTGGGTGTGCTGAGCTTTATTTAGAAGAAAATATGTATCTCAGTCATGCCATTAACTGTAAGACCAAAAGGAGGGTCCCGGGAGCACCCCACTGACCCCGTTGCGTCTCGGGCAGCTGGTGGCGCGGTGGCGTTCTCCCCCGGAAACCTCAGCACCAGCAGCAGCGCCAGCAGCACCCTGGGCAGCCCCGAGAATGAGGAGCATATCCTGTCCTTCGAGACCATCGACAAGATGCGCCGCGCCAGCTCCTACTCCTCCCTCAACTCCCTCATCGGTGAGTCCGCCTGCCCCTTTCTGCTTCCGAGGGGCCCCGAGGGTCTCCTCCCCACACAGAGCAGCACAGACCTGTGTCTGCATCAGGTCAGTGGGTGTCAAAACTGTCTGTTCAAAAGAAAGAATAAAGGTCAACAGGACTGCGAGGCAGGGAGAACGTTTTGCTGGGGCAAGCGGGAAAGTTGACATCACTGTTGTGTTGGGGTAGTATTTTACAGGCTGCTCCGGAGCCATCGGAGCTGGCCAGTTTGGCTGGGTGGGAAGGCTGCCAGAACCTTCCATCTTTGTTCCATAGACGGGTGAGAGTTCTTCATGGTGCTGGACACCCTGGTGATGCAGAACGGTGGTTCTCAGCCGGGGGTGGTTTTGCCCCCCACGAGCAACTGGGGTACAGTAGGGGTGCTCCTTGTCCCAGTGGGTGAGGCCAGGAAGCTGCTCACATCCCCTGGTGCCCAGGACAGCCCCCACACAGTGTCCGCAGTGAGAGGCGGAGGGCCCTGCGGTCGGGCTGGGGGCTGTCATCCCCGCCCTGCTCACCTGCGGAATCTCCACACAACTTTCCCTCCATCCCAGCAGCTTGACGCAGCACTGCCTGGAAATGGAAATCTGACGGAAGGGTCAGATTCTTCTCTTGTTCTGCCATGAATGGTGTGTGCCTGGGTCCTACCACCAGGATTGCTGTTGTAAAACAGGAGAAGCAGGAATTCACCGTGTTTTCTTATTGTGTAGCTATGTTCATCTTCACACTGCTGGTAACAGATTTAGGGCTTAACCAAATGAGCCTCATCTCCTCTTGTTCTGACTATCCAGAGTGGCTTACCGGCTTCATTTGAATTTTTTTCATGTTAAGGAGCATTTTAGCCATGTAAAAATTTACAGAGACTTATATAAGAGCGCTGCGTGTGTGTGTGTGTGTGTTGTGTTCCCAGCTTAAGGAATTACAGAGGTCGAGCCCCAGACCCTACCCCGGTCCCATTCCCTCTGGTGACATTACACTTTCCCTCCCTGGCCATGAGCCCTGGCACACACGTGGTGCCCACTTAGAGGCCTTTACCTCCTATTGGCGCCGTCGCACGATGCGTGGCCCGCAAAGCCCGTTTCTTTGGCTCTGACTTCAATATGTATCTTTGATGGTCATCTAGGTTTTGTTCCTTCACCTCCGCGATCTGCCGTGACTCCATTATCCATTCTCCTGTCTGGGGACAGTGAGGCCGGTTCTAGTTTCTTCTTGCCTTTTGTTCCTTTTCTTAATAAGCAAACTCAGAATTCAGCCCCTGCCACCATGGAGCCCCACATCCAACACACCCTCACTCGCTGCACCCAGCTCTGCTGGGCCCCAGCCTACCCGGCCCCCAGCCTGGGCATCGGTGGGGAAGCTCTTCTCCGGCATATGGTGGCCGCTCCCCTCTCATTCAGAGCCCCCATCTGGCAGCACCTTCCCAGAAGCCTCCCCAGCCCCACGCCCCACCTGGAATCAGGCTTCCCCAGCTGCCCTCTGACCCTGCTCCCTTTTCCTGCTTTATTTTTCTCCTGAGGACTGTGGACTGCAGACGTGCTGTACGTGTAACTTGTTCATTGGCCCGGCCCATCTCTCTCCCCTGGAGCTTGAGAGCCGCACGTGCAGGAACCCAGCCTTGTTAACCACTGTCTCCTCCCACCCTGTCCACACCCAGTGCCTGGTACGCAGTAGGTGCTCAATACACATAAACGGGCACGTGTGTGGTGCGTGTTCTTCAGCGTGGATACACGTGAGTGCCTCTCGCCACCTTGCCTCAGAGTGAAGCTGCTGCGTGAACGGTGCCTGCACCTTCAGCTTTTGTAGATGTCGCCCCAGGCCTTCCACGGGATCCTCTGTTCTAAAGCGCAGGCGCCCCCATCTCGCCACTCTCTACCACGCCGGTCTTGGCCAGCCTTTGTCTGTCTGATAGACACACCTGGTGTCTCCTTGTGGCATGAATTTGCATCTGCCTTGATTGCAGTGAGGTTACAGCCTTGCAGCCTTACAGACTCGCCTTGTGTCGTTTATCTTTCTCTGAGTAGTTTGTAATCAGCATTCATCACAGTTCTGGGTGCTGATTCCTGGCTGAATATATCCATCGAAAATGCATCTAATCTATGACTTTTTATGATGCCTTTGGTGCCACACAAGCTTAATCTTTTAGTTTCTCTTTTTCTTTATAACTTGGGCCTTTTGTGTCTTGTTTTTCCTATTCTCAATGTCCTAAACATATTCTCCTACATTTTCTTCCAAGATTTAAAATTTTCCTTTTTTGTGTTCATGTCTTAAGTATATCCTGAACCACATTTTGTCTCTGTGGTGAGGTGGGGATCCAGGTTGTATTTTTTCTTTATGCCACCCCAGACCCTTCATCAGACAGCCCGTCCTCCCGCCAGTGCTTCTCAGCGTCTCCCTGGCCATCAGTCCTTAGGGTCTGAGTGGGGGCTCCATTCTTAGCAGCACCCATCCCATCCACGGCCGCGCCGACACCCCACACAGCCGCCCCGACACCCCACGCGGCCTCGCTGACACCCCACGGCCGCAGCAACACCCCACACGGCCTCGCCAACACCCCACGGCCATGCCGACACCCCACACGGCCGCACCGACACATCCCACGGCCGCACCGACACACCCCACGGCCGCACCGACACCCCGCATAGCCACCCCGGCACCCCACGGCCGCGCCGACACCCCACACAGCCGCGCCGACACCCCACACGGCCGCGCCGTCACACCACAGCTGCGGGGGCAGCACCTTTGAGCCCGCTCCTCAGTTCGTTTCTCAGAACTGTCTTGGCCGCTCTTAGCCCTTTGCTCTGCTGTATACATTTCACAGTCAGGCTTTCTGTGTCGACAGCAGCCTCACTGGGGTGTTGTTTGAATGGCGCTGAATTGGTGGATTTCCCTGGGATGACTGACTTCCTTGCATCATGAGTCTTCCTGCTCCTGAACAGGGTGTATCTTTCCATTTACTTAAGTCTTCTTTATGTCTTCAAGACAGTCTAACTTTCTGCATAAAGGTCACAGGCATGACGTTACCTTTCAGTTTTTGTAATTTTAAGTAATATCTTTTTTAAAACCTGTTGCTGGCAAAAAAAGAAAGAATGCCAGTGGGCTGGGCACGGTCCCTCACGCCTGTAATCCCAGCACTTTGGGAGGCGGAGGCCGAGACGGGCGGATCACGAGGTCAGGAGATCAAGACCATCCCGGCCAACATGGTGAAACCCTGTCTCTACTATAAAAAAATTAGCCAGGTGTGGTGGTGCGCACCTGTAGTCCCAGCTACTGGAGGAGAATCACTTGAACCGGGGAGGCGGAGGTTGCAGTGAGCGGAGATCACACCACTGCACTCCAGCCTGGCAACAGAGCAAGACTCCATCTCAAAAAAAAAAAAAAGAATGGCAGTGGACATCTGTGTTTCTCTCTTGAGAGTAAACGAAACCTTTCTAACCTTTTACCTTTGATACGACATTTGCTGTAGATTTTTTGAGTGGGTGCTCTATATCAGTTTATAGAAATTCCCTTCCCTTTGGTTCACTCTTTTTATGAGTGCAAATTCCCATTCTATTCTAGTTAGTTAAGAATTTTCCTGATAAATGGAATTAATTTCTTTGAATGTATTTTCTGCATCTCAGAATGACCCTGTGCATGGCTGTTTGTTAGGGTAGGGAATTACATGATTGAATTTCTTGTGAAATATCCTTGCATTTCTGGGGGCACCCAGCGTGGTAATGTCCCCTGACATCGCTGCCTTACGCTCACCAGCTATTTCTTTGGGCGCTCCCCATTGGCATTCACGAGTGGGTTGGGCTGTGACTTTTCTTGTCCTGACCTGGCTGGTTTAGACATTGAGTCTGTACCTGCCTAGTAAAACTGGCTCCTCCGGGCATGGTGACAGGTGCCTGTAATCCCAGCTACTTGGGAGGCTGAGGCAGGAGAGTTGCTTGAATTCGGGCAGCAGAGGTTGCAGTGAGCCAAGATCACGCCACTGCACTCCAGCCTGGGTAATAGAGTGAGACTCCATCTCAAAACAAAAACAAAACAAAACAAAACAAAACTGGCTCAGGAGTGTACCCTCATTCCCTGTCCAAAAAAACTGGCTCAGGAGTGCGCCGTCATTCCCTGTCCTCGGGGGCAATTTTTATAAGACAAAGATGATGTGTTCTTTCGGTGTCTGAGTAGAATTTGCCCCTGAACTGTCTGGGCTAGTGTAGTGTTGTGAGGGTGGGTTTGAATTCTGTATTCCATTTCTTTAATGCTGATAGGATTATTTACATTCTCTATTTCTTCATAAGCTAGCTTCAAAAAGTTTTATTCTTCTAGGATTTTATTCATTTCAGCTAAGTATTCTCATTCTTTCCCTTGAGGCTGTCTGCAGTATTCTCATGAGTCTCTAATCTCTGCTGTCTCTTTATTGTTTTAGCTGCTTTTACTGATATTCCCAATCTGCTGCCTCTTTAGATATGTCCCCGTTTATTCCTATTGTTGTTTATTTGCCTTTTCCCCTTTTTCCTGATTAATCCTCTAAGATGTTTGTTCATTTCTTTAGTGTCTTCAAGTTCTAACTTTTAGGCTTTGTGGATTTACTGCATTATTTTATCTTTATTTTTCTATTCCAGTACTTTATTTTGTTTCCTTTCTACTGTTTTCTCTAGGTTCACTCTCTTGTCCTGTTACAGTTCTCAAACAGAAAATAAAAACAGCTCATTAACTTTGAGTTTTTCTTCCTTCCTAATGTGTGTGTTCAGGTCTGCGGGACCCCTGCCCCGGCTCCCCCAACCCCTGCCCCCGCTCCCCCCCCGCTCCCCCCACCCCCCGCCGCCCCGACTCCCCCCGCCCCGGCTCCCCCCGCACCTGCTCACCCAACCCCTGCTCACCCCGCCCCTGCTCACCCCGCCGTCTCCGTCTAGTGAGTTTTGATGATGGGCTTTTCACTTGTGTTCAGCTTCAAGCTTTCTTTCTACTTCCATTGTGGTTCCTGGGGATGGCGGTCCAGCCACAATGACAGCAGCGCATGACAGGAGCCCAAAGACCCGAAACAGACGCAGGGCATCCGCCAAGGCAGTTCCCACCGGGCAACCCTGTGGGTGTGCTCCCAGCCTTGGCCAGCTGCTGCCTTGAGCACCTCTGGATAGAACGAGTCCAGAGCTTGCACCATGCCCTCCAGGGTATGGAGAACTGAAAGGTTCACTACACAACAACCCAGACACGCCAGCTTAGCCCAGACACGCCAACTTGTTAATTTTCATTGAGAAATAACGTTGCAGCTTTGTGCATTTGGCTGTCCACTAAAATATGCCAAGTGCCCAGAAAGCGCAGAGTTGACTCCGTATATTCGAGTATAAATCAAGGTATTGCCAAGTCACCAATGAAATATATTCTAACGTCACTTGTAAGATGTTTGTTTTGAACTGGAATACACTTTTTAAATAGAATTAATGTTACATATAGTGGTTAGGTTTCCAGGCTAGCCTGCAAGAGTCTTTTAAAACCTGTCTGCAGAAATTCTACTTATAAATCTACAATGAAAAAAGGTATTTAAAAATTTTTTTTTAAGTACTAGAAAATGTAAATTCATAGTATTCTGTTTTGATTACACATTTCCCCTGGCCCCGGCCACAGCTCCTGTGAATAGCTCTCTAGCGCCTCCAGCAGGTTAGTGCCACCTCTGCCCCAGTTCACGCTCATCAAGGTCAAGGTGATAGCTCCCTTCCGTCACGTGTAGGTTAGAGCAGGAGTCTGCAAACTCTTCCTGTGAAAGAGCTTTGCAGGTGGGACTGCCCCTTGGCACTTCCCCAACACTGCCAGTGTGGTGCAAAAGTAGCCAGAGACCGCGTGTAGGTGAATGAACTTGGCCATGTTGCTATGTAACCGTGTGGACTGAAGTTTGAATTTTGCGTAACTTCACATCACAAAATATTGTTCCTTTGATTTTTTTTTCAACCACTTAAAAAGTATAAGAACCATACACAGGCCATAGAAAAACAAGGCTGAGTTCAGCTCAGAGAGCCTGACAGTAGGGCACACCCTGCCCGCACCCTGGCCTCCAAGGATACTCCTGTGAGTCAGAGGGCTTGGGATTCTCCCACGGATTGGACAGATATTTTGACAGTGCCCCCACTGTGCATGCTGGGGCACAAAAGTACAGAACAGGCAAACCCAATGCCACCTGTGTCGAAGCCAGTACCATCGGCTCTGGGCATCTCCCACCCCTCCCTGCAGAAGTGGGCGTCCTCCCTCTGCAGCCAAGGGGACCGGCGTTTACTCAGGTTGACTCCTGGCCAGGAGTCGGGGACTCCTCTTTGTGCCCCAACACATCCTTCTCTCAGCCGGGCATCTGTGGCCGTCTCCTCCCCGCCTCGCAGCCACCTGAGCCAGCAGCTCTGGCCTGGTGGTCGCAGCTCTCTCCCGGGTCTCCCTGCTTCCACTGTGGCCCTCCTGGGGCCGTGTGCTCACTGTGGCCTTCCTTTTTTTTCTGAGATGGAGTTTTCCTCTTGTCACTCCAGCTAGGGTTTAATGGCGCGATCTCTGCTCACTGCCTCCCGGGTTCAAGCAATTCTCCTGCCTCAGCCTCCCAAGTAGCTGGGATTACAGGCGCATGCCACCACACCTGGCTAATTTTGTACTTTTAGTAGAGACAAAGTTTCTCCAAGTTGGTCAGGCTGGTCTCGAACTTCCAACCTCGGGTGATCTGCGCGCCTCAGCCTCCCAAAGTGCTGGGATTACAGGCATGAGCCACTGTGCTCGACTGGCCTTCTTCTTTCACAGGAAGCGACAGCAGCATCACCCCTCGGTGCTCACCTGGTGACCGTCTGCCAAGGGCCTGGTGGCCCCGCCACCCTACCTGGCCCATGCTCCATGGGGTTCTCGGTTCACTCTCGTCCCTCCACTCACACGTATCTGGCCATCAAGTAAGAATCAAAATAAAAAGTTGCACCTGGCCTGCAAGTGTGCAGAACCGCACCTTTTGTTGATCCAGGAAGCTCAAGCCAGGCAGTGTGGCGCTGGGTCACCATGGCACCATTGAGAGCTTCCGTCTGCAGGTCCCCACGCCCACAGCACCTCCCTTTCCCCCTGGGCATTTGGATACCACATGGGCATCTCCCCTTCTGCTGGCGAAGGCTACAGAAAGTTCACAGCTGTGGAGTTTCCAGGTGGCTGAACTTGCTGAGGCTGCTGTTTGCTGTGCGCGTGCCATGCCTGAGGCCCTGGGTGCTGTCCACAGGCAAGAGGGACTGCGGAGGCCCCGCCCAACTCCTGTGTGAAACTTAGCTCTTGTCTGTGATGAGTGAATGCCGTTGTTATCCTCGGTACTGGTCTCGGTGGAGTACAGGGCGAAGAATCGCAGTTTCATTTGAGGGCCACCCAGACGGGAAGCACACAGCAGCCTGGGGCCCGGACACAGGGGCTTGGCCTCCATGAGTTTTCTCCTCTGCCGGTTCTTTCTTTTCTGTCTTCTCGAAGGAGCTGGACTCCCCATTCCACCATCCTTCTTATACAATGTGATTCCTGACTTTTTTTTTTTTACTGGAGAAAACTGAGTTTTATTCGTATATCATTCAAATCTTAGGAAATTTGACAGGAAAGAGTTTCACAATGAGCTGGAGTTTAGGAAGGAAAGAAAACAAAGTCGCCCCTGCAAAGCCAGCCTCATTCATATTCAGTGAGGTGTCACTCACACCACCTGGAAACCACCGTGCTTACCTAAGTGTTTAGAAGTCATAACTTACACAGAATCCCATTGTGCACAGCACTTCCCTGTTTCCAGCCAATTTCTTCTTTCATTTCAGCCAAAGAACAGCAATCTCTTTAGTCCTTTCAGTGAAGATTGCAGAGGCTTTCAGAACCATGGCAACCTGGAGAGTCCATGTCTCCCCATCTTTCCTGGTGCCCCAGAAGCCCTGCCCCAGCGCCTCCCCATCTTTCCTGGCCCCCCAGAAGCCCCGCCCCCAGCGCCCTCCCTGCTCTGCCTTCCCCAGAGCACTTGCATTCTTACACCCTCAGTCACGTGTTTCCTTTCTTCCCCGTGGCAATGAAGCCCCTTGGCTGGTACTTGGCTTCCTTTGATCGCTGATGGAGCCCAGGTTCCCCCAGCAGTGCCTGGCCCTGGTGGGGCAGGATAAATGTTTGTGAAACTAAATGGGAACCCAGGTCTCAGCACTGTGTCAGGTTCTAGAATCTTCTTTGATGTCTCCATCCTGCTTGTTTCTCACTCAGCCCTTCGTCTGGCCTGACATCCACAAGAATCCCCTACCTCAATCCCTCCTATTTCCAGTGCCCCCATCCCACCAGGCCTCGTTGCCCTGGGTCTTGCTCTCTGCAGACCACAACTGGGCAGGCCCTCTTTCACACCAGCTCCTCACCACCCTCCAGGTGAAGCCTTCGTTAAAACCGCATTTTCTGTAGAGGCCAAACCATTGTCTGACATTCAAGGCCTTCCTTCAGCCTCCTGCCCCCCGTCTCAGCAGCAGCCGCTCCACTGCACCTGCCCGCAGCACCCCTGGCTGGCCCCTGGCCCGGCCCCTCTGCCATCCGTGCAGCTCAGAGCCAGGTGGTCTTGCCGGGAGGTTGCCTGGCCCACCGCCAGGATCCCCATGTAGGTGCCTGACCCAGTACATCAAAGCATGATGTCGCCATTTTTACCACCACAGTCCTATAAAGTTGTTTCTTGCTAACGCATGGATGTGTGGACACAGGCCTCACCTGTCCCGGCCCCCAGCCCATGCGTCTGCCCTCTGCACTTATCTGTGTTCCTGACGGCCACAAGTGGCCGTGGAGCTGCTCAGGATGGAAGGATGGCTGGAGACGGTCTGTGGCCTGTGTCCACATGTCCCGGGACCCAGCCTGAGGTGCCCTCCTCACCCCCAGACACCCATGCATGTGGCCCCACACCATGTCACTCCCACGCTCATCCGTCCAGCCCCAGCTCCCAGCTAGAGTGCAGTCCCATGGGGGACCACGCTGCTGTGTGCTCCACCCGCCTTCCCTCCCGAAACCCTGCGTCTCGGCCAGAGTCCAAGCACACCCGTGCTGAGAGGCGAGGCGGGAGTTAATTCTGCTCGGGACTCTGGTGGCCTGAGAAGGCTCTTCCCGCAGAAACAGCCTCATCCCGAGAGCGCTGGCAGGAACGCAGATCAGAGGCCTGGGCTAGATGGGACCAGTTTTCACGACTCTGCTAGATACGGTGACATTTTTTACGGTTTTGAAAATGAGTTACCATAGAAATGGATCCAGGATGGACTAATGCAAGGGAGGGGAGGGCGAGAAAGGAACACAGCCCTGCGGAGCCTGGAGCCGGCCCTGGTGCAGCTGTGGCAAGCGCCCTGCTCACCCAGAGGAGGAGCTGGGGGCCCTGGCCAGCGGCAGAGCCAGAAGCCCCGCAGGCCGCCTGTGCTCTCCACACCTGAACACGGGATTCTGCGGGAGAGCTGGTGTCAAGTCCTGACCCCTCTACTTCGTTCCGAATCTGGGAGCCAGAACTACTGCCTTTGGAGGAAAGAGGAGCCCGGAGACCCGAGCCCAGAAACTGGGGCACTGCCCGGCTCCTGGGAGGCCACAGAACAGTGGCGGCCCCTGCACCCCAGGCCTGCCCAGGCCTCTCAGCCGCACACATTGCGGCCGGCTGCACTGCGGCATCATTGGTGTTCACAGGACGGGCCATAGCAACTGCTTCTCCCTTGGTTTATTTTTTAATGTTTCTTAAAGACGGGGTTTCGCTGTGTTGCCCAGGCTGGCCTCGAACTCTTGGGCTCAAGCAATCCTCCCACCTCACCTTCTTGGGTACCTAGAACTACAGTTTCCTTCCTTTTTTCCAAGGCATCGAGAAGCTGAAAGAGTCCTTACAAGCCCCGCGTGCAGCTCCAGAGACCCCCAGTAGTGAGTTCCGGCCAGGCCTCGAGGTCTGGGTTTCAGGGCAGAGAAGGTATTGGTTTCTGCCTTTGCAGAAAAAAAGCCTGGTGCTCGCTCAACCAAAAGAAAAGCTAGGCAGGGTTTTTGCCAAAGGAACTGTGTAGGTTTGGAAGGAAAAGGCTTCACAACCCAGAAACTGGAGTTACTCTTGTCAGAAGACGGTGGTGAGAAAATGAACAACAGTTTTCCAATGCTACAGGATTATGTTTTTAGGACAAAAGTCCTTAACTAAAGGCCATTATGATGTTTGTCTCGTAGGGGTACTGAATATGCTGAGAAAACGATGCAGACGCACCGCCCACCCGGCCCGGGAGGTGCTGCGTCTTCCCTGTGGGCAGCTGCAGGGCCCACGGCTCCGGCCGGCCCAGGAGGAGGGAGGGCGGAGCGGCTGGTCAGCGTGATTCTCGTAACAGCCACACCGAGTTGTGGGTGCAGCCCCTGAGGGGTCAGGAGGGGTCACAGGAAAGGGGCCGCTGCGGAAGCCCTCGGCCTGGGGCACTGGTTCCCCAGGATGGCAGAGGGTCTTGGCCATCACAGACTGGGTGAGCACATCAGAGGGCGTAACCCGCTCTGCCAACCCCTCAGCCTTGGGGTGGCGGCTGGCAGCTGTCACCTGCAGGAAGACTCTGTCTTCTCTGAACTGCTCCGACAGCCGGGGAGCTTCTGGGATTCAGAGTCAGCCAGAGCTCTGAGTAAATTTCCCCGCCGTGTATGCTATTTGGAAAGCTGTGGCCATTGGGCTCTGAACAATAACTTCTAAAACCATTCATTATGATCTTTTATTACTTTTAGTCTAGACATGAAAATAGGTTCTCCGTGCTTACAGGGAGTTCTGTGAGTGCCAGCAGGGGCCCTTTCTAAGCTCAACATCCCCGGTCCCTGACTCCCTGCCGGGCAGGACCCAGGCAGCCCCACCTCCTTCCTGGTGGACTCGAATCCGATGGGAAGTTCTCTGCGGTCTGTTTTGGGGACTGGCAGATTTTACAACAGGACAGTTCATACAACGGAGCCTGAGAGAAGATTGTGGCCAAACCAGGGAAAGACGTGAAATAAAGACAGCAGTTCCGTGATCACAGCGTCATACTTTTTACTAGTACATAGTTATAAAATCCACTGTCACTAAAAAGACTGGCAAAAATTAGATTTTTTTTTCCCCTGTTGAGTCGCAAACAGTATTTCGACTTTGATATAAGTGGAAGTCTGCACGAAGGTCGACAACAATAGCGTTGGCCCTCGGTACGCGTGGGGGACTCAAGGGCCCAGGGCCCACGACGCTCAGTCCTGCTAGGAAAGGCGTGACAGCTGTGCATCCCCCACACACATCCCCCATCGTGCTTGCATCTTCTCTAGTTTCCTTATAATGCCAAACCCAGCACAGTGTGTCAACAGTGGTTATGCTCTCTTGTTTTTTTTTTTATGTGTATTACTTTTTGTTTTGTTTTCAAATATTTTCGATCTGCGGTTGGTTGAATCCATGGATGTAGAGGGCCAACTGTAATAAAAATCTGTTTTTAAAAATTAGATGAAAGTGGCCAGGCGCAGTGGCGCATGCCGGTAATCCCAGCACTTTGGGAGGCCAAGGCAGGTGGATCACGAGGTCAGGAGATCAAGACCATCCTGCCTAACACGGTGAAACCCGTCTCTACTAAAAATACAAAAAAAAAAAAAAAAATTAGCTGGGCGTGGTGGTGGGCACCTGTAGTCCCAGCTCCTCAGGAGGCTAAGGCAGGAGAATGGCATGAACCCAGGAGGCAGAGCTTGCAGTGAGCCGGGATCGCGCTGCTGCACTCCAGCCTGGGCGACAGAGCGAGACTCTGTCTCAAAAAAAAAAAAAAAAAGTTAGATGAAAGTAGCAGCTAATACATCTCACACACACCCCCACCCCGCCCTGCACATTGCCAGGGTCCTTACCTGGAGTGTCCTGTGGAGCCCTGACCTAGACCCCGGGTGTCCGCGTCTGTGGCCCCCACATTGTGGGTGAGGCTTGAGCAGCCACCAGCCTGCACCCTCCTCGCAGTCTGCCAGGGCCGCCGGGAGTGGGGGGCCTCCTGCCGTGCCTGCCCTGGGTTCCGGGCTTGCCCAGTGCCCTATTCTTCACAGTGGCCTGGTCCTCACCCCCGGGTCTTGTGAGGAGGGTTCTCATATAAGGCCAGCTGCCCCTCACAGCCCCTTCACGGGGCAGTCGAGCCTCGTGGGGAGCTGCTTCAATGCCTCACTCAGCTGTGGGGAGCCCAGGACCCCAGAATAATCAAGGGGAGTGGGTCTCAGGTGGGCAGTCATCAACGGGCATCTTACGGGGCCATCCTGTCACCCATGTTAGAGAGTGTCGTGGAGCTAGGCGGTAGCGAACTTCGCCAGTGAGGCCGCATCTCCTCCTCACCAGGGCCTGTCGCGGGAGGGAATTCAAAGCCAAATCTCCTAGCCCACCCACCCACTCTAAAAAAAAAAAATGAGGACGCAGCCATCGCCGATGTCCTTGTGTTGCACGGAGCAGTTCCTAGGAGCCGGCTCCGCTGGGGTAGAGGAGACTCTAGGGATGTTCCTACAGTCTGGACCGATTTTACATTTCCGAGACTTGCTTGTGGATCTACACGGCTATCGCAGAGCTGTGCAATCTGAGAGCTGGAAGGCTTCGGTTCTGTCCCAGTACACGCGGTGCAGGACCACGGTTGAGCAGAAGGTGCATCTGCGTGGCACCGTGGCGCTGAAGTCCAGGTGTGCTTGGGCCCTAGGCTCCCAAGACGTTCCCACTGCCTCCTCCTGGGCACAAGGCTCAAGCACAGGGACCGCCGGCCAGGCACACATGTGTATGGGCAAGACCCGCAGGGGACGTGTCCCTGGGAAGAATGCTTCCTTTGGTTGAAGGCTGTAAACTCGCCCTGTGAGGTGAGACATGTCAGCTCCCAGAAAAGGTCCCAGCCTCTCATGATTCACGCCAGCACAGGCAGCACAGCAGCAGAGCGTGACCTCCTAGATGGCAGCGTGACCTCCTAGATGGCAGCGTGACCTCCTAGATGGCAGCTGAGCTCAATTCCACACGGCTCAGTCCTGGAGACAATCACTCACTGCAACACGCATTCCTCATGGGGGCCTCTTCAGGAGCCACGGGCATGGGGCTTCCCTGACCTCTGCACTCACGGTGGGGGCGCGCACAGCAGGGGTAGACACTGGCCCGCCATATCTGGAGCTGAAGTAGAGCCCGTCTTGGGCTCGCTTAGCGGAGACCATAGGTGGAGGTGAGCCAGTGGCCTCAGGCATCTGCAGAACCCACGCACACATTGACTTTCGCACCCGCCTCCATCTCCGTGGACTTGACTGTGTCGTGCAAAACCCACTCCACGTGCGCAGCTGTGTTCCTGCAGTGACACGAGGCCCTCCACTGGCTTTCGATGCTTCAGCTCTTTCACCAACAATCAGGTGGACTGGAATCACACCTCACTCGAAACCCTTTGAATCTCTATTTAGTGAACAAGCACTTGCTTCTCAGCAAATTGTCTAGCTTCCCCAAAAATAAAGAAGATGGAGTTCTGTGTGGCTGGATCCCTTTTCAGCTCCCAGCACTGAGGGCAGGGCCCTGTCTGCCTCCGCCTCTGGGTTGAAGCCTGGCAGTAAACTGGCACTCCTGGTGCCCGCAGGCAGGGGAGGCAGCGCCTGGCCCCGCTCTGCCCTCCACGCTCAGCGCCTCTGGTCCTCGGCCCAGCCCTTGCTGGACATGCAGCCTCTACCAGGATTGCTGCTTCCCTTCTCGGCCTCTCTGGGTCCAGCGTGGCGTGGACAACAGTTCGGCAATGCCTGCTCCATCAGCCTCCTCCCTGGCCTCAGCCAATGCTGACTGTGCCAGGAGCCCACATAGCCCGTGCCTGCCCCCCCTTCTGGTTTCCAAGTGCTCACAGCCTCCACCCCACAATCTCTGATTGGCTCCTGCAGGCTTCCGTCAGGTATCCCCCAAGGCTCCGCGTCCCCATCACCTCCGTGTTTTATTGTTCAATGTCTTAGATCTTGTTTGTGCTACCCCCTCTCGCTCCACCCCTCCTTTGCCCAGAGAATGATCCTCCTTCCCTTCAAAGCCCAGCTCCTTCGTGCCTCTTCCACCAGGCCTTCCTGGCCTTCACTTCCTAGCCCACTGCTGACAGAAGGAGTCACTCTCGCTCCTTCCTGCATCTCCCTGAGGCCGCACGCTGTCGTGGACGTAGCATGGCTCAAAGGTTTGATGGGTGTGCGTTCACATCCTTCATCCTCTGGGCCTCACCTTCCTTGGCGACGCTGGGGGTAACACCTGCCTGTAGGATTGCTGGGGAATTAAATAGGACCGAGCAGCCGCACCGACGAATCCTCACCGACGAAGCCTCAGCGCTTCCCTCCATGCCCACGACTCACCAGTGTTATTTATAAATGAGTCTGAGTCCCTGCTGGGTCCTGCCTTGTCTGTCTTTGTATCCGAGTATGCAGCACAGAACCTTGCATTGAGTGTTGGGTGAGTCGGGAGAGGCTTAGGGACAAAAGTCACAGCACATCAACCTTTCGTGAAGTCCTAGCATCTCAGAGCAGGGCCAGTGCCTGGAGGTGGACAGGAAGCACGTGGAGGTGGGCAGGAAGCACTCCCTGGGTCACAGTGCACAGCAGCACGTGCTGAACTTGGTGCAGTGCAGACGTCCATGCCACATGCACCACTACCCATGGGCTGCGGCAGCTCCTAGAAATCTAGGATGTGACATCAGACGCTCCTCCGGGAGTGTGGTCATGCCCTCCGATCCGCTGAGGCATTTCAAGGAAAGTTACACCCTTTCCAACGCAGTTTTCCTTTTAGAAAGATTTGGCCTCAGTAGATGAATCCATGTGATCAAGCCTAGTGATCAGCTAGGATTCTTGAATCTCGGGACCCGTTGCCAGAATAACAAAATGGGGGCTTCCTGTAACCTCGGCTCTTTAAAGCAACACTTCTGATACCAGGGTTAGGGTTTCAGAAAATGCAGCCGCCTTAGGAGCCTCATTGGCAGCTACTTTCCACTAAAACATCTTCCATTTCTCTCTCTCAGGAGTTTCCTTTAACAGTGTTTACACTCAGATTTGGAGAGTCCTGCTGCACCTGGCTGCTGACCCCTATCCAGAGGTCTCGGACGTGGCCATGAAAGTACTCAACAGCATCGCCTACAAGGTACGTGCCGGGCGCTCCCCACCGCGCTCCAGCTGCTGGTTCTCGGTTACGAGTATGCATGCCAGGAACTCCAGGTGTGCCCGGGTCCACACCACAGTTTAGAAAGTAACAAAACGAGCTTCAGCAAATATCTTAAATCTGGAGATGTACACAGTACACCCCAAACTGTGTCTGTGCAGCTCCCACGTGGGCAGAGGGTGCTGGATTTACTGATGCCTGTCAAGGCAATTAGGGGAGGACTGACATTATCTTTCAGGATCCTCTGGTGTCTGGGTGAGCTACAGTGCTGGCCCTTCTTCCATTTTTTTTTTCTTTCTTTACTTAATTATTTATAAGAGATGGGGTCTCCCTGTGTTGCCCAGGCTGGTCTTGAACTCCTGGGCTCAAGGGATCCTCCTGCCTCAGCCTCCCAAAGTGCTGGGATTACAAGCGTGAGCCACTGCACCTGTTTTTTGTTTTTGTAAGACAGTCTCACTCTGTCCAGACTAGAATGCAGTGACCTGATCACGGCTCACTGTAGCCTCCAACTCCTGGGCTCAAGCAATCCTCCCACCTCAGCCTTGGAAGTAGCTGGGACTACAGGTGCACACCACCACACCCGGCTAATTTTTAAATTTTTTGTAGAGACAGAGTCTCAGTGTGTCGCCCAAGCTGGTCTCTAACTCCTCAGTTCAAGTGATCCTCCTGCCTTGGCCTCCTGAAGTGCTGGGATTACAGGCATGAGCCACCACACCCAGACTTTTCTTCCCTTTCTGATAGCAGTAATTTTTGACTCATTCAAAACCCTTCTAGTTAATGGTTTCTTATTCATGGCCATTCTAGCTCAAGGGAACTTTTCAAAGAATCAGTTTTTGGTTTCATTGGTTTTTCTCTGTTGTTTGTCCATTTTCCATTTGATTGATTGAGCTTTCATCAATAAAGCTTGCTTTCTTCTGCTTACTTTGAGTTTAATTTGCTCTTCTCATCCTAGTTTCTTAAGGTAGAAGCAGAGGTCATTGATTTTAGTCCTTTCTCTTTGGGGACTGTAAACTCTTCTCAGTCCCTTTTGTGAGCTCTGGGCATTTGGCCTACCGCCTTCCCGCTGTTTTTTCTCTGCCTCATGGGTTGTCACTCTACCCTTGAGCAGATGAATACTTAGTCAAAGACCCCAGGGGCCTCTCCTGCAGACCTTGGAAGCTTTCCCCTCTCCAGTGCTCTGTCCTGCAAATTGTCACCACCTCAGCCTCCCTGGAGCCCCAGTCTCTGTCTCCTGTTCCCTGAAAGTGCTGGGCTCCCCGTCTCTGCACTGTGGCCTGGGACTGCCTGAAACTACCTGCAAGCCGGACACAGGGCAGCTGTTTATTTCCGTTCTCTCAGGGATCACAAGCCCGTGACACCCAGCACCCAGTGTCCAAAAACAATTGTTTACGGTATTTGTCCTGGTTTTCTAGTTGCTTATGGAAGTTGGATGATTTATGTGGAATTAGAAGTCACTCATTATAGCACTTAAAAATTTTTTGGTAACTTTTTGATAAAACTTCAAAAGCTTACAGAAATGTTGCAGGAAGAATGCAGGGAAAGGCCACACTCTTGCAGCCTCTGTGGTGTTCTACGTCTTCATCTGACCTCGTCACGGCTATGGCGTTGCCTCGGGTATCACTCAGTGCCAGGGTCTGCAGGGTCGAGGAGCCACGGCTTCCCATCCTAGTCCATCGCTTTTTCCAAATGAGCTATCGAGTCTCCCCCTCTCATTTGCTGTGGCCTTCTGGGTCCTGGCCGGCCATCGAGCCAGGGTTCCTGCAGCTCCTCAGCTCCTTTTGCTGATATTATACTTCTGTGGCTTTCGGTTCCTTCAACTAAGTTATTTTCTGTTGGTCTAGTTATATCTTAGATGGAAATCACCTTACCGTCTGCAGTTGGTTCTTCTTCAGTTCTTTTTTTTTTTTTTTCTCTTGCTCTGTTGCCAGGCTGGAGTGCAGTGGCACAATCTCAGCTCACTGCAGCCTCCGCCTCCCAGGTTCAAGCAGTTCTGCTGCCTCAGCCTCCCAAGTAGCTGGGACTACAGGCGTGAGCCACCACACCCGGCTAATTTTTGTATTTTTAGGAGAGACGAGGGGTTTCACCGTGTTGGCCAGGATGGTCTCGGTCTCTTGACCTCGTGATCCGCCTGCCTCGGCCTCCCAAAGTGCTGGGATTACAGGCGTGAGCCACTGCGCCTGGCCTGTTCTTTATGGTATCACCGGTATAGTCACAAGTAGCCTATTGGCCAACTTGGAAAGGTCCAGATTGTTTAATTCTGCACCGGCCTCCCCTCCTGCAGCGGACTCTGCCACTTCCTTCGTCACCGCATCCCTGCAGCGGATTCTGCCACCTCCTTCGTCACCGTGTGGTGTGGCCAGCTGCACGGGCACCTGGAGACGTTCATCCCCAGGCAGCAGGCCATCTCCTCAGGTTTCTTTTATGTGCTACTGGCCTGTTGAAAATAGCCAGTCAATTAAGTTAATGTTTTCATTATGCGGTAAGAAAACTAAGAAATAATATAATTATTTGCTTTTAAACTAGGAATAAGATAAATACAAAAATAAACCTCAGGCTGGGTGTGGTGGCTCACACCTGTAATCCCAGCACTTTGGGAGGCCAAGGCGAGAGACGATCACTTGAGCCCAGGTGTTTTGAGACCAGCCTGGGAAACATAGTGAAACCCCGTCTCTACAAAATAGTAGCAAGTTAGCCGGGCACGGTGGCAAGCACTTGTGGTCGCAGCTACCCAGGAGGATGAGGCTGGAAGATCCCTTGAGCCCAGGAGCTCAAGGCTGCAGTGAGCTATGATTGTGCCACTGCACTTCATCCTGGGCGGCAGAGTGAGACCGTGTCTTTTAAAATAATGTTTAAAAATATATGTTTGTTACACATTATGGTCTGAGACCAAGAAGGGGAGGCAGTAAAGCAGACAGGAAGGAAATAAGGAAGAAAAGAAAGTCATAAGACTGCACAAACACCCCTGAGGAAACCACCCACGGAGGCCCCAGACCAGAGCAACCGGTCCCGAGGCCTCTCAGATGAGCTGACGCTCTGGAGGATTGGGACTGAAACCGTCACATCTGCCTGCTACGGATTAGGGAAAATCAGTTCTTACCACTTACCACTGCCCTTTTAGACTCTAAATAGCCTCTACCACTTTTAGTTTAAGATTTCAAGGTTGGGTTTTAAATAGCCGTTTTCACTAAAATAGTTGTAAAAGCTTTTTACGAACATTAATAAATGGTTTAAGTTTTTAGAATTGATGGCCAGTTCGCGTCTCTGCTGGCAGTTCTCTGACACACAGGAGTGTCTGGTGGCCTCTTCTTTTCTCTTGGAGGCACAGGATGGCTGTGGCCATGGACCACCCTTGCTCTGTCCTGACTGCACAGTTGGAGGCCAGCGCTATTTAGGAGGTTTGATCGTTTTCCCCCAATTAATTTAGCTTCTTGGGTATTTTGATCATGATGAAATCAGTATTCAGCCTATTTAAGTTTATTTTTCAGTGGCTTTTGTGTATTTAACCTTACTGAAAAATTAGCCTGAATTATTTTAAACTGTAATCCGAGTGCCTAATCTTGAAATATAAGGACTATTAAGTGCGTTCCTGTGGACCTGGCCTCCAGTTGTTAAATAGCTCCTCTTGGGAAGCTCTCGAGCCTGTGTAGCACAGAAGCCACTGCTCTCTGCTCTTCAGCAAACGTCCCAGCACAGCCTCCACAGCCCAGCGCCCTTTTGGATTGTGTGTGACATGTAGTGTAGCTGGACGGCCCGCCCCCCTCTCCCACCACGGTAAGGCAGTTAAGCACCTGCGTCTGCCTTTCATGTTAGCAGGTTATAGCAACTCGAACACACGGCTTTGTCGTGCTATCCGATTGAGACCCAGAAACCGCCATAAAAGTGGCATTTGCCTTCTGTGCCTGCTTTGCCGTTCTAGAATGACACAGAGACCTTAAGGCACATGGCCATCACTCCAGCAGACATGCCACAGCCAGAGGGGTGGAGAAGGTCAAGAGAAGGCCTCTGCTAGAGACCTTGCTATGCATAGCACAATGCAGCATGAGCTTGTGTGTGTGTGTCTGTGTGCGTGTGTGTGCACGCGTGTGTGTGTGTCTGAGTGTATATGTGTGTGGGTTTAAGAGTAAACATTGCTACTAAAGCATTTGGAAGCATAAATCTTTCTTGTCTTCATTTTAATTTCAAGAAATGCCTTATTTTCCTGCTCTAGGAACTGAAGGGATTACATTTCATTTTACAGAGAAACGAGCCTATTTTAGATATTTAACTCTGAAGCCAAATTTTTGTTCATCAGAGTCTAAAACAGCCTTATTACTATGGAATGCCCTGTAGAATTCTATATTCAAATACAGAAATTGCCACCAGCTCTGTATGAGAGAACCCACACAGCTCCAGAGCTGTGGTCTGATTTCATGTATTTATAATATATTTCGATTCCCATTCCATGGGCTTGGGGTTTTCATTTTGCTTTTAGCTCCCTTTTCTCTTGGTTTAGTTTTGGGGGTGTTGTTTGTTTGTTTTGTTTTGAGACAGGGTCTCACTCTATCACCCAGGCTGGAGTTCAGTGATCCAGTCACGGCTCACTGCAGCCTCGACCTCCTGGGCTCAAGCGATCCTCCCACCTCAGCCTCCCAAGTAGCTGGGACTACAGGGGCGCACCACCATGCCTAGCTAATTTTCGTATTTTTTGTAGAGATGGGGTTTCACCATGTTGCCCAGGCTGGTCTCAAACTCCTAGGCTCAAGTGATTCACCCACATTTCCCTCCCAAAATGCCAGGATTACAGGCATGAGCCACTGCACCTGGCCTGCTTTTAGGTTTTTTTAAGGAAAATTTCAGACTATGTAGAAGTAGAAAGAAGAGACTGATGCCCCTCAGGAGCCTGCCTGTGGCCCCAGCAGTTCTCACCTCAGTGGTTTTAGGACAATGCCAAGAAAGAACCTTCAAGCCACAGGTGGTCACCTGTCAGGGCACATGTTCTCATGATCACTGCTTATATTATAATTTATGAGAAAACGTGTGAGCATAAATGCACAAACTCACCTAGAAGCACCGCTGCAGCCTCTTGATACTGTGAAGAGTGTGTGTGCATGTGCGCTGGCCGCTGCCTCTGTTGCAGGACTCATGCATGCAGACGGAGATGAGAAAGGGGTGTACTTAACGAAAGGTCAAATTGATGGCAGTGGCAGCCAGTCTGGGAGCGGCCACTGCCATGATGCCAGCTACAGCTGGGGAGGTGTGGCCAGGGCCGTGTGCTCCACAAAGCTGGCAGGAGGCAGGGACCGGTGGAATCCCACCCCCTTCCAAACTGGCAGGGTGGGAGCCTCATGCTCCCCAGGTGCAGCTACAGCCACCCAGCCACAACTCTGGATCCAGGCATCTCTGTGCTCTTGGGGGCCGGGAGCAGGCAGGAACCCCACCCTCCCAGGCACAGCTGCAGCCACCCAGCCGTGGCTCCAGACCCAGCCATCTCTGCTCTTGGGGACCAGGAGCGGGCAGGAGCTCCACCCTCCCAGGTGCAGCTGCAGCCACCCGGCATGGCTCCTCTGTGCTCTCAGGGGCCCAGGAAGTGCCCCTACCCCTGCAGGCTTGGAAGCGTCTGCTCCCGCTCCCTGGCCTCTCCCTGCTCCTGGCACCCACTTCAATCTCGGAGCAAAGTTGAGGCTGTACCCAGGTGCTGTTGCAACCAGCCGGCTGTGCACACGCTCGGGGCAGTGCTCACATGCCAACCACCTGCTATGTCAGCCCCCTCTGGACTTTGGGCACCAACGAGCATGGGAGGGAGGCTGAGGGTGGGGACTGAGGGCAGTTTGGCACTGGCCTGCAGGTGCCCCTCGGCACAATCAGCCTGGGTGTTATGGATGATGGCAGGAGGCAGACAGGGTCCTGGGCAGAAAGGGGCAGGTCCCCAGTGAAGTGCCACCTTCAAGCCAGGGACAGCCTGAAGCCTGGGGGCTGGGCTGATGGACCAGAATGGGAACTTTTAGTGCTTTTTCCAAGCCTGCCCATGGCTGCCCATGAATCAGTCAGCACATACTTCCTCCCCTTTGAAGCCCATAAAAACCCTGGACTCAGCCAGACTCAAGGAAACGATGGCATAACCTGCCTTCAGAAAGGAGCTACCCATGCCGGGGTCTCCTCTCTGCTGAGAGCTGAGCAGACGTTGGGAAAACCAGCTGCAGAGAGGAGCTGCACACTCCAGGGTCTCCTCTCTGCTGAGAACTGAGCAGACGTCGGGAAAACCAGCTGCAGAGAGGAGCTGCACACTCCAGGGTCTCCTCTGCTGAGAGCTGAGCAGACGTCGGGAAAACCAGCTGCGGAGAGGAGTTACCCACTCCAGGGTCTCCTCTCTGCTGAGAGCTGAGCAGACGTCAGGAAAACCAGCTGCAGAGAGGAGTTAACCACTCCAGGGTCTCCTCTCTGCTGAGAGCTGAGCAGACGTCGGGAAAACCAGCTGCAGAGAGGAGTTAACCACTCCAGGGTCTCCTCTCTGCTGAGAGCTGAGCAGACGTCGGGAAAACCAGCTGCAGAGAGGAGTTAACCACTCCAGGGTCTCCTCTCTGCTGAGAGCTGAGCAGACGTCGGGAAAACCAGCTGCGGAGAGGAGCTACCCACTCCAGGGTCTCCTCTCTGCTGAGAGCTGAGCAGACGTCGGGAAAACCAGCTGCGGAGAGGAGCTACCCACTCCTGGGTCTCCTCTCTGCTGAGAGCTGAGCAGACATCGGGAAAACCAGCTGCAGAGAGGAGCTACCCACTCCAGGGTCTCCTCTCTGCTGAGAGCTGAGCAGACGTCGGGAAAACCAGCTGCGGAGAGGAGCTACCCACTCCAGGGTCTCCTCTCTGCTGAGAGCTGAGCAGACGTCGGGAAAACCAGCTGCGGAGAGGAGTTACCCACTCCAGGGTCTCCTCTCTGCTGAGAGCTGAGCAGACGTCGGGAAAACCAGCTGCAGAGAGGAGTTAACCACTCCAGGGTCTCTTTTCTGCTGAGAGCAGAACACTTATCAGGACAGTCTGCCTCCGGAGAGGAGCTACCAACTGTGGGTCTCCTCTGAGCTATTCTGTTGCTCAGTAAAGCTCCTCTTCAGCTTGCTTAACCTCCACTTGTCCGTGTACCTCATTCTTCCTGGATGCAGGACAAGAACTTGGGACCCACCAAATGTCAGGGCTACAAGAGCTCTAACACAAACAGGGCTGAAACATGCCCCTTGCTTGCCACTTTGCAGATGACAAGAAGGAGAGAAGAGAAAAGGAGAGAAGAGCTGCAGCCCTTCAGGGAACCCAGACCTAGGAGCTCCCTGAGATAGGGCTGTGATGCCATCTCTGGGGCTCTGCAGTTCCTGGCGTCTCCAAGCTTCCAGGTGCCACCACGTTCCCCAGTGCCAGATGTTGAAGCTGCTTGTAGTACACCTGGCCCAGCCACAGCCTTGCAGGGAGCAGGCACCCATGCCAGTGCCTAGAGCTGCCCACCCCCCTGCAGCCAGCATGCATGGCTGCGCACAGTGGCTGGACCCCACATTCACTCTCACACCCCTCACCACTCTGCGCCTGGCTTGCCTTTGGCAGGTGTGAGATGCGGGCCAGCAGTGTGAGCCAAGCGCAGCCTGCCAGGCTGAATGGGCATAACAAGCCCAGTGGGTCCAAGTAAAAACTCGGGCAAAGGCGTCACCAGCCACAGAGGTTTCTGGCTGGCAAAGCAATACCCCAAGGATCCCATGACATTTTGATTTACTTATAAAATGAAGACCTAAGTTACTGATAAAGTAAATAAACATTGGCCGAGTGCGATGGCTCACACCTGTAATCCCAGCACTTTGGGAGGCCAAGGCGGGCGGATCACTTGAGGCCAGGAGTTCCAGACCAGCCTGGCTAAGAGTCTCTACTAAAAATACAAAAATTAGCTAGGTGTGGTGATGCACTCTTGTAGTCCCAGCTACTCAGGAAGCTGAGGCACAAGAATTGCTCGAACCCAGGAGACGGAGATTGCGGTGAGCCAAGATCACACCACTGCACTCCAGCCTGGCAACAGAGCGAGACTCTTATCTGAAAAAAGTAAAAGAGAATGAAAATAAAGATTGAGATATCCAGGAAAGCATATTCCAAAGCACCAAACATCCTAAGCCTGATGCCTGGCTTCATGCTTTCGTAGCATGAGTTACTTATGGATAGGTTTCATTTTTTTTTTTTTTGAGACTGAGTCTCACTATGTCGCCCAGGCTGGAGTGCAGTGGCGCGATCTCAGCTCACTGCAACCTCCATCTCCCAGGTTCAAGCAATTCTGCTGCCTCGGCTTCCCATGTAGCTGGGATTACAGGCACGCGCTACCATGCCCAGCTAATTTTTGTATTTTTAGTAGAGACGGGGTTTCACCATTGTTGGCCAGGCTGGTCTTGAACTCCCGACCTCCAGTGATCCACCTGTCTCGGCCTCCCAAAGTGCTGGGATTACAGGCGTGAGCCACTGCACCCGGCCATGGATACATTTCTTTTAAAATCACATTGTCATGCCAGAATTTTCTCTCCTCCTACTTGACAGCCTCTCTTAGAACCCAGAGAGCCCGGTCTGTGTCTCCCTACCCTCTGTTCTCTCAAGCTGCCTGAATCGTAAGGATTTCTTAATTCAGCATGTTTGCAATTAACCTCTAGACCAAAGTAGTTCTGCACTGCTAAAACTGTCTTTACCTCTGAAATTCTCTGAAATTTCTCTTCCAGTGATCTCAGCCGATCTGCATATAGATATTCTGATTTCTTTTTAACCTCGTCAAATGGCATTTCCTTAACTGAGACAGACAGTTCTCTGTTGCCACCGTGATCCCTCCCTCTAGAACTGCACCTCTCTGAAGCCATTGGACTCTCTCCCAGCTCAGGGCCCCTCCGGGAATCGTGAGCTCTACGTCCAGCCCCTGAAGGCCGTGCTGCCCATCCCACCCCTGCCTGGTTTCAGCGGTGGCCTGCTGTGTGGAAGTGTCTGACTGCCTCTCCCACCAAGCCACGGGCGTGCACACCCTCTGCATCCTCAGCAAGCGTTCACCTCACCTGTCTTAGTTCCTGCACCTCCACCACAAGGATGGATGCTCAGAACAGTGGGATGAGCCGCCCCAGGAATGTGGCATGCCAGCAGCACTAATGAACATGAACAGCCTGGACACATGTCACACCTATGGCTTGAAAGCTTGTCATGCACATGCTCATTCCCCTCACTGCAGACCTGGGGAACGAGGGCAGCATCAGCCTGGACTAGCATAGCTACAGAATCAGATGTGGCCCTGCCTTAGAGCCACGCTGCCCAATGCTGGCCCGTGGGCCCCTGCCCAGCTAGAGCAGAGGCACCCCTGGATCGCCCATCCAGACAGAGATGCCCTGTTCCCCTGCGGAGATGCAGACTCCAGGCTCTGGGGTGGCGGCCGGGAATCTGTTCTCAGTGAGACAGTACTGTGCAGCTGCAGGCAGCGGCTGCCCCACGAGCACCCTCGCGGGGGTCATAGCCACGAGCACCCTCGCCGGAGTCATAGCCACGAGCACCCTCGCCGGAGTCATAGCCACGAGCACCCTCGCGGGGGTCATAGCCATGAGCACCCTCGCGGGGGTCATAGCCATGAGCACCCTCACGGGGGTCATAGCCATGAGGCACTAGGTTGGCTCTTGGAGCCTGGGGCTCCTTCAGGCAAGGACAAGCACCAGCTTTGCCCTGAGCCCCATTCTAGTTCTGCTAGCTTTCAGCCAGTGACTTCATGCCTCTCAGCTTGCATTTCTCCTCTATAAAACTTAAAACTGGGATCATTGTATGACTCCCACCCCCTAGGGCTGTGGTAAGAAAGGCAGAGCCCCGTCCCTGTGCTGCCTGGGTGCAGCGGGGGCTCCATACAGCAAGCTGCATCGTCAGCACTCGTGTCTGTGTCCTGTGCCGCCCAGGTGCAGAGAGGGCTCCACACAGCCAGCTGCATCATCAGCACTCATGTCTATGTCGCCATCAGCTCCTTGGCCATCTCACCATCCTCTGTGGAAAAGGGGCCACAGCAACTCCAGAACCTCCCGAGCCTTCCCACACACCCGGGTCTGAGGAGGGAAGGAGCTGGTGGGCTGAGACACCTCGGCCTCCACTGACGCGGCGTTCTCTTCCCGCAGCGCCTAGGACTGAGGGCACCGTGGCCCCAAGTGAAATTCCTTAAGGCTTCCTTTGTAACTAATGGGCATCTTGTTAAGAGTCACCACGTTGCTTTAATGGAATAATACCTAGGACTTACTTTTCCAAAAGAAGAGTTCGTAGGATTTATCTAGGAAACGCAGTTTGCAGGAAAATGACTTGAAGAAATAGCAGCACACGCTTTTGCAGGGGTTTCTTCTCCCCCACCAAGCAGCCAGCGGCCTCTGCGCTATTCTTAGCCCAAAAGTGCCTCTGGATAATCCTCTGGGAATCCCTTTTTAAGAGTTTCTCACACATGAATCCAGATCCTCGATATAAAATTAACAGGAACATTTCTGAAATACTCCACTTCCTCCCAAGATAGAGCAGCCAGAAGCTGACGCTGGCATCCGCAGCCCTGACTGTGTCAAGATCCAGTGGGAAAATTCACTGTCCAAGTCTCTGAAATGTACGGTATTTTCATCTGCATTGGATCAGACGCCCCCGTGTCCTTGTGAGGTGGCGCTCCCGGAACAGGAGACAGGGTGGGTCTCATTCCAGTCCCCGCTTCAGCAGCTGCAACAGTCGGGGGTGGATAAAAGACACCTGCACCTCCATCTTCCAGGCGTGTTCATGTGCGCACTGGCCCAAGAGAGTGTCTGTGCTGAGCATTCGACTGTTAGCAAAGTCGTATCTGCCACCACCGAAGGTTGGCTTGGGGAGTGGAAGAAAGGCCCTGTCTTGTAGCCGGGACCTTGACCCTCTTACAGCTGCCGTCCTCTCTGGACGCAGACCTCCCTAGAGGGCATGTTTGCACACCCTTGACCTCTGCAGGCTGCGAGTGAGCCGGGGCTCTGGGGGTGTACATGCTGAGAAGGGCGCCGTGTCCTCCAGGCAGGCCTGGGCCCACAGAGGCTGTGCGGGCCGCACTCAGCCCTCCAGTTTGCATCTCCAAACCCAGCCTCTGCCATTGCCGTGCCCTCTCTGTTCACCCTTCCTGGTGCTGCGCTCTCTAAGATGGTGGCAGGGACCAGCAGAAAGGACTCTCCCTGGTCCTCTGCCTTTGCCCCTGCCCCAGCCAGCTCTGCAGCTCCTGCTCGCTGCGTACCCTGTCCTCACACCGACACCGCAGGCAGGCAGGTCTGCCAGGTCACCTCTGAGGGACACGCTACTCATGTTCACAATCTTGGCCCCACACCCAGCGCAATCAACGCTGAGTAAATGTTGAACAAATAAGAAGTGCACAGCTAAAGAAAGCTCCCTCCAGGCCAACCCCCTGTGGTCACTACACTAATGGGGGTGGGGGGGGCTCCTGATCCAGGTGTGTGTCTGTCTCACGAGATTTCCAGAAGTGGTGGAAAATTAGTTTTGTGACAGCAGCCCCAGGTACAAGCCATGTGAAAGCAGGATGGTCTCATCTTATAACCCCAGGGGCTGCGAGAATTCATGCCGAGGCCCGGATCAGTTCCCTGCCTGGAAGAGTGGGCAGAGCAGAGGGTTCGTCACCACGGCTCCATGCGGTACTCCCACGGGCGCTTCCGTGCAGGGTGGCAAGGCGGGAGCTGCACAGACCCCAGGCGGCTCAGCGTGACGTCCCAGGGCTCCTGAGTCACCGGCCCCAGCCCAGCAGCGCCTGAGCCTTTGTGCTCCGTGAGCGTCTGAGCATGTGTGGGTTTTGCTAAAGGCTTCATTTCAACTCCAGAAGTTTTCTGTCTTCCCCGTCACCTCCCACTGTTTTTCCAGACATTTTGAGAAGGCACATATAAAGTTCACAGTCGAAAACTTGCTTTTCTCTTTTTAGACTTTTGAAGGGATCATATGTCTGGCAGGTTCTGTGGGATGGTTGTATGTGTCTAGGGCTGGCCGAATAGTTTAATACCAAAACAAAACAAGCTCAGAAAGAACATGTATTACTCTTGTCATTTAAAAAATAGGAACGTTGCTTAAAGACAAGTTATGGTTCCATTTTCTTGCTATTTGCGTTTTGAAGGAAAGGACAATCTGGGAAGCGTGGGTGTTACATGAGTGAAGACTTCAGGATCGTTTTGTTTTCCTTGGTGTTCTGTTGGCTGAATTGCAGGTTCAAGGTTCCTAAATTCTAAGTGAATAATTAAAAGCATGAGACATTGCAGGCTCCACGCGGATGCGGACCTGAAGGACAGGGTTCTGTCTGGCTGGAGCGCAGCCTGGGATGGGCCGGCGCTCAGGGAATGGCTTGTGCCTGCGGGATCAGTGGGCACCTTCATGGAGCAGCTGGCCCCATCCTCCTGACACAGATGAGGTTGCCCCAGCACCATCAGGCCCCTTCTGAACGCGCACAGCCTCTGGAGTCCAGAACCCAGCGGGACCCGCATTCCCCCCACTGAGCAGTGTACTCAGAACAAAACCACCCCGAAGCACCTGGGCCCTCGCGAGGTCATGTCGGTGGCCGGGCAGCGCACGCCCTGCCTTGCGTGGTTTCTCACGGCTGCTCACTAACGCCGACAGCTGGTCTCCAGATCCACAGAAAACCCTGCTTTAAAAAATAAAAGCAAAACCTCTTGCCTCCTGAATGCCAGGGCTCAAGCTGGTACAAATCTTTTTCTGTGGTAGAATTTCAAGCCCTGCAGGTGTCTGTGGCAGGAGGCTCTCAGAGCCCAGGGTCTTGGCTTCATCCACAGACGGCTGGGTTGAAGGGGTGGTTTGGAGCCTCATGCTGCCCACTAGGCTGTGCCAGCTGTGCACCACCCTGCTCCCCACCCTCCGGGAGCAGCCATCCCCTTCCCCTGCCAGTGCGCCCCTCCCCAGGGCAGGTTTCAGCCATGTCTGCCCTGGAGATGAAGGTTCCCCGTCCATGCAGTGCACCCAGCACCACCTGCGTGCGCCCGTGGGAAAGGATGACCACAGCCCCTCGGCCAGGAGGATGTTAAGGGCGGTCTTGAGTTCCAGGCCCCGTCACAGTCCAGGCAGCAGAGCCCATTTTGCCACTGGAGAGAGCCCAAGCCCCCTGCAGTCATTCTCTGACAGTTTCTGTGGCCTCCTGAAGCACACGGGGGTGTAAACAGTGGCCTGCGTGGAGGCCTCAGGCTGCTGGTGGCTTTCCACCCCGTGCCCACCGGCCAGGTCCCGGGTGGATGAAGCACTCCCTGACCCTCCGTGAATGCCACATCGCCCGGCTCCGGAAAGAGCATGGCTGGTGGATTCTTCCCGGGCCTCAACTCGCAGCCTCTGACCCGAGAGCTGAGGTGTTGGGGAGAATTGGACTCAAGGCTGGGACAGTGTGGAGGCCCAGCCTCAGGCAAGGGGGAGGACACTGAGGCCGCCAGGAGCCGCCCCTCTGGCAGGGAAGGTGAGGAGGGTGGGCCGTCATCCATCTCAGAGGCTTCAGGCCCTGACCCCTCAGGAGCCTCAGGCAGAGCTTCCTCCCCAGACATCCCGGCTCACACGGCCACGCCAGGGCTAGCCCAGTGGATGCATGTCCAAGAGTAAAGAATACCACTTGAGCTTCAGGATTGCCTTTGCGGGGGATCCAGCTGGGGCCTTCCATTGGTGTTGGTGCTTCCTCGGCCAAAGGCCTTTTCTGTGATTCTGAAGCGGCTCCACGCCAGCCTCTGCTTCGTGTGGCGGCCTCCGCGGAGCACGTCCCGTCTGACCTTCACACCCCCATTCCTTTGCCCCTAGGCCACCGTGAACGCCCGGCCGCAGCGCGTCCTGGACACCTCCTCCCTCACGCAGTCGGCCCCCGCCAGCCCCACCAACAAGGGCGTGCACATCCACCAGGCGGGGTAAGTGCCGCCCGCTCAGCCTGCAGGTCCGTGGTGGTGACCGGGGCCCCACGGGCTGAGCTGTCCCTGAGCCGGCCTCCCCATCCTCCTCCTTCCCCGCCCTGTCTTGGCTTCGTCTCCTCCCCCCTCTCCAGCGGGCGTTCTTTCCCTCTCCCTCCCGGACACCCCGGTACCCGCCTGATCTGAGCCCTGCCTTGAGCTCTCCCCATCTTGAGGAACCCTTCATGTGCACATCATCTCAGCAAAAGTTGAATGAAGCCTGGTCTCTGTGGCCTTTCAGAGTTTGTAAGAGGGGATCTAGATCTCCAAATGGGTAACCAACAGGTGTTTGCACCTCAGGACGTGGCACTGCTGTGTGCTGAGCTCGCACATCCCGGCCCACTCGACTCTGAGCTGGGTTCGTCCTGTCCGCGCCACCTCCCAGGGTGCTGGAGTTCAATGAGGGACAACCCTGCCCCCTGCCAGGCGGGCAACCGAGCAGCATGGACTCGGCACCAGCAGCTGGGGTTCGGGAGCCATGATGGCATGCTGGGTGACTGAGGACACCCCGGGCCCTGGTGGCACCTGGGAGGGTGCAGGTGGCCCAGGAAGTTGTTCCATGTTCCCTCTCGAAGCCCCAGACTCTGCAGAGGATGCAGTGTTTGTTTTTCTTCCAATGGCAGGGGCTCCCCTCCGGCGTCCAGCACCAGCAGCTCCAGCCTGACCAACGATGTGGCCAAGCAGCCGGTCAGCCGAGACTTGCCTTCTGGCCGGCCGGGCACCACAGGCCCCGCTGGGGCGCAGTACACCCCTCACTCCCACCAGTTCCCCCGGACACGGAAGATGTTCGACAAGGGCCCAGAGCAGGTACGGGAGCCCGGCTGCCTGGTGATCTGGACACTGAGAGCGTTGCTTCTCAGATGGGGGCTCATGGCCTCAGCCTCAGGCTGCTCACATCACCATGGGATGGGGCAGGACCCACCCTGCCGTCCTGGGTCTGTGGGCCACTCTCTGCCTTTGCAGACCCGGGTGCTGGTCCTCACTCGTGCACCCCTCTGCCTGCACTCCTTAGGAGCACTGCTGGGTGTGTCCCGGTCCCTCTGCCTGCACTCTTTAGGAGCACTGCTGGGTGTGTCCCGGTTCTCCGCCCCTGGTTCTGGTTTCACCATTCTGGGCAGCTTCCATGTAACGAAACAGGAGCACGGAGTTACCTGGCTCTGCCCTTCCTGGGCACACAGCACTCTGCGTCCGCTTGGGGGCAGCTGCACTGCAGAGCATTTGTTCTGAATGTGTTGTCTTTTCTGTGAACATCCAAGTACGCTGCATAAATAGGTACACTCTCTTTGCCTTTAACTAAGTTGAAAAAGATATTTCTGGAGAGAGGAATGCCTGCTTTGTTTTGCCAGGGTTATGAGAGTGGTGTGAGGTGGCAGCTGGTCCGGAGACCTCGGCTGTCTCGTCCAGGTGCTGCCACTTTGTCAGTTGAGGGCACCTGGGCTCAAGAAGGTGGTTCAGGGCGCACCCAGCACACCCAGCTGCTCTGGGTGCTGACAGCATGATCATCTCAGCAATGAGTGGGGTCCGGGGCTCGCTTGGTAATCCAGTGATTTTAAAAGAAGTTAGCGGCCGCCTTGCAGGATGCCCTGGAGCAGGAACGGCCATGTTGGGGTAGAAGAGCTGTCACGGCAAGAGCGGACAGGTCCCCACAGGTGCTGCTCAGCCCCAGCCCACCTGGACTTTCCGTGTCTCGGCAGAGGAGGAGCGAGAATCACCACCGAGCCCCAAGTGCAGGGTCAGCCTCCTGGCCAGGCCCTGGGGAGCAATGCTACCGGCACGTGCAGCTCACCCACCCGACCCCCCGGGGTGGGGGGGATGCACCTCTCACTGCACCTGCCCTGAGATCATGGGGAGCTCCCTGTGCCAAGACACAGCGTGAGAGACGCCAGCAGGCCACATGGCGTGGCACAGGAGACCCCTGGTGCCCAGCCTCACTCCACAAGCACACACAGACTCTGACAGCCCTGGCCGCCACAGGTTCCACAACAGGAAACACCCAAAGCTCAGTCCTCCTCAGCTCCACATCCTCTTTCTCCAGTAGCTGGGAGCTCCAGCCGGCCTGCAAAGCTGTGCGCTCCGTCCAGGCCACTTCACATGGGAGTCCCCGCTCTCAGTCTGGTGTCACGGGGCCATCACAGGAGCTGTCCTGGAACCAAGCGGCAGAGGCTTTTTGGGGGTTGATAAACCAGCACACATGGACGCACGTGGCATTGTCTGAACAGTCAGTTAGAATTGACTTGGGAGCTGTGCTGGGTCGGCCCTGGGGATGGTGGGACCGACGTGGCTCACACTTCACAGCCCGGGCCCCTCAATCCCTGGCCAGACGTTCAGGGGTTCTTGGTCACCAGGATACGGAAGTGAGCAGAGCACAGAAGTGCCGTCCTTAGGGGCAGCCCGGTGCTCCCGGCAGCGCCTTTGTCCCCAGCTGCAGCTCTTTTGAGCTCAGGAGTGGCATGACTGACTGGTGTTTCTTTTTCCTTCCAACCCTCCTGCTTAAACCCTGAAGACTGCGGACGACGCGGACGATGCTGCTGGACACAAAAGTTTCATCTCCGCCACGGTGCAGACGGGGTTCTGCGACTGGAGCGCCCGCTATTTTGCCCAGCCCGTCATGAAGGTGCGCCCGGGGTGTGGGGTTCAGAGTAGAGTCCTAGCGAACATGTGTCTGTCCCACTTCTTTGAGCATAAACGCTCAAGGCTTGTGGCTGTGGGAGCGTCCCATTGTGGTCGTGGTAGTGATGGTCACGGTTGAGGTAGAACCGCAGAAGAAACAAACTTCACTTACCTTCCTGTCGCCAAACGAAAAGAGAAAACCTGCCTCGCTGGAGCTTCCCAGTGTGACAGGTGTCACTTTGCCTTAACTGACAGGGTCACCACAGGCCTTCCCACTCCCTAATGGTGAGGATCACTCGAGGCCCATCCCAAGGCCACGCTTGCGTGGCTCCGAGGTCTGGGGACTGTTAGACGCAGCCTGCTGCAGCCAATCCTAGCGCATTTGGGGTTACACCACAAGACCATCTCTGAGGCTCAACCCTGACACAGCCCTAACAAGCGCCGTGTGCTGTGGACGCAGTGGCTGTGTTCCTGCAGGCTGGGGCAGGGCGGCGGCTCTCGGCCTCTTCGAGGAATGGGGCGGGAGCTGCTTTGTCAGCACAGTCCCAGTGCTCATCTCTCTGCCAGGGCCCAGCAGGGACTCGTGGAGATTTTCTATAAATCTAAAGTGCATTCTGAGCAAACCTGCCTCTTCCCTCATATATAATTGAAAGCTGAAACTCTCAGCTTATTCTCGATTGTATATCAAGCTTGCGTCTTAGTCATCTCTGTGAATGGTATTTGGACCCCATGACAGCTCAGTCCCTGTGGTCCTGTCTTCATAGTGAATGCTGATTTCTGTTCATAAAAACAGAACCATCAGGCAGCCCCTGAGGCAGGCAAGCCATGAAGCTTGAACTACGGAGCCCCTTTACTGCAAAGAGAGAGGAGTTCGCCTCCCTCTTCTCACATGAACCTGGGTGGACAGTGGCCTGGCTGTTCTAGAAAGCGTCTTGCCGGGAAGCATCAAACGCCTTAAATAGCCGTTCCCTTTGACCCAGTCATGAATCTGCTAAAATACTGTCTTGAGAAAATAATCAGAGATGTAGATGACTTCCGTGTTGTTTCTAAGAACGAAAATTGAGATTCACTTAAATGTCCACAGAGGGTGAATAGTTAAAAAGTTATGAAATATTTGATGAGATATTATTGGAGCTACTGAAAAGTTAAACATTAAAAATAGTGTCCTAAGGAAGCGCTCATGACAACATTCCTTAAAAAGAAAAAATGCAAAATGCAGACCAAGAAGCCAGATTTACAGAACAATCACAGCCGTGCTTCTCATACAGACACAGATGTGCATACGACGGAGACCAGCAGAGCCCGCTCCTAACTAGAGATTCGCAAATGGCGCCACCCACGACTGCACTGAATTGGGCTTCTTTTGTGCCTCTTCTGCAGTTTCTACACTAAGCACGAAGCACCTTTAGAGTCGGGGGAAAAGAATCAAAGAAACAAACCCCAGGAGATCATTGAGGCTGGTGGATTCAGTCCTAGTCAGAAGCCCCTCACCAGGCCCACCTGCTGGGCTCACCGCTGCTTACCTGCGGGTGGCATGAGGGTGGCGGCCCCTGCAGACAGAGGGAAGTGCCCCTTCCCATCACTAGGAGGCTTCTGGTTAGGAAAGGAAAGCATACACAAATCCTGGAATTGGATGCAGGAAGCAGGAGCCACCCAAACTCTGAGTGAGCCAGAGCTGGGAGGTGGCTGGACACTGTGCCAGGGGTGCCAGGCCGTCCTCTAGAACTGCGGCCCAGTCTGTTGAAAAGTCAATGGAATTTAGTCTAATGTTAACAAGCTTGGTGTCCTTGATGCGGTCTCGTGCTTAAGGCAGACAAGGTCAGGCGACTAAGAAACCCACATGGTCTGGTCTTCGCTCTTGCTGGGATGGCAGTGGCTGTACATGTTGGTAATTTCTTGGTGTGATAACGAGAGGCTTTTCTTGAAGTCCTTGAAAAATGCCTATTCTCAGTCATCTATCCTATGATGAAAGAGGAATGGCATAGATAATCCAAAACTCATTGCTCTTAAACTTAAAAATGAATTTGACTTTTCCCCAAAGGATTTGCTTTCCTTTCCTAAGCATTTTTAAGTACACAGCAGCTGATTGCAGGAGGAAGTTCCCCAGAGGCATGTGGAAGGCCGTGTGTGTGTCTGTCTGTCTGTCTGTCTGTCTGTCTCTATGTGTGTGTGTGTATCCCTGTGTCTGTCTGTGTGATGTGTGTGTGTATCTCTGTATGTGTGTATGTGTATCTCGTGTGTGTGTCTGTGTGTTTCTGTGTGTCTGTGTGTGTGTGTCTATTTGTTCCGGTGTGTGCAAGCCCCAAGCCAGCGTCTCCTCTCCCTTTCTTCAGATTAGCAGCCCCTCCTCCGCCTGCCCTCATCTCCTCCATTTGCACATCTGAGAATTCCCGCCCGCACGGAGGAGCTGGAGGGTGTCAGCCTTGTGGTCTGGCCCTGCCAGCAGGTCCTGCTGTGTGGACACTGCAGAGGAGATTAGTCCAAGGGGATCCATGTAGGAGCTGCCATCACACAGGAGGTTGATCAGGAAACGGTTGCTGAATGAGTAAATGATTGTCTTCCTCTGCCCCTGCCAAGTATTTGAAAACAAATGCTCACTTGGTTGTCGTTGAAACAACAGGCTCTGGGTGTCATGATGGAAAAGAGCGCCGTGTTGTGGTCGGCGTCGTCTGTAACTCCTGATAGCAACTGCAGTCTTAGGAGTGTCTTTAACATTAGAGACCTTTTCCAAACTTCAGAAGAGGAAGCAGGACGTGTTTTCTCTTGTTTAAAAAAAAAATTGTTTTCCTACTTTTTCTAGGTGGTATTCATAAAGGTATTCTTTTACTGATTTAATTCATCATCTAATGACATTTGTGTAACGAGCTGCATTAGGAACTTCTTGTTATTAGCCTGCTTCACATGTAAACTAAAAATAGCTCTAAGGCTAGGATTGAACCTAAAAAAGAACAGAAGAACTGCAAACCCGAAACTGCTTCAAGGTATATAAGAAACTAAAACAGTTACCAGGTCACAAAATAATGACCAGTTTACACTGACATGCAACTAGCGATTAGCAGGATGAGCATCCAAGGACACCGTGGTAAGGACAGCGTCTGCTAACGTTTTTATTAGTTCACCGTCAGATTTCGTACAGGTCCGTATGACTAGAAAGAGCCGTGTTCTGTCTGCGGCTCACCTTTGATTGGTGAAGCAACCTCCTTTCTTCCCATGTTGGTTTACGGAGCTCGTGTCTACATTAGAAACCACAAAAGAATATTAAAAATGGTCTGCCGTGTGCTTAAGAAAGAAAAAGATGTATTGAATTGTGTTCTGATTACAAAAGTCATACAACTTTTTTCTTCTCTCAGTTGGAAGGTTTCAAAAATTGATTCTATCCAGAGAATCAATCCCTACAAGGCTGTAGGGGCATGTGAACTCTCAGACACTGTTGGTGGGTGGGTCCAGTACTCCCTTTGCTTAGGGCAATTAAGCAGTAACTGTCAGGATTAGAAAAGGGTATACCTGCAAAGCCAGCAATCCTGCTAGGAGGCATATATTCTTAAAAACCACTAATATACATGTCCATGAAAGGGTTCTGCCCGGAGATGTTCATGATAACATGATTTGTAATGGGAAAAAGTTGAAAAGAATCACTTAGTAGGAGAGTTAATTTAAAATGATGGATCCATGGGTTAGAATACTATACAACCATTAAAATTCTTTAAGTTGTATCTTTCTATGAGGACTTGGTTGGATGTCCTTGATCCAAAAGGTAAAATAATCAAATTGTACAAAATGCTTGCACGAGCTCTGTGCTTCTGTAGACTGGAACAAGCACGGGAGGAGGCTTGGCCAGTTACACAGCAGGCTGGCCACACAGTGACTTCTAGAAGGTGGAGTTGGAGCCAGGCAAGGGGACTGTTCTTTTTTTCATCATTTACTTCTGGATGATTTGAATTTTTTAGAAAGAACAGTTATTAGTTTTGCAATTTAAAACAGACTAAAATACCATTTTTAATTATAAAAAGCTTTAAGAGTCGATACGCTGTTGGGAGGCATCACACGCAGAACCCAGTTTATTTCACACAGCCCTTAAAGCTACAGTGGGGATTTCCGTTTGGCGGCTCCGCAGAGCATGGGGATCTTGTTTTGCCCTGAGAGCATCTGCTCCTCTAGGGTGGATGCGGAAGCTGCACTGCCCGTCATCAGATCTGCGGCTGTGCAGCTGGGGTTTCAGTGCACCATTAGAAACTCAGGCAGTGAAGGAGCGACTTGAGATGGCCATAGTCCCCACGCAGGGTTCCCTCCCAGCACTGGGGTTGCCCTGCCTGCATGGCTTCCGGTCCCGCTTTTCTCACTATGCAGTGAACATTGAGCATCCTGTCATAGATTCTCCCACAAAAATGACTTTTTCTGTTTTGTTTTGTTTTTCTCCTCTGAGAATGACACTCTGTGTGACATTCTTTATATAAACCTGCAGCAGGCAGAGCCTGAGAAGTCCCCTCGTGCCACCCTCAGCTCAGTTCATCCTTGGCTCATCCTCGGCTCATCCTCAGCTCATCCCTGGCTCATCCCCAGCTCATCCTCAGTTCAGTTCAGCTCATCCTCATCCCCAGCTCATCCCCAGCGCATCCTCAACTCATCCCCAGCTCATCCTCAACTCATCCCCAGCTGCTCCTCAGCTCATCCCCAGCTCAGCTCATCCCCAGCTCATGCCCAGCTCATCCCCAGCTCATGCCCAGCTCATCCCCAGCTCATCCTCAGCTCATCCCCAGCTCATCCTCAGCTCAGCTCATCCCCAGCTCATCCTCAGCTCATCCCCTGCTCATCCTTAGCTCATCTTCAGCTCATCCCCAGCTCAGCTCAGCTCATCCTCAGCTCATCCTCAGCTCATCCCCAGCTCATCCTCAGCTCATCCCCAGCTCAGCTCAGCTCATTCTCAGCTCATCCCCAGCTCATCCTCAGCTCATCCTCATCCCCAGCTCATCCTCAGCTCATCCCCAGCTCATCCCCAGCTCATCCCCAGCTCATCCCCAGCTCATCCTCAGCTCATCTTCAGCTTATCCACTTCAGTCTGCTGTGGGCTTCACCCGCCTCAGGAGGACAGCTGGCTCCACCCCAGCTGCAGCTTCTAAAATGGGTGCTTCCTGTTCTTTCCTGGAAAGTTCAGAAGGAAAGCAAATGGATAGGTCGATTCCCCTCCAGGAAGACCAGAATAGAATAAGTCGTTGGTTTTGGATGGAAGCTGCGTGAAGAACACACTTGGTGGGTGGAAGTGGGAGACGTAGCTTCTCTGACTTTGTTTCCACTCAGCCACCACCAGCTGGACTCTGGTGCTCGCAGTCTCCGAGGCAGCAGGACAGCTTCCTCCCACAGCTGGGGCAGGGACCGTGCAGTGCCATTCTGCTCACCTTTCTCCACACTTGGCTGTAGTGCCAGCGCCTGTCTGGTAAATTACTGCTGAGTGTTAAACAGTCAGGGGTCAGGTTTATCAGCCAAGTCAGACAGGCTTGTTTTAGAGAACACTGTGATTATTCAGTGTTGTTTAAATTAAATACGTGGTTATTCTAACCGTGCATTCTTAGAGAGTTTCATCCTGGTTTTGCTTGGCTGCACGTGCAGAGGGTCCTGTGGGCAGTTCCTTCGGCCTCAAGCGTATGGGAAATATTGCTCTGGTAAAAGCCGCAGCCTGGTTCCACCTCCGCCTGCAGACAGCTGGAAAGAGCACCACTCCCACCTTGGAAATAAGAAAAGGGCAGAAAAGCTATAAAATTCTGACTTTTCCTGAACTCATCAGAGAGCTGAGGTGGCAGGGGAAGTGAGTTGCCCAGCAGGGAAGGGAAGAGGTGCCTCCAAGGAGAGCCGGACCATGAGCACCAGTTCCCTGCAGCAGAGCAGAAGGGGCCAGCAGGGAGAAATGCTCACCTGAAATTGGCAGTGGTTTGCGCAAGGCTAAACCTGGACCAATGGAGAATCTCAAACCTTTGGGAGCCACAGGCTGCACAGGCCATGGACGTCCACTGGGCCCTCACCCAGAAGATTGAGGTGGGACACGAGAAGAGCCCCTCAGAGGTGTGGGCCCGCAGCAGGCTCTCCTGTGCTGCTCCCCACAGAACATAACCTGCAGCTCCTGATGAAAGACAGCAAACCCTGTCGCCCCCAGAGCACAGGCGAAGACCCACTGCCACAGAAGAACTGCAAAAGAAAACCTTCCATCTCCAGCAGGGCGAGGACCTGCCACGTGTGGCACACTGCAGGGAGCAGGACAGAGTCACTGAGAAGGTTCCACCCTGAGACCCAGAGACACAGGCCCTGCCTCAGTCAGAGTCTGGGCTAGAGCAACAGAGAGCCCTTCGGACCCTTCCAACAGGCTAGCAGGCTCCAGGCAGCAGGCACAGCAGTCGAGCTGTAGCAGGGGCACAGGAGCATAGAGAGAGAAGCCCCCCAAGGTGCAGACACACGAGGAAAGCCAAAAACCAAGGGAGGGTGGGGTGGGAACCCTGGCAAAAACCCTCCCGAAACCCAGGCCCTGCTTGAAGCATGAGGTAGTGTGAGAGGAATCCGAAGCTGGCCACATGCTGAGTGTCACCATGGCAACAGTAAAACCCAAGCCCATTTCAGTGCCTCGCTAGATTGACTGAACTCTTTAACAGTCTAGTAATAGAGGCACACCCATTTCCAGGCATGCATATATATATATATATATACACCTTAGTCTCTGCTGTTCTACACATGAAGTCTGGAATTCATTCAGAAATTAGGAGAGGCTGGGCATGGTGGCTCACACCTGTTATCCCAGCACTTTGGAAGGCCAAGACAAGAGGATCACTTGAGCCCAGGAGTTCAAGACTAGCCTTGGCAACGCAGCAAGACCTCATGTCTACTAAAAAGAACAAAGGAAAAGTATGAGATGCCCCCAAAAATATAAGACAAACACGCCTGCCATCAAGAGACAAAGCAGAGAAAGACCCAAGGGCAACCCAGATGTTGGAACTATCAGAGATGGAGTGGAAATAACCAAGATTAATATGACCTAAAGGCATTGACAGCAAAGGTAGACAACAAACATGAACAGATGAGGGATTTCAGCAGAGAGTTGGACACTAAGAAAGAGTCAAGTGAATGCCCCCCAGAGGCCTATCTGTGACCTCAAATAGCCAAGGAAAAAAATCAGTGAATTTAAAGACAGGTCTATAGAAAGTACCCAAAATGAAGCACAAAGACTACAAAGAGTGGGAAAAAAACAAACAGGATTGCAGATCATCTGAGAGCTTCAGGACAGTACAAAGCAGTCCAACATCTAACCACAGATCCAGCAAAGATCCCAAATCATGGTATATACAGACACACACATGCACGTGCACACACACATATACACACACAGCTGGACACATATCTAAGCCACCACAAACCAAAGATAAAGAGAAAACCTTGAAGACCTCTGGAGCAAAAGGACACATTACTTACAGGGGAACAAGGACAAGAATCACCACAGACTTCTCATTAGAAACTGTGTAAGACAGAGATAGTCCAGTAATATCTTTAAAGTGCTGAAAGAAACTGTCAACCTAGAATTCTGTACACACAAAAATATCTTTCCCAAAAGAAGGTAACAAGACAAACATATCCTCTCTTGCCACTTGTCTTCAACACTGAACTGGAAATTATAGCCAGGGAAGTTAGGCGAGCAAAAGAAATAAAACATATCATATTGGAAAGAAGAATAAAGCCATCTCTGTTCACAGATGACATGATCCTGAATATTGAAAATCATTCAAAATCCATTTTAATAGAGTATCAGAACTTAAAAACCAATGCAGCAGTATTGTACCCACAAGCTCAATATCCAGTAACCATTTGTATCAGAATCCCCTACACTAGTAATGAAAACCCTAAAAATGCAATCAAGAAAACACTTTCATTTATAATCATAGCAAAAATAATAAAATGCTTAAGAATAAACCTAGTAAAAGAAATGTAAGACTTGTACTGAAACATTATTGAATGATACTAAAGAAGACTTAAATAAAGGGAAAGAAATCACACATTCATAGGTCAGAAGACTAACATTAAGTTGGCAGAACTCCCCAAATAGCTCTACAGATTCAGCACCATCCCTGGCAGCCTTTTTTGCAAAAATTGACAAGCTGATACTAAAATTTGTATGGCAATATAAGGGACCCAGAATAACAAAAGAAAAATGTAAGAGACAAACATACTGAACAACTCACGCTTCCTGATTTCAAAACTTACTACATAGCTGCACTAATTAAGATACCATGGCATTGGCTTAAGAGCAGACATATAGGTCAATGGATTTGAATTGAGAGCCCAGAAATATACCTTCCGTCACTGCTTTATGCCTATAAACTCTACAATTTAGGCGAGATAGACAAATTCCTTGGAAGAGATTACTACCCAGCGTCATTTGATAGCAAAGAGATAACCTGAATAGTTCCTGTCTATTAAAGAAAATGAAGTTTTCTTGCTTTGTTTTGTTTGAGATGGGGTCTCATTCTGTTGCCCAGGCTGGGGTTCAGCGGTGCAATACCTTCCATCACTACTTTATGTCCATAAAACTCTAAAATTTAGATGAAATAGACAAATTCCTTGGAAGAGATTACTACCAAACGTCATTCAGTAGCAAAGAGATAACCTGAATAGTTCCTGTCTATTAAAGGAAATGAAGTTTTCTTGCTTTGTTTTGTTTCAGATGGGGTCTCATTCTGTTGCCCAGGCTGGGGTTCAGCGGTGCAATACCTTCCATCACTACTTTATGTGCATAAACTCTAAAATTTAGATGAAATAGACAAATTCCTTGGAAGAGATTACTACCAAACGTCATTCAATAGCAAAGAGATAACCTGAATAGTTCCTGTCTATTAAAGAAAATGAAGTTTTCTTGTTTTGTTTTGTTTGAGATGGGGTCTCATTCTGTTGCCCAGGCTGGGGTTCAGCGGTGTGATCATTGATCTTTGCAACCTCAATCTCCTGGACTCGAGAGACCCTCCCACCTCTTCCTCCCCAGGAGCTGGGACTACAGGCATGCACCACCAGACACAGCGAATTTTGAAATTGTTTACAGAGATGGGGACTCGCTATGTTGCTCAGACTGGTCTCAAACTTCTGGGCTCAAGCAGCCACCTCAGCCTCTCAAAGTGCTGGGATTATGGATGTGAGCCACTGCATCTAGCCAAGAAAATGAGTTTTTAACTAAAAACTCAACACAGAAAACTTCTGACCCAGAAAGTTTCGCTGGCAACTGTACCAAACCTTTAAGGAGGAAATAATACCACTTCTGCACAACCTGTCACAGAAAATTAAAAGGAGTGAACACTTCCCAACTCAGTATATGAAGGCAGCATTTTTCTGATATCAAAACCAAAGATATCACAAGAATAAAAAACACAGATTCCCAAGTCCTCAGCATCGTATTAACAAGCTCCAGCCAGGCACAGTGGCTCATGCCTGTAATCCAGCACTTTAGGAGGCCAAGGCAAGGAGGATCGCTTGAGTCCAAGAGTTCAAGACCAGCCTGGGCAGCACTGCAAGACCCTGTCTCAAAAAAAAAAAAAAAGGCATTATACAAAAATCAGTTGTATTTCCATATGAGCAATTGGACATTGAAATTTAACATCAGTACCATTCAAAATAGCACCAAAATACATGAAATACTTAAGTATAAATCTTTTTTCAAAATATGTGAAAGATATGTATTCTGAAAAATATAAAACACTGATGAAAGAAATGAAAAGGTCTAAGTAAATGGAGACCATGCTCCTGGTTTAGAAGACTCAATAATATTAAGATTCCAGTTCTCCCTAAATTGATACATAGATCAATGCAACCCCAATCAAAACCCCAATAGGATTTTTTTTGGTAAAAATAGAGAAGTTTATTCTAAAATTTATGGGGAAAAGGAAACTAAAATAACCAGAACAATTTTGAACTAGAAGAACAAAGTTAGAAGCCTCACACTATCTTATTTCAAGACTTGCTATAAAAAAAGTAATCAAGATGGTGTGGGATTGGTGAAAGGTTAGATGCGTAGATCAATGGAACAGAATAGAGAGCCCAGAAATTGGTCTACACAAATATGTTCAATTGATTTTCAACAAAGGTGCAAAAACAATTCAATTCAATGGAGAAAGGATACTCTTTTCAACCATTGGTACTGGAGCAATTAACAACCAGTTGTCAAAAAAAATAAAAAGAAGAACCTCGATCAGTACTTCACACCTTATACAACAATTAACTCAGAGTGAATCATAGCCCTAAGTGTGAAACCTAAAACTATAAAACTTCTAGAAGGAAACAGAAAAAAAAATATTTCTGACCTTGTAGGTTAGGCAATGTCTTCTTTAATAAGATGCAAAAAGTACAAGTCAAAAAAGAAAAAAACGATAAGTTGGGCTTCATCAAAATTAAAAACTGCTTTTTAAAGACAGTTAAGAAAATGAAAAGACAAGTCACAGACAGAGCGAAAATTATAAAACACGTAAGATTAAGATCTTGTGGCTGTTATACATAACCCTCAAAATTCCATGATAAAGGAAATAAGCAGCCCAATTAAAAAACAGTGGCGAAAGATTTTACAGACACCCCACCAAAGAAGATATACAGGTGGCAAATAAGGACATGGAATGATGCTCATTGTTAAGGATCTTAATCACGGGAAAGTACGGACCCCTGCAGTGAGATCCCACTACACACCTGTTAGAATGTCTCGAATCTTAAAATCTACCAAGTGTTGGCAAGGGACACGGAGCATCTGAAACCCTCATTCTTGGCTACTGCAACTACAAGATGCTACAGACACCTTGGAAAAGGTTGTCAGTTTCTTACAAAGTTAAACGTATGCCTACCATGCAACCTAACCATTCTACTCCTGGATATTCACCAAGAGAAGTGAAAACATGTTCATTCAGAAACCTGTATGTGAATGTTTATAGTGACTGTATTCATAGTCACCAAAAACTGGAAACAACCCAAGTTTCCTTCACCTCGTAAAGAGAGAAGCTGATACAACCATACAATGAAAGACTCATCAGAACAATATTTAAATAAACTATTGATAAACGCAGTGGCACAGATGCATCTCAAGTGTATCATGCTAAATGGAAGAAGCTGCTCAAAAGACTGTATCCTGTATGATCCATGTATACAACATTCCAGGGAAGGCAAAACTGTGTGGAACTGTTCTATATCTTCCACATTTATCAAAACTCCGCCTGTACCTACAGAGGGCGAAATTCACTGTACGTAAGTTACATCTTCATCAACCTCATGTTGCGGGGAGAAGAAACTCTTTTCCCTCTTGTGCTGAAGTCACATGAAAGATGATGTAAATGCCTTGTTGAGGAGTGAACGTGCATAGCAAGCTCCGAGCTTCATTCAGAGCTTCTCCCCCCTCCACAGCTTGGCGATTTGTGGTAACACAAAGGCTGTGTCCTTGGACGTAATGTACACGAGACACTGGCAGAATCAAATCACCTCTGTTGCCTGTGGACTCACGACGCACACCACTACCTCTTCCGCCTCTTCCTCTGCTGCCTCTGTCCACGGAGGGGACTTTATTGTTCAGTGGGGAGGGGATAGTTTGTTGCTAAACCGTGGGGAAAATAATAAAAAGCGTCAAGGGGAAAAGCACATCACAGAGGCAAATTTGCCCTCACTTCAGGTCATCAGGAGCTAAGCGGGTGGAGAGGGAGGGAGCTGGCAGTGTGAGCGTTTAATGTGTTAGCGATCTTTTCCCATGGGTGCCTCTCCCCTTTTGCCTTCACCCAAGTCTTTCTCAATCTTGATAGTCATGTACCTGTTTTGAATTTTATCCCCTGCACCTTGAACCTTTCTAAATTCAGAGGGATTGAAGATAAGACTCAGCTCTAAGGCTCCCAGATTCCCCGGATAAGAATTTATCCCAAAACTGCCCCAAACTGCTGCTTTCCCGTAAGTCTTCTGGGGAACCTCTAATCTCCCTTTATTCCTGAGCCCCAGGTTTTTCTTTGCAACAGGAAAGGAGTTGTGTTTCATTGGCTTTCAGCTGAAGCCTCTGTGGGAGGCTTCAGAATCGTAATTGGTTTCTGTCTGAGTGGAAGCCAAGAGGTACAGGAGTGTCAAGATCCTCATCATGTAACAGGATCAGCGGCACCCACAGCCTCCAGGAGCTCTGTTTACAGGGAGGCTCAGCCTGCACTGGGCCTGGGCCCTTTTTTACTGAAAAGCCTTTATTCAGCCTGAAGAGAAACAGGTGGAGAGGAGGCGACAGAGCCGATGATGAAGAGCTGCGGTGTCATTTGCTGCCTCCGTGCTGAGCGGCGGTCACATCCTAGTTTCCCAGGGTGGGTGCCCGCATCTTCCACGGCATCTCTGCCTTCCCCTGGCCTCTCCATCCACCGCTCTCCCTCCTGCCTCACGCCGCACCTCCACTTCTGCCCATGCTTGTCCTGTGACCCTCGTGGTCATAGCTGGTTGTCCTGACACAGACACTTGGGGTGGTTCCGGAACCGCGTCCCGTTCAGAAAGTCTCTTCCCAGCCCAGCAAGGGCTGTAAAGGAAGGCTGTGGGCTCTCTCCTAGAGCTCAGATTAGGGAAGTGGCGGCCCCTACCCCTACAGGCAGAAGCCCCTGGGCCGGGAGAGGGCCCTTGCAGTGCCGTGGCAACAGGACAAGTGTGGGGCCCCCTGAAACCCCTCAGCTCCTGTCTCCGGGCGTCCTGTGCCCCTCCCTGTTCTGGCATGGGCCCCCTCTCAACCTTGCAGTCGTCTTTGTTGTCTTTGGAGCTGAGGCTCTGAAGCCGCCCCATTTCTACCCCCCACGTCTGGATTCTTTGCCTGAGCTCAGGCCCAGGACCATAGAGTGCCGGGCCAAGGAGCTGGAATTCCCATCAGTTCCTCTCCCTTCCCACTCGAAAGTTCCTTCTAGACTCTTCCTCTAATTTATTCCCAGAGAAGCCCGAGTCTCATTAAAGTGCAATGTCTCTGTTCCTGCACAGCTTTGAGTCTTTCCACCGCGGGTTTTTTCTTATTACTGTTCTATGTTATTTACCATTTGTCATTTCTTTTCTAATAAGCTCAGGATTGTCGTCAAGTGAAACTGGTTGCTAAGAATCCACAGTCTATCCCATTTGCCGTTGCGGGATTATTTCTAAATCAGAAAATGTGCGGAGGGAGCCATTTGACACCTTTTGTGGTTACTGTTTCCGGGTTTGGATGTCTTTTTTGCTGTGTTGTTGCTGTTTTATCGAGTGTGGTTTTGTGACTTTTAAGAAGAAAAAGAAGGAAGCAGAGCAATCAAATGCTAGGAACTGAGCCACAGCCACCCATGAGCACGGGGTCAGACATGAGGTTTGGGGCTTGCCTGTTTCTGTTTTGTAATCAGAGCTGACACAAAGCATTCGAGGAAGAGACACAAAGAATGCTCTGTAAGCATTTGCACATGATAACCACCTACAACGACCGCCTAAAACTCCACACGGAGAAACCGTTTTCTTTCTCCGCCACATTTACGTGCAAGGACGCAAACACGGCCATGCGCCATAGTCTTTATTCCCATTTCTTCTATCAGAGAAAGCGACTTTTTAATAACTAATGCAGGCTCTCTTTTTCCTTTGTCGAGACAGAGTTGCTTTTAGCCAAAAGGAATTAGGGTTCTTACCTTGTTTATTTCATTTATTTTATATTTTGGGTCTTCACAAGTCTTAGTTTCTTAGCAAGGAACAGAATTAGCCAGATTGACTGGACGGCATGTATGCTTAAGGAAATGCATCTGCGTAACCCAGACAAGTGGCCATCCTCCCGCGGAAAGTCAATTAAATCCTAGTTAGTATTTGCCAAGTGTGGACCTCTCCTAGACGCTGAACGTGCACACCCCAACCCACATGTGCGTGCACACACACAGACACATGCACGCACTCGCACACACGCACACACACGCATGCACGCAAAGGCCCTGAAGTGAATGAAGACCTTTGCTCAGGGAAGAGAGGGCAGCAGCATGTCTAGCGTCTGCATATTTCAAGTGAAAATAAACTTGGTCTTTCTGAAGCTGTCTCATTAGGGAAGGCACTGAAGTTCTCACGAGTTAGTTTAACCCCAGCCAGGCTTGCAGCTCAGCACCCTCCTAGCTCTTCCACCATCAGGAGCCCAGTGGCACCCCCTCTGCTGCCCAGGAAGGTCCCACACTCTCTCGGGGCCCGGCCTGGCCTCTCATGAGGCTGTCTTCCTTCTGTCTCGTAAGCTCCCTCATCTTCCAGCCAGCTGCCTGGTTCCCTTTGGCATTAGAGAGAGAATAAAGGCAGTGTCTCCTCAAGCGCACCTGCCTCCTGATTGTGTTTTCAGTGTTTGAAGCGGCATTCGGTGCCCCCCTGCCCTGCTGCTCAGTGCTGACCTCAGTGCCCCCCATTCCCTGGGGAGGCGTTTCCCAAGGCCCTGGTCCCCATCATACACCTGTCAGCCTCACAGGCCACTCACTCAAGGGTCTCAGAGCCCCCACACTAGTGAACACAGGCGTGGAGAGCGCCTCTCCCAGCTCCGGGGAGGGACCAGCGATGTGTTTTGTAGCAGACACAGGACCCACAACAGCCCGTGCCTCTGGTGCACTGGCCAGACGAGAAGCCCAAAGCCTTCAGCCTTTGAGAAAGAGGTGCCTTCATCTGAAAATAACTACAGCCAACCCTCCATGTCCACAGGTGCTGCATCCGCAGATTCAACCAATTTTGGATAAAAAAACAAATGTAAATAACAAAAATAAATTTAAAATAACAATACAACAAGAAACAATCCAAATTTTAAAAATACGGCATAGCAGCTATTTACACAGCGTTGACACTGTGTCGGGTATGGCGGGCAAGCTAGCGAGGGTTTGAGGTGTGCCGGAGGATGTGTTCTGCTTGTACGCAGATGCCACACCCTTTCGTATTGGGGACTGAGCCGCGCAGGTTTTGCTATCCGAGGGGTCCTAGAACCCATACCCCATTGATACCAAGAGACAACCCTGTTTCATCGCTGGGCTTAACTGGGTGTTTTCTGTTGTTGAAGATCCCAGAAGAGCACGACCTGGAGAGTCAGATCCGCAAGGAGCGGGAGTGGCGGTTCCTGCGAAACAGCCGTGTCAGGAGGCAGGCCCAGCAAGTCATTCAGAAGGGTAAGGGCACCCGCACAGCCAGCCAGGGGCTCATTCCGGGGGTGGGGCCTGGGGCGAGGGTCCCCTGTGAGCAGGCCCCCCGCGGCCCACGCACAACCTTCTCCAGCCATCCACTGTCCCACGACAGACCCGCCCCGCACCCCACCTCCCTTGCAGATAAGCACATCAAGGCTGGTGGAGATGAAGCTGCTGCTCCTCAAGGTTCTGCAGCCCAGAGTGGGGAGGGGAGGGGCCGGGTGGGAACCCAGCCACCGCCTGGGAAGAGGGCTCTCCCGGGACCCTGCCTCTTCCTCTGCAAGGGCAGCCCTCAGCCCTCGGGATTATCAGCGCAGGTGGAACTCATGGAGGCGGAACTTTGCATGTTGACATTTCCGGAAGGGAAGGCCTCTGAGAGCCCACATCTCCCCACCCGGACAGGTGTCGTTGCGCCAGGCCCTACACATGGCGCATCCTTCCCTGGAAACAGGAAGTGAAAATGCCAGGCCCTGCTTTCCTCAGCTGGCCTCCACTTGTCCCTGAAATGGTGGCCAGCTCTGTCACCCCACATCTCAGTCATGATTTTCCTAAACCTTCTCCCAGATTTGCCACTAGATGCCAAATCGCTCCCTTCACCTACCTTGTTGTTTGCTCTCCCAGCTGCACCCGGGGTGGAGGGGCAGGGAGCAGCCCTGGAGGGGGCGGTGTCTGTTGCCGCAGACAGCGGAGGGAGCTCCTTGCGGAAGGGATCCAGGCTGCAGGCGGCCCCGGTCACAGAGACTGTGTGGGGAGCAGGGAGGCCCTGAGAGTCAACACAGCAATGAGGGTGTCAGGCAGCCCCATCCCAGGGACCCTGGCCTCTCCCCAGGATCCAGGAGAGTACAGGGGCCCAGGCCCAGCCCTACAGCCCCACTGAGGGCACGGAGCAGCAGTGGTGTCTCCGCACTCCTCCCCCTGCCCTCGCGGCCACAGGCTCCCACCACTGAGCCAGCTCTGGCTGGGGGACCTCAAGCTGCCCCCAACCAAATCAGCACCATCAAAAGTCAAGGACTCTGACCCCAGTCTGCAGGTTTATTGTTTTGACCTTGCATCTTTGTCCTGTAAAATTCTGGAGATTATTATGGGTTACTTTCTGAAGTTGAGGTTGATGACCCGTAGGACAGATGTCCTCCCTCCTGCCAAAGCCGAGGGCCCTGCCCGCAGGCAGCACAGGCGCCATGAGCGCGTCCTCAGCGAGCGTGCCTAGGCCCGGCTCACACCTCTGCTCTGCTGATCACCGAAAACACTGCTGACTTCTGGTACCAGCAACGTTTCTGAAGCGCATTCCCACGCAGCTCTCTCTGTGAAAGACTGCGGTTCATCTCGCATTAACGCAGACGGTGGCTGTTGTGCTGAAAGCTAATTGTGGTTGTTTGTAGCCCTCTGTGCATCTGAAGAGCTGGCGGCAGACCAGGTTTAAAGCATCGCATGTTGCAATCCGGTGCGTGCTGCCCCGGCGGCCGCCGCTGAACCTTGCAGCCAGGGTGGCTTTCTCCAGCAGAGAGAACAGACCCTGCTGGATGAGCGTCTCCAGGTGGCGGCGACAGGAGGCTGTTTTCCTGGAGGTTAGCGATTCTCTAGGACCCCAGCCTGCTAGCTGGGATGGCCAGCACACGGGGGCTGCCTGCTGCCTGAGACAGGCTTGGGAGCTGAGTCTGCCTCACACAGTTCAACATCTGAAGATGAGCTGGCCCCTGATGGCCAAGGTGATGCTCTGGCCTGGAGCCTGTGGTCAGAATTGAGCAGGGTGCGAAACAGAGCCGGCATTCGAGACCCAAAACCGAGATTTCTAGACCAAAAAAAAGAATATATTTGTAAACCAGAGTTTGTCCAGACACACAAAGGAGGAGCTGCTGAGCCGCTGGAGACACCACCAAATGAGGCCTCAAGACACAGGGGATGGTGCCAGCAGGCGTGGTGCCAGCAGGCGTAGTGCCGGGAGTCACTGAGGAGTGAGGCCGCGCCCTCCTCCCAGTCCTCTGTCCTCGGAATTCGGATTCGGTGCAGGCGTTTATTTTCATTTAAGGAGCCAACTGTGTGCTGGGAAAGATGTGAGCATTGAGAAAAAGGAGGAATTGATGCCTGTAGATGGAAGAGAACCAGAGAAGTCGGCGTCGCCCAGGAGACGGGGTTGGGAAAGCCCTGTGTCACGCAGGCCCCTGCCCGGCTCTTCAGCCTTCTCCTGGGCAACATTCACGACCTTGGCTGTCACGCACTGATTTTCAAACGTACCAAATGCGTGGGCTGGGTGGGGTTTCCCTTTGTCCTTCAGTGCTTAGAATTATGCCCAAACTCCGTCCAGAACTCCCTGCAGCTGGGAATGGAGGCACCACTAGGGTAACACGGTGCTGCCGCCGCACCAAAGCCTTCGGGCCTGCCTGCCTCTGTGAGTGCAGCCTCTCCTTGTATAACGTGGCATTCATTTCCTTTCCGTGGTTCTGGGTGTTTGCTGGGGACTGACATTGTTGGAAACAGTAGCTCACCCGAGGTGCCGAGCACACACCAGGCATCAGTGAGGCTTCAGCCCGCAGACTCCGTGGCCCTGGTGCCACCTGGACAGTGCCAGGCACAAGCGGAGGGGCTGTCAGCTGCTGGAGGTGGGCGGCTTTGGCTGTGCTTAAGCCCAGTTCAGAGCAGCCTGCAGCAGAGTGCCCAAGTCGCGCGGCTTTGACCTTGCACCCCGACGGTAGGCTCCTTCTGTTGTAGGACTTTTTAATTCAGCTAAAAACAGGGTCTTTGTCACATGACCATGAAAAATTAGGCTCCCAGACACTTTGAAGGGTGGGAAGGGCAGGGTTTATTGGGTGAGAAGGAAAAAACGGGAAACAGGGCCTCCCCGCAAAGCCGGAGTCCTGCTGGTGCACTTCCCGCCTCGCAGATTGGATCCCAGGTTCTACCCCAGATCGGGAGGCTGGGCTCCTCCTGCTGCAAAGGGCGCCAACTTCTGTGGCTCCCCCCGTTGTCCCAGTGTGCAGGCTGGTGGGAGTTTCTCTGGGGACCCCTTTATACTTGGCTATCTCACTTCCTGCCAGAGCACAAGCCCACCACTCCCCACAGGGAAGACTGGAGGCGGGCAACGGTCCTCTGAGCCAGACCAGAAGTTCAGGTGAGGACACGGTTAGTAAGAGCCAGTCAGGTGAGGACACGGTTAGTAAGAGCCAGTCAGGTGAGGACACGGTTAGTAAGAGCCAGTCAGGTGAGGACACGGTTAGTAAGAGCCAGGCGGTGTCTCTCTGCACCACCTGGAGCTATGTCTCTGGCTGAGGAAGGCTTGGGGGTCCCCAAGACACCCTCCTGGTTGCCCAGAGGCCACACAGGTGACCGCAGCCAAGGCCAGGAGGCAGCCCAGCTTGTGTCCTTGGTGCCACAACAGACAATGAGGCTTATGCACCCACAGATCCCCAGCTGCCCTTTCAGTCACCAGGATGTGTTGGAATCCATCTTGCGCCCTCTGCATTTTTAGCTTCCTTTTATGGTTCCTTCTAGAAAAAAGCCTTTTAGAGTCACAAGGGACTTACTTCCTAGTGCTCGTGTTTGGGGGCCTGGTGGTTAAGTCCACGTTCCCCTCTTCTGTTAAATCTGTGATTCTGTAATAGATCCCTCAGTCAAGGAAGTTCATAGTTACCATTCTAGACTGAAAGACCCCCGGACTTTGGCTGCAATGTGGATCCTGGCGACCACACCCATGTCTCCTCCTTAAGTCTGTTACGAATCAGAGCCCTACCGAGCTTATTCTGAAACTTTAGCACTTTCTTCATATAATCTGACCCAGATAAATTTGTACAAACCTGACCACTGCTGACAAGTATTGGCTGAATGCTTCCACATGTCCAGCTCGGCATCAGGAGCTTTGGGGGTTTTGAGCAAAGGCATTAACCCTGCGGCCAGGGCCCCTGGGCCCTCATTCTGGGTACTCAGTGGCTGCCGTCACCCCAAGAGCCCAGATGTGCCTGCTCCTCAGCAGGTGGTCAGGCCCCTCCCTTCAGTCCCTGCTTTTCTTCTGCTTCCTTTGTGCCTCTCCAAGTCCCCAAGGTATTGACGTCGGCCATGATAAGATACGTCGTGAATATTTATTGTAAATTAAGACTGGCTTGCCGGGCATGGTGGCTCACTTCTGTAATCCCAGCACTTTGAGAAGCCAAGGTGGATGGATCACTTGAGGTCAGGAGTTTGAGACCAGCCTGGCCAACATGGTGAAACCCCGTCTCTACTAAAAATACAAAAATTAGCTGGGCGTGGTGGCGGATGCCTGTAATCCCAGCGACTCAGGAGGCTGAGGCAGGAGAATCGCTTGAACCCAGGAGGCAGAGGTGGCAGTGAGCCAAGATCACACCACTGCACTTCAGCCTGGGTGACAGAGCAAGACTCCATCTCAAAAAAAAAAAAAAAAAAGACTGGCTACTGGCTGGGCGTATGCCCATAATCCCAACACTTGAGGAGGCCGAGGCGGGAGGATCGCTCGAGCCCAGGAATTTGAGACTACCCCGGGCAACACAGTAAGACCCTGTCTCAACAAAAAACAAAAAAAAGTAGCCAGGTGTGGCGGTGCGCGCCTATGTCCCCAGCTACATGCAGAGTTGAGGCGGGAGGATCACTTGAGCAGGAGGTGGAAGCTGCAGTGAGCCATGATCACACCACTCTGCACCCCAGCCAGGGCGACAGAACAGGACACTGTCTTTAAAAAATAAAAAAGGGGCCCGGCGCGGTGGCTCACGCCTGTAATCCCAGCACTTTGGGAGGCCGAGGCGGGCAGATCACAAGGTCAGGAGATCAAGACCATCCTGTCTAACACGGTGAAACCCCATCTCTACTAAAAATACAAAAAATTAGCTGGGCATGGTGGCGGGCACCTGTAGTCCCAGCTACTCAGGAGGCTGAGGCAGGAGAATGGTGTGAACCTGGGAGGCGGAGCTTGCAGTGAGCCAAGATTGCACCACTGCACTCCAGCCTGGGCGACAGAGCGAGACTCCGTCTCAAAAAAAATAAATAAATAAATAAGGGGGAAAAGATGCTGGCTCCTGGATCCACTCTTGTGTGTTTCTTTTGACAGGCATTACGAGATTGGACGACCAAATATTTCTGAACAGGAACCCCGGCGTCCCCTCTGTGGTGAAATTCCACCCCTTCACGCCGTGCATCGCCGTAGCCGACAAGGACAGCATCTGGTATGCACCGCGCTGGTCAGGCCTCCCTTCCGGCTGACCGACAGCCCCAGCGATGCCCTGTTCTCCCCCGATCACCACTCCTCTTCCTTGAAAAGCAGATACAAGGCACTCACCCCGAGGCCCTTAGCACTGTTTCCTGAGAAACGGCCCTACTCACCTTCTCCTCTTTGACCGAGCCCCACCCACACCTGCCCCGGGCCTGGCCCTGTCCTTGTCACTGAAGGACAGTCCAGAGTCCTGCCTGCAGGTCAGAGGGGAGTGGCAGGGACTCCCCAGTGACACTTGTAATAGAGGCGTACACAGGGGGGCCAGCTTGCTGCCCTGCCCGCAGAAGCAAGCATGTGATAGACAAGCAGTAAGAAGATGCTAGGTGCCCCAGGAGAGAAGTGAGTTTAACTCACAGCAAATATCGCCCTTAGAGATGGAGAGAGTACCCACTTCATGGGGGAGGGCAGTGGGAGGGGGTTCCTTTTAGAGTTTAGAGTTTATAAAATCTCTGTGGTTCACACCTCCATTTCTTTTTCCTCTTTTTAAAAATTGTGGTAAAACATACATAGCCTAAAATTTGCCATTTTAACCGTTCTGAGTGCGCAGCCAGTGGCATTCAGCGTATTCACATTGTTATGCAACCATCACCCCCATTGGTCTCCAGAACCTTCTCATCACACAAAACCAAAACTTGGTCCCCATCAGACACCAGCTCCCCATTCCTGCATCCGCCTGAGCCAGTGTTTCACTTTCTGTCTCTCTGAAGTGGCGCACGCTAGGAGCCTCATACCAGTGGAGTCACCCGGGATTTGGCCCTTTGTGCCTGGCTTATTCGGCTCAGCGCAGTGTCTTTAAGGTTCCTCCAAGCTACAGCACGTCAGAATTTCCTTTTCATGGCTGAGTAATATTCCACTGTGTGGATGGACCACACTTTGTCTTATCATTCATCTGTTCATGGACACCTGGGTTGCCTCCACCTTTTGTCTATTGTGAATAACACTGCTGTGAACATTGGTGTACAAGTATCTGTTCAAGTTCCTGCTTTCTGTTTTTTGGGGATACGCCCAGAGTGGAATTGCTGGACCATATGGTGATGCTCTGTTTAATTTTCGGAGGAACCACCAGGCTGTTTTCTGCAGGAAATCCTCTTCCCTTCCCACCCGCACAGCCTGTGGCTCCAATTTCCCACATCCTTGCCAGCACTATTATTCTCTCTTTGTTTGTTTGTTTGGAGACAAGGTCTCACTTTGTTGTCCAGGCTGGTCTTGAACTCCCAGGCTCCAACAGTCCTCCTGCTTCAGCCTCCCAAGTAGCTAGGATGACAGGTGTGAGCCGCCGTGCCCGGCTGTGGTGTGTGGTTTTTTGATAGCAGCCCGGTGGGTTTCAGGAGGTATCTCACTGTCATTTGGGTTTGCAGTTTCCTAATGACTTTTTTATTCCTCTCTTCTTCCCTTAAGCTTTTGGGACTGGGAGAAAGGGGAGAAGCTGGATTATTTCCACAATGGGAACCCTCGGTACACGAGGGTCACTGCCATGGAGTATCTGAACGGCCAGGACTGCTCGCTTCTGCTGACGGCCACAGGTGAGCGGGGTTTGCACAGCCAGGATTGGAAGCCAGGGTCTGGAGGAGTGGCGGGGAGGGTGTGTGATCCTGAGATGTGTTTGTACATCTGTCTTACAGAAAGCCCTGCTCACACGCGAGGGCCACTGTCATTCAGAAGTGGGGAGGTTTATGAGGGAAAGGGCTTCAGCAGCAGAGACAGGAAAGCAAAGATGACCCCATCCTTGAGGGTTCCAGGGACTTGTCTTCTCATCTCAGTCCTCTAGCCCTTCCAGCACCAGGAAAAGCCTCTGACAGCCTCTGTCCTTAAACCCCTGTGAGAGACCCGGTGGGTCCCACGTGACACCCGAGAATCAGGGAAGGATGCCCCAAGCCACAACACGTGCCAGGTCCTCCCCGGCCAGGGTCTCCTGGCATCGCTGGCTCATTTGCCAGTTGCTGTCCCCACTGGGAGCTGGCACTCACCCTCCTCCAGTCCCGTCCTGCACCTGAAAGGACATCGTTGACCATCATGGTCGCTGACCAGTGGTTCATTGCCGTAGTGGGTCTCACTCAGGTTTTGGTTTTCTTGGGTTTTCGGGGGGTTTTTTGGAGGGGTCCGAAATGTCTTAGTTTCATCTTCACTTTGGAACAATCGTTTGTTTCCATGTCAGTTACCCCACGTTGACAGTCATTTTCCTTTAGCGCTTTGAAAACACGTGTCCATTGCCTGTTGCTGATGAGAAGTCGCTGTCAGTCCCACTGCACTTCCTGTGGAGACTAGAGAGCGCTGGGCGGGAGGCAGGCGGGGGAGGCCAGCACGGCTGAGAGAAGTGAAGGCCGACACCCGGATCCCACCCAGCCTGTCCCTGTCGGCCGCAGCCCCTGGACACCTGAGCCTCTGAGAGTGTCGAGTCGGTTGTGCTGACAAGTGCGCAGCCCTCTCAACGCGGTTGCGGGCTCCTGGTGAGGGGCGTGGCCATGGGGACGTGTCCTCGTGCAGCCCCTCCTCCGAGCGCTGCCCCCTCAGGACCAAGTAGCATCAACCGATGTCGAAAGCCCGTCTTTGTCCCTGTAGCTGTCAGACGTGACCGGGAGGAGATGCATAGTCGGGGCAGGGGCCGGTGGGGGCAAGGGACCAGCCAGGCTCAGCCAGCGGTTTCGGAGAGACCAGATGTGAGCATCTCCCAACACCAGAGGGAGAGGGCAGTTCCTTGGCTGAGAGAGCGAGCACTGGAGCAGGGCCAGGGTCCTTTGCAGAACGGGCTCCAGACAGCAGTAGAAGGGCTCCAGCTCCAAAACCAGGAACGTTTGGTGTATGCGATGGAAAGCAGAGAGCGGGACAGGCAGGTGGGTGGAGGTGAGGCCGTCGTCCACCAGGGCAATCAGCTGGGGCTTGAAGAGCGCCTGAGGGTCACGCAGGAGGGGCTGGTGAGGCCAGGGGGTGCGGATGTGGTTCCCGGAAGGCTCAGAGTGCCCGCATGCTTTCCCCACACCCAGGCCGACCTCCCTGCCTGTCTGCTGGAGGATGCAGAGGGCCGTTTCCTCCATTCTAAGCCCTGAAGAGCAGGGCAGTGCGTCCCTGCCCACGTCTTAGGCGGAGAGCCCAGACGTCTGCATTGTCCCTTCAAGTCAAGGCTACTCTCTCTGTGGAGCACAGAGAGGAATGGGGCGGAGGGTGCTGGTGTCCTCTGTGAAGCTGGCCTTTCGTTCTGCTCCCTGGCACAGGCTGGCTCACCAGAGGGTAAAACGCAGCCCCACCCACCCAACCGAGCTTCACCCGCCTGCCTCCCTCCAGGGAACCCGATGCCCTGGAGCTGGAGGGAGGAAGGGCAGCCCCGGCTCCCAGGGCAGCCAAACCTCAGAGTTGAGCTCTGTGGCCAGGGTGGGACAGGATTGTGGTCTCCCATCCCCTGGGCTGCGACTCCTCCTGCTGGCTCGCCCAGATATGGATCTGAGGACAGAGTCCAGTCGGTGGGCACCCAGAGATCTGGAACCACGGGTAGTGAGTCAGGCTGGCCGCCCAGGGTCACTGCAGCACGTCTGCCAGGAAGGGCTCTTACCACCACGCACAGAGCACAGGCCAGGCCATCGAGGGGCCTGGTTCACATCCTTTCCTCTCTCCCTCCCCAGACGATGGTGCCATCAGGGTCTGGAAGAATTTTGCTGATTTGGAAAAGAACCCAGAGATGGTGACCGCGTGGCAGGGGCTCTCGGACATGCTGCCAACGACGCGAGGTGGGTCCGCCCGGCTCCTCCCCAGAGCAGAATGTGTTCCCGGGGCTGCGGACGCACTCGGAATTCCAAGGCCCTTCTGGGGCTGTCTCTAAACAGGCTGCTCCACCTCAGAGTCCCCAGAATCCTAAAGCAACAGCTCCCCGCCAATGTCCCCGAAAGCGTGAGAGCCCCAGGTCCCTGAGTGCACTGCCTGGCTGGAGTCCCAGCCCTGGGCATGGTCTCAGCCACTCGTGGGTGCCCCTGTCCCCAACCTTCATCCTTGGCTTGCAGACATGTGCTGCTTGGGACAGCATCACTGCTGGCAGGGCCTAAAGGGCCCGCATCACGGGGTCCTTCTTTGGACCTAAAATTAGGTCTGCTCTTTGGACCTAAATTTAACTCCTCCTTGGGGGTCGGGGTGCACATGGCCATCTGGGGCCTCACGCGCTCGCTGGCATGCCTGGGCTGGTGGGACGGAGTGGCTGCAGTGCCGGCTCTGGGTACAGTTCTGCGTGTTGCCTGCACCGCTGCACGGCCTGGGTGCGGGGCGAGGCGCAGGCCCACAGGTCCTTCTGGAAGGACTCAGGCAGGAGTTAGGAGGCTCCCGGGGTCAGGCTTCTGGGTCTAGATTTCCAGAGGCCCCTCTGCAGCACCAGGCATTCGCCTCTAGGAGTCATCGCTCTTCAGCGGATCCTGCAGCCCTTGGCGATGCTCAGAGTGAACGCGTTACCCCGCCAGCCCCCCTCTGCCGGCTCCTGCCGGTTTGTGATTTCTGTGTCTTCGTCTGTGGCCTGTGGATGTGGCCTTACACCTCGTGGTCAGCCTTCCGTGTGGGGCCTGCCCTGGTTCTGCCCTAGGTTGCATGGCTCTGTCTCCGCCCTTCTGTCTGAGCACCTGTCCCGGGAGATGCCAACCCTCACGTGCCTCGGGACGTCATGGGGGCAGCTCCAGGGTGGACATTGCCTCGAACGTTGGATTTTTTTTTTTAATGTAGCCATGTTCTTAAGTTTCATCCAGCAAAAAAAATCATCCACACCCCGCACTCCGTGGGGGCCCTTTCCTGTTGCTTCTGTCCTGATCTCTGGGCTCTGCTTCCCCTGCGAGGCAACCCTCTTCTGGGGTATGACAGCTTCCCTGGGACAGGGCAGGAAAAGTGAGCCCCAGCCCGGGGCCCTGGTCCAGGAGGGGTCCCGGGAGACAGCTGGATGGCCAGCCTGGGGGTCAGGCCACTCACCGGCCATTGTGTGTCTCTCCAAAAGACCAATTTTGGTGACACTGTGTCATTTGCTAGAGAGGAAAGATCACTGTTTGATAGGCTTTCCAGGCTGTTTTTCTGGGGTCGCTCAGAGGCAGTGGTGCCATGGAAGGAGCTGGGCTTCAGCACGGGAGCGCCTGGCTGAGCCCTGGCTCTGCCTTGCCCTTTCTCTTGTTTGCTTTTGTGAAAACTTCCCTCCCTGTCCAAGGCTCGGACCTGCCGGAAATGCAGTGCTGGAAGGACACACCCGTGGCTAGCCCCGGGGTCCATGAGACCCCCCTAGAAGCATCCACATGTCCATGCCCAGCTGGCCCCGGGGTCCCTGAGACCCCCCGGAAGCATCCACACGTCCACACCCGGCTGGCCCCAGGGTCCCTGAGACCCCCCAGAAGCATCCACACGTCCACACCCGGCTGGGCCTGGGGTCCCTGACACCCCCAGAAGCATCCACACATCCACACCGGGCCACGCTGCAGGAAACAAGACTTGGTGGCCTGTGCTGCCCCACGGGCTCTCAGTCTCTCCGGGTCAGGATGGCAGTGCCCAGCTTACATATCAGGAAGCAGCACTGACGAGAAAAGCGGCCTTCTCGGCCCAGACCCTCCAGTGCTTCCTTCAGAGTGGGAGCCTGTGCTGCACTTCAGGGGTCTCGGGGTCAGAGAACGAGGCTCTCACTGCGGGGGAAGGCAGCAGAGGCGTCTCGCCAGACGTAAGAGCTCCAGGCCCCAGTCCCCGAAGGCTGTGCCAGCTGTGGGCTGGGGCACCAGGCACAGCTCTGGGCTCCCTCAGGTTGCACAGGACATGGGAAACCTGGGTGTGGGCAGCAGGCGGGTGTGTCACTGCTGCTGCGGCTTTGCTATGTGTCCAGGACTGGTTCAAACCAGTTCACTCGGCATCACAGAATCTGAACTGAAAAAGGACTTAGGGTTCACCTGACTATACCCCTCCATGGCAGGACGCTCGGGCCGAGGGACAGCTGCCCAGAGCCTCTGGTTCAGATGGACACCTGAGGCCCAGGGTCGGGCTGTGCCATGTCCCCCATGCCGGCATGTCACTGTCCTACCCGGGTACGTCGGCCTATGTGCTGGAGACAGGGCCTTTACAGAGGTGATTAAGGTCAAACCAAGTCACCAGGGTGGCCCTAACCCAATGTGCCTCGTGTCCTTACAAGAAGAGGCCACCAGGACACAGACACACGTGCAGGGACAGGTGGGCGTTCCTGGGACGCCGGCTCGGCACTCACCCAATGAGGTCACGGTGTCAAGGGAGGGCCCGAGTTCCAGCAGGTTGCTGGGGGATGTCTCACGGGCCTGAGGGTAATTATTTGTCATCGATTGGAGTCACACTGCCTAAATCCAGAGCCGTGAATGCTGACCACAGCACAGCCACCACTCTTCTTGAAAGTCACAGTCACCAGGACCCAGTGTTGGCATTTGATAGATTAATGGTATTAGCAGGTTGGTTTCCCTCCGCGGTATTACATTTAAGGGAATAAACAACTCACATGAACGGCCAAGGGCTGAAGACAGAAGTGGTGCTCTCCATCTTCGTCAGGTGCTCACGGAGGGCCCACAGCACATCTGATCTGGTCACCACGGGGATCCGTGGAGCCGCAGAGGTTTCATCCTCCCCTGGAACTGAGGAGCTCAGGCCCTCCGCCAGCTTCTGCTGCAGGGAGCCTGCAGGAGGCCCAAGGCGTGACCTCCGCTTGCCCCAGCCCCCACTCGCCTCTCCCGGACCCGCTTGCCCAGTTGGGCACACCCAGCTCAGGCACACGCAAGCCAGGCTCCCCACGTCACCCCTGAGACTGGTGCTTTGGAGGCTGTTTCTTGTTTTCTGGCATCTTGAATGTTCTCCATGTGCTCGTTCTCACCTTTTCCCTCTGTTTGTTCTGCTCGTGTCACTGCTGTTCCCAGGGCACCTCTCTGTTCTTCCCGACCCAAGGTGTCGCTTCCTGGCAGAGTCACCAGGAGGATCGTGCCTGGGACGTGGCTGCTGCCCCCCAAGTGACCATGCAGTCTAGAAGTGCAGAGCCCAGACCCATGCATCTCTCCCTTCTCTTTTTCTTTTCTTCTTTTTTTTTTTTTTTTTTTTTTTTTTTGAGGTGGAGTCTCGCTCTGTTGCCCAGGCTGGAGTGCAGTGGCGTGATCTTGGCTCACTGCAACCTCCGCCTCCCAGGTTCAAGCGATTCTCCTGCCTCAGCCTCCCAAGTAGCTGGGACTAGAGGGTCGCACCACCACGCCTGGCTAATTTTTGTATTTTTAGTAGAGATGGGGTTTCACCATGTTGGCCAGGATGGTCTCGATCTCCTGACCTCAGGTGATCCTCCCACCTTGGCCTCCCACAGTGCTGGGATTACAGGTGTGAGCCACTGCACCCAGCCTGTGCATTTTCCAAGTTGTGCAGCCACCACCTTTATCTAGTTCCAGAAGATTCTCACCACTCCAGAAGGCGGCCTGCTGCCCATTAAAGCAGTTTCTTCCCATAGATTCTTATTTATCTATTTTTGAGACAGGTTCTTGCTGTCACCCAGGCTGGAATGCAGTGGCACCATCACGGCTCACTGCAGCCTCGACCTCTCAGGGCTCAGGCAGTCCTCCTACCTCAGCCTCCTGAGTAGCTGGGACCACAGGCCCATGCCCCACACCCAGCTCCCATAAGTTCCTCACTTAAACAGAGAGAAACTTAGAAAATGTCTGTGCCAAGCCAAGCCCTCTGTGCTTGTGGATCTGCCCCAGGTCTCAGAGTGGGGCCTCAGGGCCTCCTGGCGCAGCCTCCGGATGGCCGTGCCTCCAGGCAGGACAGCACTGAGCCACTAAAAGGGATGCACCAGGAACCCTGGGCGGTGTCCTCCTCGGTCACCCAGACGCCACTTCCCAAGAGCATGTCCGGGTGGGCAGCAAGCATTCTTTGTGATTAATGTAGGTAACAGCATATCCTGAGGGAGGGGGCTCCAGTTCTGTGTCCTCAGGCTCTGTTGGCTGCACAGCTGCAGCAGGAGCTGGGCTCTTCTGGGCAGAAACGGGGAAGTATGTGCCCTCCCGCCCGGTTGCACACCGGCCCTCACTGTGCTCACAAGGCCTCCCAGCGGAGGAGCAGGGCTGCAAGTTGAAAGCCTGTGATCCACCACGGCGCTCGTGCTTCTGACCTGCTGGGACATTTCTTCCTGCCTGGGTTCAGGTGTATCACAGTAGAGGGACTACACTTCTTTTTTTGTTTGTTTGTGTTTGTTTTTGAGATGGGGTCTTGCTCTCACTGCAGCCTCAACCACCTGGGCTCAAGCGGTCATCCCACCTCAGCCTCCCAACTAGCTGGACCACAGGCGCACACCACTGCAACGGCTAATCTTTTTTCTTTTGAGACGGAGTTTCACTCTTGTTGCCCAGGCTGGCGTACAATGGCGGATCTTGGCTCACTGCAACCTCCACCTCTCAGGTTCAAGCAATTCTCCTGCCTCAGCCTCCCAAGTAGTTGGGATTACAGGCACCCACTGCCACACCCAGCTATTTTGTGTATTTTTAGTAGAGACGGTGTTTCACTATGTTGGCCAGGCTGGTCTCGAACTCCTGACCTCAGGTGATCCACCCGCCTCAGCCTCCCAAAGTGCTGGGATTACAGGCGTGAGCCACTGTGCCCGGGCTACATTGGCTAATCTTTTATTATTTGTAAAGACAAGGTCTTGCTATGTTGCCCAGGCTGGTCTTGAACTCCTGGGCTTAAGCAATCCTCTGTCTCGGCCTCCCAAAGTGCTGGGATCACAGGTGTAAACACATCTGGCCTGGGACTGCATTTCAAAAGTAAAATAAAGAATGTATGTATGCCAGCAATTAACAACTAGAAAATGTAATTATAAAACATCATGGGCCAGGCGTGGTGGCTCACGCCTGTAATCCCAGAAGCCGAGGCAGATGGATCACCTGAGGTCAATAGTTCAAGACCAGCCTGACCAACATGGTGAAACCCCATCTCTACTAAAAATACAAAAATTAGCTGGACATGGTGGCAGGTGCCTGTAATCCCAGTTACTCAGGAGGCTGAGGCAGGAGAATCACTTGAACCTGGGAGGCGGAGGTTGCAGTGAGCCAAGATCACACCACTGCACTCCAGCCTGGGCAAAAGTGTGAGACTACATCTCAAAAAAAAAGAAAGAAAGAAAGAAAGAAATCATAGACAACGGGAATAAAAACTGCAAGATACCTAGGAATGAATCCAACAAATGCACTTTCTTCACAGATCAAAGCATAAACTCTAATTGAAGACTATAAAAGGCACATGCAGTGTTCATGGCACCATAGCCATGGATGAAAAGACTCATCATTGTGGAGATTGGCAGTTCTCAAATTAATCTGTGGATTTATTAATACACTTTTGATTATATTCCCAGGAGAGATTTTTATAAAATGCAGACCAGCCAAGGCAATATTGAAGAGGCGCAGACGGCATTAAGAAGCTGCAATTGCAGGGCAGCCAGGCCAAGAGGCACCAGGGCCCTCAGCGCAGCAGTGAGCCCAGAAGGGCCGCAAGTGGCAGGGTACCTCTGCGCACTAGGGAAGGAGCCATGTTGCTAAATGGTGTTGGGACAGCTGATGCCATATAGAAAAGGATGCAGTGATACCCCTACCTCACACCATGCACAAAACACATCACAGTGAGAGACCTAACCTGTAAAAGCCTTTCAGAGAAAAATCAAGAGGAAATCTTCCTAACAGTGAGGAACAAAAAGACAGATTGAACAAGAGATTGAGGGTAAAGACATCAATAGGTTTGACTCTACAGACTTCTTCATGACCACAAGAAAAATGTCACGGTTGTAATGTAAGTGGCAGAATAAGAAAAGATATTTGCAGTATCTACGAGTTACAGAATATATATAAAAATATGTGCAACTGTCTGTCGTGAAAAAAAACGGCAAACACCACACATCGATAAGGATTTGGGGACATTGGCTTGTGTGTGTCCTGCCGAGAGTGTAGATGGTCACCCATTTGGGGAATGAAATGGCCTTCCCTGGGGAGATCAGAGTCATGCAGGATACATGACTGGCAGTTCCGTTCTAGGCGCTTCCTTCTCCACCCGCAAGGACACGTGAAGTTGTTGACTGTGACATGGTTCACAAAGCCAGGGGCAGCTCAAATGACGGGGTTAGTTGTACAGTGGAAGGTAACGCAAGATTAAATGAGTTAACCAGAGCTGTGTGTCTTGGGCCAGATAAATCCTCAAAGCCTAACATTAAAGAAGCAAGTTGCTAGAAAATAGGCCCCATTTTGACACTGAAGAGGTTTTTTGAAATGTGGAAGGCATGTTACGTTGTTGATGAGCGTGCGTAAGCAGGAAAACCTCAGCAGCCCCTGGGAGGCGCCCTCAGCCCAAGGGACAGCCCTCCCAGGCAGGCGCAGGGGCAGACGATGCTTTTACTGTGTCTAAAATTATGCTTCTCTATGAAAAAAAAAAAAAAGAGCAAACAATGGTAAAATGTTAGCAAAGTTAGAGCTGAGTGGTGGGTACAAGGATTACTATGGTGTTCCTTTCTGTATCTTAAAATGGTTATCATTACAGTTTTAGAACTGAATCTGGTTTTAAATACAGGCCGTCACGTGAGGTGGGGGTTGCTCTGCTCTGTCTAATCCCCACACAAAGGGCAGCCCTTGCCCCATTCTCTCCGTCCATCCCTTGCTGACGCCAGCCGTCGGGAGTCAGCCCCTTGCTGTCTGAAGGCTGCCGGCCCGTGGCCCATGCCGAGCTCCTGTTTGTCTCAGAAGAACCGGCTTCCTCAAGCTTTGATAGGGCCAAAAGGAGGACCCTCATCTTCAAGCCTTAACAGCCTTCCTAAAGTCACCCAGACCTGCCAGTTCTGCCCAGGCGTCCAGACGGCAGGCATCTTAGACGTCGCTGCAAGGGTCTGCTCCAGATGGTGAGCACCTTAGACAGACGTTGCTGGAAGGCACTGCTCTGAACGGTGGGCACCTAACAGACGTTCCGGGAAGGCACTGCTCCGGATGTTGGGCATCTTAGATGTTCCTGGAAGGCACTGCTCTGGACAGTGGACACCTTAGACAGATGTTCCTGGAAGGCTCTGCTCCGATGTTCCTGGAAGGCTCTGCTCCGAACAGTGGGCACCTTAGACAGACGTTCCTGGAAGGCTCTGCTCCGAACAGTGGACACCTTAGACAGATGTTCCTGGAAGGCTCTGCTCCCTCTAGCGATGCCTGGGGCATAGTCGAGTCAGGGGAAGACTCAGAGTTCCAGCTCAGAATTGTCGCCCCAGCCTGGACTTGGGAGTTCCAGCTCAGAATTGTCACCCCGGCCTGGACTTGGGAGTTCCAGCTTAGAACTGTCACCCCGGCCTGGACTTGGGAGTTCCAGCTTAGAATTGTCACCCCGGCCTGGACTTGGGAGTTCCAGCTTAGAACTGTCACCCCGGCCTGGACTTGGGAGTTCCAGCTTAGAATTGTCACCCCGGCCTGGACTTGGGAGTTCCAGCTTAGAACTGTCACCCCGGCCTGGACTTGGGAGTTCCAGCTTAGAATTGTCACCCCGGCCTGGACTTGGGAGTTCCAGCTTAGAACTGTCACCCCAGCCTGGACTTGGGAGTTCCAGCTCAGAATTGTCATCCCGGCCCGGACTTGGGAGTTCCAGCTCAGAATTGTCACCCCAGCCTGGACGTGGGGCACACCAGGGTCCCTAGCGGGAGCTCATATGAGGCATATGGACCCACCAGATGGGCTCGATGGTGGCAGGGGTACCTTGTAGCTGCTGGCCAAATTGCTGCCCAGAGCAGGCCCCAAAGCCTGCCCAAGGCAAGGGCCCATGGGGTGATGCCATGTCCCACTGTATCTCTCCAGGAGCTGGGATGGTGGTGGACTGGGAGCAGGAGACCGGCCTCCTCATGAGCTCAGGAGACGTGCGGATCGTCCGGATCTGGGACACAGACCGTGAGATGAAGGTGCAGGTAACCATGCAGGTGTCCCCCAAGCCCTGGGCCTGTGGGGCAGTGTGTGCAGGGCTGGTCCTCGTCACAGAACCCAGCAAAGTGTGCGGTGAGGCCTGGCCATCCCAGGGGTGGAGTCAGGGCCTGGGAGGACAGTGCCGGGACAATGCTGGGAGGAGACGTGGGCTCCCTGAGGCCTCTGGATGAAGGTGAACTGCAACACCCAGCCCTGCGCTGCAGTATGGCTCAGGCTGCGCCAGCTCTGAGTGTTTGCAAGTAGTGTCTTCTCTCTGCAAATTAAGGAATGTCAGAAATCAGTAGGGTGACCAATTGTAAATTAGAATGATTAATTATTTGGAGGCGTTTTTTTTTTTCTTTTGAGATGGGGTCTCACTCTGTCACCCTGCGTCACCCAGGCTGGAGTGCAGTCGTGCAATCACAGCTCACTGCAGCCTCAACCTCCTGGTCCAAGTGATCCTCCCACCTCACCCCCCCCCCCCACCACCAAGTAGCTGGGACTACAGGCATGCACCCACACGCCTGGCTAATTTTTTTAACTTTTTGTAGAAACAGGGGTCTCAGTATTTGCCCAAGCTGGTCTCGAATTCCTGGCTCCGGCAATCTTCCTGCCTTGGCCTCCCAAAGCACTGGGATTATAGGTGTGAGCCGCTACAGAAGACAGAAGATTTTTGTTTCTTTTTTTTTTTTTTTTTTTTTTTGAGACAGAGTCTTGCCTTGTCGCCCAGGCTGGAGTGCAGTGGCGCGATCTCGGCTCACTGCAAGCTCCGCCTCCTGGGTTCATGCCATTCTTCTGCCTCAGCCTCCCGAGTAGCTGGGACTACAAGCGCCCACCACCACGCCCAGCTAATTTTTTTTTTGTATTTTTAGTGGAGACGGCGTTTCACGTGTTAGCCAGAATGGTCTCTATCTCCTGACCTCGTGATCCGCCCACCTCAGCCTCCCAAAGTGCTGGGATTACAGGCGTGAGCCACTGCGCCCGGCCAGAAGCCTCTTTGCTTCTTAAAGCATCTGCTATTTTCAGTTTTGACAAAAAGCGGAGTACATTGGTTTTGCCCAAGACAGCCTGGAAAAGTGGTAGAGACCTAAGCAGGCCGCGCTCAGCAGAAATCTAACTGCATTGACTTCATTTGGAGCAGAGGCGAGACCACAGATACTGTGAGGGGCAGCGCCTGAGGTGGCTTTAGAGCCAGTATTCCCTTCCTCTGGGTCCCCAGGGAGAGGTGTGGCACAGAGGCCATACCCAGCCTCTCTCCCGGGCAGGCCATCTGGTGTCAGGAGGGATGGCTCAGCCCTGCTGCCGTAGAGGGCGGTGTGGAGCAGGCCCAGCAGAGGGGAGGCCTGGGCACCCTCAGCTGCTCGAAGCTGCTGTGGTTGCTCTGGGCAGCAGCAGCCCGAGAACCTGGCCCAGGCCTTCCCGTGTGGGCAGCCTCCCCTCTGACGTGACCGTGGATCCCTCGAGGCACCAGCAGCTTTCATGGCACCTTCTTTGGGGTGGGGGGGTCTTGCACCTGTCTGGAGCTGTGGCTCCACACGAGACGTAGCCCTCAGGGCACAGCGTGGACACCCTGATCCTCAGGGTCTGGTCACCAGTGGGGGCTTAGAGGCCCAGGTGGCCTGCGGGGCAGGTGCTGTTCCTGCAGAGGTGGGTGGAGGCACAGAGCGCAGCAGGTGCTCCCAGAGCCGGCTCTGCCCCTCGCAGGGGTCTGGCCCCATCATCCCCACGCCTGTGTTTCCTCCTGGAGTGCACAACCCAGCACCGCCCATCGTGCGTGGAAAGCGCTCTCCCTCTCGTGGCCCTTTTCCTCCTGCGTCCCTGGCAGGTGCCATCGCCCCCGCCCCCGCTTCTCCAGCACTTAGAGCCCCCGAGGGAGCCAGATGACCCCTCCTGGACTCGTCCCATAGCTCATTAGAAGTTCTGAGACGCAGCCAGTGAGGAGTCCTTGCCAAAATGTGCTTTGCTTTCCTTTTTAGGAAACAGAGAGAGGTTGGAAGTTTAATTGGCACTGACAGCCAGTCCTTCCCAGAGGCGTTTGCAGGCCTCCGCTCGGGGTGGGGCTGGCCTCTGCCTCACTGGCTGGGTCCCAGGCGCCTCAGGGCCTCAGGGCTGTCCCTCCAGGGCCAAGGGATAAGGGCGTGACTCATTGTCCTGCCAGCCCCTGCCTCTCCCTGGGACTCCTGGGCTCCCCAGGCCTTTGATGCTTCCCTGGATAGAGAGAAAGGCCCCTGCAGCCAGGGAGGGTGATCCCCACAGCCAGGCAGGCAGCAAGAGGGGTCCTGGCGCTGCAGGACAGCAGGGAGGGTGGCTCGGTGCCCCGGTCTTCACCGGGCTGCCTGTGTTTGGCTCTAGGACATCCCTACGGGCGCAGACAGCTGTGTGACGAGTCTGTCCTGTGATTCCCACCGCTCACTCATCGTGGCTGGCCTCGGTGACGGCTCCATCCGCGTCTACGACAGAAGGATGGCACTCAGCGAATGGTACCTTGACCCTGTCCTCTCCCTCCCCGAGTGCTGGCAGGGTACCTTCCAGGTGGTAGGGCCGTGTCACTGCCATTTGGTTGGGTCCAGGTTTCTCAGTGAGATGCAAAGCTTCCCCAGGAGCCTGCAGTGGCGTATTTAGGCCAGTCCTGGGCTCCCCAAAGCCGCCAGGCCCGTCCCACTGAGGCCCATCCCACAAAGGTCTGCCCCACAGAGGTCCACCCCACAGCCTATGGAGGAGCACAGGGGACAGGCCATGTGGGATGAGCCAGTGGACTGGAGGCAGAGGCTGTCGGGGTGAGGCAGGGCCGCAGCCAGGCACCTGCCACCTCTGAGCTCACCTGAACAGAATACTGCCACTGCCTGCCACCTCCTGGGTCATGCAGCAAGTGTCTGGGGAGGGATGTCTGAGGGCACACACGTGGGCACAGCAGCCCTGGGCACTGCCTCCACTGAGCACCCCTGTGGGCAGGTGCTGTCCGCGTCTGGCAGAGGACAGGGTACACGCATGGGCACAGCAGCCCTGGGCACTGCCTCCACTGAGCACCCCTGTGGGCAGGTGCTGTCCATGTCTGGCAGGGGACAGGGCACACGCGTGGGCACAGCAGCCCCGGGCACTGCCTCTGCTGAGCACCCCCGTGGGCAGGTGCTGTCCGGGCCTAGCAGGGGACAGTCCGTCTTGGCCCACACGGCTCATGCAGCAGAAGTAAATTTCACCCAGCACAGAGCGAGGATTCCCAGAAGGTCCTTGTGCCTCCAGCTTCATCAGCTTTAGGTCTGGGATTCTCATTCCTGACCCTCCAGTCTGCACAGATCGGGGAGACACAATGAGGAGTTTTGAGGGAAGCAAAGCAAAGGGTGGGCAGGGCCTGGGAGCGCTGCGATGGCCGCCTGGCCCCCGTCTCTGGGCAGCTTCCATGTGGCTCAGACAGTCCTCCAGCGGCCTGACGGTGACCTAGGGCCCAGCCCTGAGCCAGCCTGGGGAGGACACAGGGGGTCTCTGCTGGAGCAGGTCACCTGGAGGGGGCTCTGACCCTGCGTGAGCACTAGCCCCTCGTGGGGAGCGGACGGGCGAGGGCCTGCGGACCCGCTGGCACAGGCAGACCTGGGCAGCTCCCGGTGAGAGCCCCGAAGGGTGGGGACGTCCTTCAGGGAAGCCCCACGCTGAGCGTGCCCCCTCCCCTACAGCCGCGTCATGACGTACCGGGAGCACACAGCCTGGGTGGTGAAGGCCTCCCTGCAGAAGCGTCCCGACGGCCACATCGTGAGTGTGAGGTGAGGAGCGCCGATATTTAGCAGCCGTTCTGCTGTAAAAACATTATTTTCCCCTCCATTTAAAATACGTCCTTGGTATTTAAACAGCTGGAAGGGGATGGCATTTCGGGCAGTAATTAACTCCTGCCCTGGAACTGGCCAGAAAGATCAGGCGCAGCCCGTAGGGGCCCAGGGGCCACAGCTGCTCCCCTGCTGGGGGACACCTGACCTGCAGGCGCTTTGGGAACTTTCCTGGGCTGCCAACTGCGGAGGGTTCCGGGGGGAGTTGGGCAGCTGCTCTCCCTCCACGGGCAGGGGTGGCAGGGTGGCAGGGGCGGCGCGTCTGCCAGGCACGTGGCAGTTGTCTGCACATAAATTCAGTTCTGCCTCTTGGTAAATACAGCACCAAGAGCAGGGAATATTTATTTGCCTATTAAAGGAAGAGCAAGATGTAATTTATGAATGCAAAGCCAGCATTTCTTCAAAGAGATGCTCTTTTCCCCCTTGTTTGTGATATAAAAACCAAACATAACTCTTGGGATGGACGCCTGCTGGGGGTGGAAGGCAGGAGCCACGGGGCCTCAAAAGGGCCAGGCCATCCCTCTCTCGGGCCACAGCCTGCCATCCAGGCTCTGTCTCCCGGGACTGCAGGCCCCGGTTGCATGAAATCTAATCTCTAGCTGGAAATGAAACCAGGAGCTCACAGCCTCCTCCCGCATCTGTGCTCATGGTCATTTCTCTAGGCCAGAAAGCTCCGCGCCTTTTCTGGCTCTGAGAGAGCTTGTGGGGGACAGCCTTGGCCCTGAGACCAGTATGGGTGCATGTCTGGGCCCCACCTGGGCAGCCCTCACTGGGGACGCTGAGCATCCAGGCAGCTTTTTCCTTGAGCAGTGTGTGTGCAAACAGGTGTGCGACCCCACACACCTGGTTCCACCGTCCCCCTGGCCAGGCCCCTCATGGGGCCTCCGGGAGGAGGTGTCACTGTGACCCTCTCTTGGCAGCGTCAATGGAGATGTGCGCATCTTTGATCCCCGGATGCCTGAGTCGGTAAATGTGCTTCAGATCGTGAAGGGGCTGACGGCCCTGGACATCCACCCCCAGGCGGACCTGATCGCATGGTAGGCGCCACCCACCTCCCTGGCCTGCACCGCTCACCCGCCTCGGGCCTCTGTGCAAACGGGAGGCTCTTGTGTTCCTGCCCCCAGGAGCTGAAGGAGGGCAGGGGAGGATTTCACTGCTGTGGGGACATAAAAACAAAAGATGTCTGCCCACCACATCCTCCCAGGATAAACTCTCAGGGCCCTGCCAGGCCCGAGTCCTCAGTGAGAGTGACCAGAGGGTCACACCTGCCCCGAGCCAGCCTGTCCCCGTGGTCTAGCCGGCCTGTCCCCGCGGTCTCGGCATCTGCGCCCATCTTCCATCCTCAAAGAAGAGGGCAGTGATGCCGGGACCCTTTCTCTCCCCACAGTGGCTCCGTCAATCAGTTCACCGCCATCTACAACAGCAGCGGAGAGCTCATCAACAACATCAAGTACTACGACGGCTTCATGGGCCAGCGGGTCGGCGCCATCAGCTGCCTGGCCTTCCACCCGCACTGGGTCAGTGTGGCGGTGGGTGGGGGTCGGGGGTCGGGGGCTGGGGTAGAGGGATGGGAGGCAAGGGGACAAGGCAGCAGGGGTCCTGCCTGGCTACCCCACACCACAGTGGGGCCCATTGGCTGCCTGAGGGAGGGACTTGCCTGGGTCCCAGGATCTCTAGGGCCCCTGCCCCACCCTGCACTCGCCCCGGAAGCAGAGCCCCAGTCCCGTCACTCCGGGAGGAATTGACACACAGTGGCTGGGGCAAAGCTCCTGCCCTCAGACCCTGCACTAAAGCCATCCCTGGGGACCTCCAGGAGAGTCGCTCGGGGTGTCCATCCCTGTGCGGCCCTCACCCCGTCCCCTGTGCGGCCCTCACCCCGTCCCCTCTGCGGCCCTCACCCCGTCCCCTCTGCGGCCCTCACCCCGTCCCCTGTGCGGCCCTCACCCCGTCCCCTGTGCGGCCCTCACCCCGTCCCCTCTGCGGCCCTCACCCCGTCCCCTCTGCGGCCCTCACCCCGTCCCCTGTGCGGCCCTCACCCCGTCCCCTGTGCGGCCCTCACCCCGTCCCCTCTGCGGCCCTCACCCCGTCCCCTCTGCGTCCCTCACCCCGTCCCCTCTGCGTCCCTCACCCCGTCCCCTGTGCGGCCCTCACCCCGTCCCCTGTGCGGCCCTCACCCCGTCCCCTCTGCGGCCCTCACCCCGTCCCCTCTGCGGCCCTCACCCCGTCCCCTCTGCGGCCCTCACCCCGTCCCCTCTGCGGCCCTCACCCCGTCCGCTGTGCGGCCGAGTCCTCACCCTGTCCCCTGTGCGGCCGGGCCCCACCTGCACGGCTCTCTGGCCTTGGTTGCAGCCTCCCCACGTGGCTTCAGGCCGTTGTTTTTAGATTAGGATTCTGCCCACCTGCCGCCTTGTGTTGTGAGGCTCCAGGCATGTAGCTCTGCTGACACGTGTGACATTGGATCCCAGAGCTGCCCCGTGGGGCAGTCCTGAAAAAACCACGCAGGGCCCGGGGCAGCGCCACGCCCCTCACGGAGTGCACCATGCATGGGCCCTGCAGAGGACTGGTGGGACCGGCCCGGCATTTCCGGGCCTGAGGTGGGCGTGGGGGTTCCTGAGACCCCGGCAGGAGCTGCCTAAGGATGCGGGTTGGCCTGCGCCCCCCCGCCCCCCGCAGTGTCTGCCCGCACCTGAACCCCTGCTCACCCCTTCTCTCTCCTTGCAGCCTCACCTGGCCGTGGGAAGCAACGACTACTACATCTCCGTGTACTCGGTGGAGAAGCGTGTCAGATAGCGGCGTGACCCGGGCCCACCAGGCCACGGCCGCCTGCTGTACATAGTGAAGCTGTCACTCGCCGGGGCACGGGGCGTCGGCTGCTGCGGCCCCGCAGTGTGAACGTTGGCTGCTGCCTTAGCTGCTGATGACGGCAGGAGGGCCCTGCTACTCGCTTTTGTCTGTCTTCGCTGTCGTGTCTGGAATGTCAGGGAAGGGGAGGGCTCGGGTTGACGGTGGCTTCCCACTGAGCACCAGCATCCAGGTGCACCCCCGCGGCCACGGCGCCTCTGTCCCTCTCCTGTTCTGTGTTTCTCTGAGACGCTGAAAGGGGAAACACCTCACTTTATTTCCATGTAATCAGAGCATTAGCTGCAGAAAAACCCCCCGACAGAGCCCTGGCGGAGAGGCAGGCGCTGGGGCTCCTACGGGTCCCTGGGGCAGCTGTCCCCATCAGGCCAAGAGCGAGCGAGAGGCGCTGCCCCAGCCAGGCCCACCACCTCTCACAGTCAGTGCACGCAAGCAGGGACATTTCCTAGCCAGCTGGGGGACACTGGAAATTCGGGAAACCAAGAGAGAGGAAGAAGGAGACGCCCCTCCAACTGGCGGGTGTGAAGGAAGCCGCCCAGGGGTCCGGGCTGTCCTTGGCCGCTGGCAGCATCACTGAGCAGGAAGCGCACAGCCCACCCTCCCCGCACCTCCAGGTCTCTGGACTCCAGTTTTGGCCCCTCTCACACAGAGCTGTCAGCAGGGGCCGCTGTGGCGGTGCACAGGGGAGGCAGGTCCTTGGCGAGGTAGCCCCTGCCTTAATCCACGGGGCTCCTTTCCCTCCGAAGGGCTGCTCTTCCCCACAGGCGCGGGGACAGCAGCCCGACCTGTGGTCTCCATGCCTGTGCCCTCACACAGGTGTAGCACACGCATGTGCAGATGGCACCACGGCCGGCACCTGGGGGCACACACATGCAGGCGGCGTGGTCTCCCTGCTCTGTCCCCACACGTTCCTCACATACAGGCAAGAGGCACTGCCGGGTCCCGGACGGCTCCGGGTGACACCAGCCCCGTCTCCAGCCTTGAGCCGCCCATGCTGATGCGACCTCGGCTGACAGCTGGGCCTGTGGTGCAGACAGGAGCTGTGTGGACAGTCCCGCCCAGGAGGGGCCGCAGGGCGTGTATGAGCAGTTTTGCAAACAGAACACAACCACAATGATGGTATTTTGAAAAGTGTTCTTTCCGTGTTCGTCGGGAATCAGGATTATTGAGAGGTGAAGGAGCCAGGTGGCTTCATTCTGGCGGTGAGAGGCCCACGACCACGGGAGTGAGAGCTGGTGTGGCGAGGCCCGGCTCTCCTGCGGTGTGGCTGGTGGCCTGCCGTGGCCAAGAGCATCTTCTGGGTGGATGGAACCCTGCCTGGTCACATTTGGCCAGAGACACACCTGGCCCTCAGGGGGCTGAGCTGGAGACTGAGCTGGGGCTGGCCGGGACGTGACAAGGCAGGACAGAGGCGGCCCCTCCGCTGCTCCTTTTTGGAATGCGAGCTCCCACCAGAAGAAGGTTCCGGCACGAATCCCATCCCCACGTCTGGGCCGAGAAAGCAGCCCGGGTCCGGAAGGTGTAGAGAGTCCCGGCCTCACTCAGCTCACAGGGCGTGCCAGGCGGCAACACCAGAATCTTCCAGAAGCCCAGCTCCACCCGCACACGCAGCTTCCCATCCAGTCCTTCAACTCAATTCTTACCCAACACGCGTTTCTGTTTGTTTTGAGACAAAATCACCACCTGTCAAAAGGCAGGTGGCTCCAGAGGGGTCAAGACCCCCCCCCGCCCCCGCTCCACCCTGGAGCCCACCCCCATGGGCACCGCGTGCCGCCTGCACGTGGGCTGTCTTCACAGGTCTGATGTGAAAATTCAATCACGACGTTAACCGGCTCGAGAGAGCGCCGGCCTAGAGGCTCATTATCTATTTATTTTACCAAACGCGAATTGAGACGGACTTTGACAAAACACGAAATGGTAATGTGAAGCTAAGAGCAGAGAGTGACCAACAGTAAACAACACGCGCAGACTCCGCGGCTGGCGGCTGTGTCTTTAAGGAAACTGCCCACCCCACCTCAGGGGGGCATCGGTCAGAGCAGAGCTCTGGGGGGTGGGGGGACGTTGCCCGGGTCCCCCCTGCTGTCCCCAGGGCCACCAGCAGCTCTGCGTCCCGGGTGCTCTCCAGGCAGGCACTGTGGCCACAGGGGGCCTGGCACGTCGAGTGTGCAAAGGTCTCGGTCCTTTTCTCCCAGGCAGTGCCCCCAGCCCTGTGGCGCAGACCCCACATCAGGGAGCGTACTGTGTGGCAAGAGCCATCTTGTGACGTAGGCCAGACACGTGTCTTTCTCTTTAAAATGACGGTTATCCTCTCACGGTTAGAGGCCCCATTCAAGTCTGCATTGAAATCTGGGCCACGTCAGAGTTCCTGGGGGAGAAGCCGCTTCCCCGCTCCTCCCCACTTCTGGAGGCCCCCACTCTCCTTGGCTCGTGGCCCCTTCCTCCAGTTCAGGGCCTCTGACCCACGCCCACCGTCACCACTTCTCATGCAGGCCAGAAGTGTTTCCAGGCCTAGGGGCCGTACCCACCTCGGGCTGTGTGGGTCCTTAGCCCTAATCACATCTGCACATCCCTCTGGCCAACTCTTTTTGGGTTTGCTTTTTGTTTTGAGATGGAATCGCACGCTGTCACCCAGGCTGGAGTGCAGTGGCACGATCTTGGCTCACCTCAACCTCCACCTCCTGGGTTCAAGCGATTCTCCTGTCTCAGCCTCTCAAGTAACTGGGATTACAGGTCTGTACCACCACACCCAGCTAATTTTTATATTTTTGGTGGAGACGGGGTTTCGCCATGTTGGCCAGGCTGGTTTCGAACTTTTGACCTCAGGTGATCCACCTGCCTCAGCCTCCCAGCGTGAGCCACCACGCCTGTCCCCGTCTGGCCAATTCTTGAAAGGCTCCCGTTTCCAGATCACACTCTGCTCTGCAGGTCATGGCCTGTCCCTTGAGGTTTTTCCCAAGCAGCAAGGTCCGTGCAGGGATTGGGAGCCAGGGGGAATGTTGTGGAAGCCACAGCAGAGGCAACGGGCCTGGGCATGGTCCTGCGGGGCGAGTGGGAGGCAAGGGTCCGTGGGGATGGTCATGTCAGCCACACTGCACCACCTCAGGGGCCTGACTTCTGGAGAGCTTGGGAACAGGCTCTTGTCCCCCCGGCCCCTCTCACCTGCCGACCAGAAATTGGGTCTCGGGCACTGAGTAGCTTGCCCAAAGCCCTGCCTGTTGGGTGGTGGCAGGGACTGGGGTCCTAACCCCACCCCAAGGCCATGTGCGGAGACCTTTACTCCACCACTTGGGCTGGGGGGTGTGTTGGGGCTGGGGGAGCCACGCACTCGGGACCTACAGGTGCTGCTTGTGCAAGCCCCGCCCCGCCCTAGAGCAGGCCTGCAGGAGTGGCAGCTCGGGACTCGGATGCACCAGGGCGATATGTGGAGCAACCAGCCCCGCTGCGCACACAGAGGGGGCGCCTGCTACCCGCTGGGCCCCCACCCACCACGGCCTCATCACCAGGGCTCGTGGCTCCTTGAGGACGTCCCCTCTCACTCAGTGCTGCACTGAATGGCCCTTCGGGGCTTCCCTCGTGTTCATGTCATTCCTTTTTCCAGGATAGATTCTGGCACCCACTGCAGCCTGGGCCCTCCTCACTGAGCCCGGCTCGCCTGCCTCCCTCCTCCACTTTTTTTTTTTTTTTTTGACAGGGTCTCACTGTCACCCAGGCTGGAGTGCAGGGGTGTGATCATGGCCACTGCAGCTTTGACCTAGGCTCAAGCAATCCTCCCACCTCAGCCTCCTGAGTAGCTGGGACCACAGGCGTGCACCACTACACTCGGCTGATTTTTGTTTACTTTTTGTAGAGACAGGACTCAGTCTCACTATGTGGCTCAGGCTGGCTTTGAAGACTCGGTCTCACTTTGTTGCCCAGGCTGGCTTCGAACTCCTGGATTCAGGGGATCCTGCTGCCTCGGCTTCCCAAAGCTCTGGGATTGCAGGCGTGAGCCCCACGCTGGCCCCTCCTCCACTTTTAAGGACCTTGTGATTACACTGGGCCCCCCGGGATGCTCCAGGGTCACCACCCTAGTTTAAAGTCAGCTGATCCAACCTTATTTCATCTGCAACCTGGATCCCCCGAGCCAGGTAGTCACAGGCTCCCACTAGGATGTGGACATCGATAGGGAACACTATGCTGCCAACCAACCCCTGTCTACAAGCCAAAGAGCATCCCACCAGGTAGAGCCCACGAACACTCAGGGGTCTTGGGCAGGAGGTGGGTGGACACAGGGCGGGAAGGAGATGCTCAGTGGGGTTGGGGGAAGCACCGGCCGCGATGGGCCTCCCAGATCTCAGGGCCAAGGCATGGGAAGCTGGCACCATGTCCGGGTCCTTGGGGCTGTCGGTAAACAAGTGGATCCCCCATGACACAGCAGCTGCTCCCAAGCCCCAGCCGGGGCCGGAACACAGGGCACGTTGCCATGGAATCCTGGAATCCTGCGCTGAATTGCAGTTTGTTTCAGGCAAGGACGCCCGGCACTCACGCAGCTGTGCCAGGCGGGCTCCTGTTGAGAGAGTCATATTTTTCCCATTAGCACCAGTTTTTCTGTCACCGAGATGAGTACAAATCGAGTTCTTGTAAACATGGGGATGGGCACGCTGTAGAAGCCAGCCTCAGGGGAGGCCAGGGCTGAGCCAGGCCCACACCTGCCCCTGCCACTGCCAGACCCCGTGTGGTTGTGGTGAAGGGGCCAGGCCTGGTGATGCCATGTGGAGGAATGCTCAGCCTTCTGGCGAGGGGCCGGTGAGGGCCAGGGGTGGCCATGGGGGCTCCTGCTCAGCATGGCTCTGCTGGGTGAGACTGCAGGCACCTGCCAGATGGGCAGCTGTGGCCTCCAACACACGTCTGTGCCTGGCCCCCTTCCAGGAGTCTTGGCGGATAGCCCTCGGGAGGCGGCAGAGCAGTTGGCCTCTGGGGGTCTGTGTCTCAGACTCAGTTACCGGGTGGTCCGGAGCCCACACGTCCCCAGACAGGACAGAGCCTCAGAGTCAGGCACAGACCAGGAAGGAACCCTTGAAGGACACAGGGCGGGCGGGGAGGCCAGAGTGGGGGCCGAGCAGGACCTCCCACATCCGCCTGCGGAAGCCCCAGTGCCCGGAACCCCTGCACCCGGGCCTGCGGCTGTATTTGGAGACAGGGCCTTTGCACGGGTGAGTATGGTGAAATGAGGTCACCAGGGTGGCCCCAATGCAGTAGGACTGGTGTCCTTATAAGAAGGAAGATTAGGACACAGCTGTGCACAGAGGGACGGCCACACGAGGACACAGCCTACCTGCCAGGGAGAGTGGTCCCGGAAGAAGATAGCCAAGAGGCCCCTCTGTCTCCAAGTCCAGCCTCCAGACAGGGCGGGTGGAGAGGGAATACAGGCCTGCCGCTCAGGCTGCCGGGCCCACGGTGGTTTGCTTGGTGGCCCTGGGACACTGGCGCCACCATGGCACCTCCAAGCCCCAGCCTGTCCCTCACTTTAATGTGGGGACAGTTACTGCAGGCATGAGTGCTGTGAGCACCAAACAAGACCACAGAAGCTTCCAGAACAGCACTGGCACCAGGGAAGCACCCAATGGACACTGTCCGAGGTCACCTGAGGACTTCACAACTGCGGGTGCCACAGGGCTTGGGAGCTGGGAAGAACACAGCTCTTTGCCACAGCTCAGCCGATGTCAAGTCCCAGGGCTGCACGGTACCCGCCTGGACCATCAGAGGAGAGCAGACCCTGAGCTGGGCCTGGTCACCTGGTGCCACCCAGCTGAGGCCATGTCCTGTCGGTGGCTCCTGAGCTGGAGGAGGAAGAGCCCAACCACATGGGCCCTGCCTGTCCTTCCCCCTCCTCCACCTTGGGAAAGAACCTCACTGCAGCTGTTGCGGCGGCTTCCCTGCCCATCCCATCCTCCCTCCGGTGCCCACCCCGTCCGCCTGACTGCCGCCTCCTCTACATAATGAGCTAGAGGGTCCCTCCTCCTGAGCTCCACAGTCCCTGCGCTGGCCCTGCCGTCCCAGGAGCAGGAGCAGCCACAGGGCTCCTGGGGCTCTGAGGCTCCATCCGCTGTTGTGTGACCCAGGCACAGTGTCCACGGAACACAGGACGAGAGTTACACACCCAGCCCCGCCACACCACTGTGAGGACAGAGAAGGCATGGCGTGACCTGCCACCTGGTGGAGGGCTGCGACCATGGAGGGTGCTGGATGCACCTACCCTGCCCTGCTGCCTGGAAGGGGGTCTCTGCTCCCCAGGGCCGGGGGACCATGAGTTCACCTCTGTCATCAGTGTCAGCATGACAAACCCCACTGGTGCCGCTCACAGCAGGATCCCACATCCCAGGCCAGCCCCCTCTGCCATGCCACCTACCTCACAGCCAGAGGTGGGAACAGCAACTCTGGGGAGAACTGAGGGTGCTGTGGCCACCGGGTCCCTGAGGCTCACGGAGGAGAGTGAGGCGAGGAGAACCATGGAGCTGGGCCCTGCCTTGGGAACCAAGCACTCGCCCTTTGCAGCTGCAGAGCCGTCCTGATGGGCAGGCGGGGGCGGGGTCGCTGTGTAGCTGTGCAGAGAGCGCTCCGAATGGGGGTCTGTCACCAGCTCCCAAGCTCGTGGGTTCTCTCAAGATTCTTGTGGCACATGATTCATTGCCTTTCTTAACAGCATCGCTGAAAGGAGAAAAGGCCCTTTGGAAATTGATTGCAGTCCCTGGATGTGTCTCTTGGAGCACATGTCCCTCGGTTCCCACTTGGCAAACCAGGCTTCATGTCCCCAAGACAGGGCCAGGCAGCCCATGCGCTCCACCCCCTCCCCCGCCAGCCTGCACATCCTCCCCCATCGTCCATGCAGCCCCCCAGACGCCCGCTGTCCCCGGCCCTGGGTCCTGACGTGGCGGGAAAGGCAGTTCAGGACCCCCCATCTCCCACCTCCCTATCCGAAACCCAGCCCTCACTCCCCAGAAGGCCATCACTGCAGCGTCCTCCAAACAGCCTGTGGCCCCACAGGCATGCTCTGAGTTTGCTTCCAGGGGCCAGGAAGTGAGGAGCCCCCAGTGCTGAGGCCAGGGACACTCATGCAGGGCTCATGGCCACCAGCGACAGCCACCAAGGTCACTGCCCAAGGCTGCTTGAGCCATCCTGCCAGGTGGCCTCCTGGGCCCAGAAGGCTGATGTCACCCACGGCTCAGCATCGGAGGGCAGATGCCATCTGATGAGGTCAGAAGAACTGCCCAGACCCCAGGACCCCCACTCAGATCCCCACAGCCTGGTGAGGTACAGAACCACAGCCGCATCTGCAGGGGGAGGCGCAGGAGTACTCAGAGCTGTGGGTTCCCCTCTGGCCTCCCCTTGGAGGCTCTCCCGGCTGCCCTCCAGGGTCATCCACCATCCACCGCAGGCGAGCTGGAGGGGTGGATGGGAAGGCTTTGCCTGAGGGTGTAAGCCCCCAGGGCCCTCCAGGGAGGACAAGCTGCGCGGCCGGGAAGCTCCGCAGCCTCCAACCCAGGGCTGGCAGGAGCTGGGGGCTGGGGGCTCCCCACATGGGGTCCCAGGCTCACCTCCCAGCAGGGGGAGGCCCAGAGAGCTGCCCGCACACCCTCACCAACTGCTCCCCAGTCCTGGCCCCTGCCTGGCTCACCGTGGTCAGTTTGCCCCCACAGAGAACCAGCCCCCAACTGCCAGCTGCTTCCACCTTCAGCAGCTGCTGGGGGCCAACCAGGTTCCACCCTGTAGCCAGGGGCTCCTCCAAACCCAGCGATGGGGGAGCCAGCCCTGAAAGCACCAGCCCCAGGGCAGCACAGGGCCTGTCACAGGCCCCCAGCAAGCAGCCCGGGATCCAAGGTGCCAGGGAGTCCAAGAGCAAGGCACACTGGGTTTACCAACCACAACCCCCTCCATGCCCTCTGTGTTAGAAAAAGAAAGAAGAAAAGGCAGCAAACTCAGACTGTGGAGCGGGAGCAGCCACCACCTGCATGGAGCAGAGGCCCAGGTGGGCATGGGGATCTGGACCAGCAGAGCCTTCCTGGGCTGCGCACCCCATCCACGTGGGAGACAAGAGCTTAAGGGCTCCCAGAAAGGCTCCCAACCATAGCAGCAAGGAGGGGCTGGATGCAGGAGAGCCACAGAGTTTGTCGCTGGTACAGTGGCATGACCTGCCTTGCAGGAGGAGGTGCCTGTGGGCGGTAACACAGCCGCCCCCATCTTCATACTCTGAGCCCAGCTTCTCCCCTAACTGGAAGACCCAGATGAGGCACTGCTGTCAACCCAACTGGCTATGAAAGCCCTGACCACGTGCAGGATGCCCATCCTCACAGCCTGTAAAGGGAGGAGACCGTGCCGGGTGCAGTGGCTCATGCCTGTAATCCCAGCACTTTGGGAGGCCGAGGCAGGCGGATCCCGAGGTCAGGAGATAGAGACCATCCTGGCTAACACGGTGAAATCCCATCTCTACTAAAAATACAAAAAAAAAAAAAAATTAGCCGGGCATGGTGGCGGGCACCTGTAGTCCCAGCTACTCAGGAGACTGAGGCAGGAGAATGGTGTGAACCCAGGAGGTGGAGCTTGCAGTGAACCGAGATCGCGCCGCTGCACTCCAGCCTGGGCGACAGAGCAAGACTCTGTCTCAAAAAAAAAAAAAAGGGAGGAGACTGACCACCCCCAGGCTCTGCAGGGAAGGTGACAGAGGCCAACAACCACAATCAAAGGCAAAGTGGGACCCACATGGGTGGTTTTTTGGGTTTTTTTATTTTTTTGAGACGGAGTCTCACTCTGTCGCCCAGGTTGGAGTGCAGTGGCGCGACCTCCGCTCACTGCAAGCTCCACTCCCGGGTTCACGCCATTCTCCTGCCTCAGCTTCCTGAGTAGCTGGGACTACAGGCGCCCGCCACCATGCCCGGCAATTTTTTTTTTTTTTTTTTTTGTATTTTTAGTAGAGACGGGGTTTCACCGTGTTAGCCAGGATGGTCTCGATCTCCTGACCTCGTGATCCGCCCGCCTTGGCCTCCCAAAGTGCTGGGATTACAGGCGTGAGCCACCGCGCCGGGCCTTTTTTTTTTTTTTTTTTTTTTTTTTTTTTTTGAGATGGAGTCTCACTGTCACCCAGGCTGGAGTGCAGTGGCGCAATCTCATCTCACTGCAACCTCCGCCTTGCAAGTTCAAGCGATTCTTGTGCCTCCACCTCCCGAGTAGCTAGGATTACAGGCGTGCGCCACCATGCCTAGCTAATTTTTGTATTTTTCGTAAAGACGGGATTTTGCCATGTTGGCCAGGCTGGTCTCGAACTCATGACCTCATGATCCACCCACCTCAGCCTCCCAAAGTGCTGAGATTACAGGCGTGAGCCACCACGCCTGGCCACGGGTTTGTTTTTGTTTTACTTTTAAAAACTTTTTGGTCTGGGAGAAAAATGACACACTAGCAATGAACAATCTGAAAAGGAAATTAAGAAACCAATTCTATTTACAATAGGATGCAAAAGAATAAAATATCTAGAAACAAATTTGACAAAGGAAATGAAAGACTTTGACACTGAAAACTACAAAACATTGCTGAAAGTAAGAGGCTCTAAAGATGGAAAGAAATCCCACGTTCATGGATTGGATGACCTAATATTGTTAAGTTAGCAATACTCCCCACAATGATCTACAGATTCAAGGCAATCTCTATCAAAATTCCGATGGCCTTTTTCACAGAAATAGAAAAACCAGGCTAGGTATAGTGGCTCACACCTGTAATCCCGACACTTTGGGAGGCGGAGGCAGGTGGATTGCTTGAGCCTAGGAATTCAAGACCAGCCTGGACAACATAACCCCCATTCTACAAAAAATACAAAAATTAGCCAGGCATGATGGCGTAGTAGTCCCAGCTACTTGGGAGGCTAAGGCAGGAGGATCACTTGTACCCGAGAGGTTAATACTGCAGTGAGCCGTCGTCACACCACTGCACTCCAGCCTGGGTGACAGAATGAGACCCTGTCTCCAAAAATAAAAAGAAAAAAGAAAAACCAATCCTCAACTTCAAGGGGCCTCAGAGAGCCAGAACGATATTGTAAAAGAATTATAATATCATAAAATAATATTGTAAAATAATTTTCTTCTTGCAAAAGAAAAAAATTAGCCAGGTATAGTGGCTTGTGCCTGTAGTCCCAGCTACTGAGGAGGCTGAGGTGGGAGGATCTCTTGAGCCCGGGAAGGGAGTCCAGCCTGGGCAACATAGGAGACGCCATCTCTAAAAAGTAAAGAAGAAATAGTGTTGGTGGGGGGAGGAAGAAATTAGAGGATTCACATTTCTCAATCTCAAAACTTACTACAAAACTATGTGGTACTGGCATAGAATAGACGTACGGAGCAATAGAATAAAATAGAAAGCCCAGAAATAAACCCGAAGATCTAATATGACTGATCGATTTTTGCAAGGGTGACAAGACCATTCAGTGGATAAAGGGTAAAGAATGGCCTTTTTAACAAATGATGCGGGGGCAGTTGGAGATTTACATGCCAAAAGCAATGACGCTGGACTCTTACCTCATACCATGTACTGAAAACTAATTCAAAGTGGATCAATGACCTAAATACATGAAATAAAATTATAAAACAGCTAGAAAAAAACATAGAAGTCAATTTTAATGACCCTGGGTTTGGCAATGGATTCTTAGATTTGACACCAAAAGCACATGCAACAAAAGAAAAAATAGATAAATTGGACTTCATAAAAATGAAAAACTTGTGCATCAGAAGACATTATCCTGCCAGGCACAGTGGCTCAGGCCTGTAATCCTAGATCTTTGGGAGGCTGAGGCAGGAGGATTGCCTGAGCCCAGGAGTTCAAGATTCAAGACCAGCCTGGGCAACATAGCAAGACCTTGTCTCTACAAATTAAAAAAAAAAATAGCTGGTTGTAGCGTCACGTGCCTGTGGTCCCAGCTACTTGGAAGGCTGAGGCAGGAGAATCACTTGAGCCTGGGAGGTTGAGGCTGCAGTGAGCTATGATCACACCACTGCACTCCAACCTGGGTGACAGAGCCAGACCCCTGTCTCAAAAAAGAATGTGAAAAGACAACCTACAGAAATGGATTAAACTATTTGCAAATAATGTATGTGATAAGGGTTTAATATCCAGAACATATAAGGAATTCTTACAACTCAACGACAAAAAGTCAAACAACCCAGGCCAGGCGCAGGAGTTCACACCTGTAATTCCAACATTTTGAGAGGCCAAGGCAGGCGGATCACTTGAGGCCAGGAGTGCAAGACCAGCCTGGCCAACATGGTGAAACCCCGTCTCTACTAAAAACACAAAAATTAGCCAGGTGTGGTGGTGGACGCCTGTCATCCCAACTACTCAAGAGGCTGAGGCAGGAGAATCGCTGGAACTCAGGAGGTGGAGGCTGTAGTGAGCCAAGATTGTGCCACTGCACTCCAGCCTGGGTGATAGAGCAAGTCTCCATCTCAAAAATAATAATAATAATAATAAGCCAGGCACGGTGGCTCATGCCTGTAATCCCAGCATTTTGGGAGGCCGAGGCAGGCAGATCACAAGGTCAAGAGATTGAGACCATGATGGCCAACATGGTGAAACCTCATCTCTACTAAAAATACAAACATTAGCTGGGCATGGTGGTGCGCACCTGTAGTCCCAGCTACTCGGGAAGCTGAAGCAGGAGAATCACTTGAACCAGGGAGGTGGAGGTTACAGTGAGCCGAGATCGTGCCACTGTACTCCAGCCTGGTGACAGAGTGAGACTCTGTCTCCAAAAAAATAAAAATAAAAAATACAAATAAAAAAATTTTAAAAAGACAAGCAACCTAATTTTAAAATGGTCAGAGGATTTAAATACCTTCTCCAAAGCAGGTGAACAAATGGCCAATAAGCACATGAAAAGATGCTCATTACCAGTCATTAGGGAAATGGACATGAAAACTACAATGAGATTCCACTTCACACCTTCTAGGATGGCTTCAATTTAGAAAGAAAACCAGCTTTTGGCAACTCCCTTCAGTTGTCCCGAACCCTGGTTCATCTGACACCAGCTGCTTCACCATGCTCTGAAGTTCCACCCCAACAAGAGCAAAGTCGTACACCTGAGGTGCAGCGGGGGCAAAGTCGGTGCCACGTCTGCACTGGCCCCCGAGACCGGCCCCCTGGGTCTGTCTCCAAAAAAGGCTGGTGATGACATTGCCAAGGCAACCGGTGACTGGTGGTCTGAGGATTACAGCGAAACTGACCATTCAGAACAGACAGGCCCAGACTGAGGTGGTGCCTTCTGCCTCTGCCCTGATCATCAACGCCCTCAAGGAACTGCCAGGAGACAGAAAGAAACAGAAAAACATCAAACACAGTGGAAATATCACTTTTGATGAGATTGTCAACATTGCTCCACAGATGTGGCACTGATCTTTAGCCAGAGAACTCTCTGGAACCATTAAAAAGATCCTGGGGACTGCCCAGTCTCTGGGCTGCAATGCTGATGGCCTCCATCCTCATGACATCATAGATGACATCAACAATGGTGCCGGGGAATGCCCAGCTAGTTAAGAAGCACAAAGGAAAATATTTCAATAAAGGATCATTTGACAATTAAAAAAAAAAAAAAAGAAAACCAGAAAGTCAGAAGGGTTGGTGAAGATGTGGACAAATCGAAACCTTCCCGCATTGCTGGTGAAAATGGAAAATGGTGCAGCCACTGGGGAAAATCGTTCGGCGGTTCCTCAAGAAGTTAAGCACGGGATCAGCGTTGGACCCAGCAATTCCACTCCCAGATATATACCCAAGAGAAATGAAAACATGTCCATGCAGAAATTTGTACAGGAATATTTATAGGACATTATTCATAATGGCCAAAAGGCAGAAACAACAAAAGGTCCAACAATGAATGAATGGATAAACATGATGCAGTATATTCATACCATGGAATATTACGCAGCCTTGAAAAGGAAGCACTGAAGCTACAACGAGGATGCCTCCTGCAAACACACGGAATGAAAGAGGCCGGATTCCAGAGGCCATATTGTGCAATTCCTTTTATATGACATATCTGGAATAGGTAAAACCAGCCCAACTACAGAAAGGAGACTGATGGCACCAGGGGTGGGGGGAGAGGAGGAATGAGGGGTGCCACTTGGTATTTTTCTTTTCTTTTCTTTTTTTTCTTTTTTTGAGACGGAGTTTTGCTGTCATTGCCCAGGCTGGAGTGCAATGGCGTGATCTCAGCTCACCGCAACTAATTTTGTATTCTTAGTAGAGACGGAGTTTCTCCATGTTGGTCAGGCTGGTCTCAAACTCCCGACCTCAGGTGATCTGCCTGCCTCAGCCTCCCAGAGTGCTGGGATTACAGGCATGAGCCACCTAGCCCAGCCCTTACTGAGTATTTTTCTGGGGTGATTAAAATGTTTTGACACCAGATAGAGAAGGTGGTTGTACAACATTGTGAATACACTGAATGCCACTGAAATGTACACTTTAAAATGGTTAACGGGGCTAGGCGCAGTGGCTCACACCTGTAATCACAGCACTTTGGGAGGCCAAGGTGAGCGGATCACCTGAGGTCAGGAGTTCAAGACCAGCTTGGTCAACATGCCGTCTCAGCTAAAAATACAAAAATTAGCCAGATGTGGTGGTGCATACCTGTCATCCCAGCTACTCGGGAGGCTGAGACAAGAGAATCACTTGAACCTGGGAGGCAGAGGTTGCAGTGAGCCAAAATTGCACCACTGCACTCCAGCCTGGGCAACAGAGCAAGACTCTGTCTCAATAAATAAATAAATAATAAAATAAAATTTTATTTTATTTTGTGGTGGCACAGACTGTAGTCCTAGCTACACGGGAGGCCGAGGTGGGAGGATTGCCTGGGCCCAGGAGTTGGAGGCTGCAGTGAGCTATAGTTGCCACCGCACCCCAGCCTGCGTGACAGAATGAGACCCTGTCTCTAAAAAATAAAAATAAAATAAACTAGTTAATTGCAGGTTATATGAATTCCACTTCCATTCTTTTTCATTGACAAAAATACAAACTGACGCCAGAGAATGCGGCTCCGGTCATGCCTTTGGTCCCTCCAGGTTCAAGCGAGAGGATTTGCTGTGAGAAACAGAAGTCTCTTAAGAGTGTTAAGAGTGCAACCTGAGAGGGAGGGTGCCCACTGTTGTGGTCTGAACATCGTGTCCCTCCAAAACCCCTGTTGGCACCGAATCCCCAGTCTAGCGTATTAAGAGGTGGGGCCCTTCCGGGTAATTGGGTCATGAGGGCGCCTCCCCTGTGAGTGGGATTAAGGCCTGTGTAAGAGGCTTCACACCTCAGCTCCCTTTTGCTGTCCTGCCTCCCGCCATGGGGGGACACAGAGCTCAAGGCGCCATCGTGGAAGCAGAGAGCCGCCCTCCCCAGGCACGGGAATCCAGCACCTTGACCTTGGACTTCTCAGCCTCCAGAACTGCAAGAAAGAAATGTCCATTGTTCATAAATTACCCAGTCTCCGAATTCTGTTACAGCAGCATGAACAGACTAAGACCCAAGAACTCGCCAAGGACCGTAAGGGGCCCGGAGTCGTGAGACACAAATTCAGGCCTGGAACAGCCCAGAGAAACAGGCGGACATCAGGCAGCCCCAGGGACCCGCTGCTCTCATGGTCACGAGGCTAGCAGCCCGGCCTCCAGCTCTGTAATCCCCTCATCTCTGGGGGAAGTCACCTGGAGGGGCCCCTGTGGCCAGGACTGAGGCCTCCTGCCCACAGCCACTCAGATGAGCATGGAGGCGACTCTGGCAGCCTCCCAGGCTTGAGATGAACCCGGCCAGCAGCTGAGCTGCAGAATTCTGACTCCAGGGGCAGCCTGTGCCACACACATTCATCGTCTATCACACGCGAGAAGTGACCCAAGGACTCAGCAGCTGAAAGCAGCCGACATCATCCCACACACTCCCAGGCCAGGAGACCGGAAGCGGCTCAGCAGGAAGCCGGGCTCAGGTCTCCCGGGGGTGGCCATCCAGCTGTCAGCCAAGATGGAGGCCACCGTGCCATTAATGACCCAATCTCAAAAGTGACCTGCCATCACTCTCCTCTGCCCTTGGTCACTCAGACCAACCCAGCGCAGTGTGTGTGGGGACGCAAGGACCGTTTGAGGGCCTGTGGCAGCCTCCTGTGTCCGTAGCTGATGTGAGCTCATCCCACCTCCCCGGGCTTCTTCCTGCCCCAAGCCTGGCCTTCTCACCCCCTTCCTGGCTCTCTTCAAGCCATCCCACCCAGCATCCTTCCTGACCTTCAGACCACAGGCATAGCTCACCCAAAACACACCCTCCAGGCCTCAGTGGCCCCCCTCCTGGGCGCTCATGTCCCCTCAGGCGCGTGAGCCTCCCAGCCACCTGATTCCGGCCACCACCATCACTCCCGGGGGGCCGCTGCAGCTGCCTGCCTGGCAGTTCCAGCTCCACCCAGCACAGGCCGCTTTACTCCTCCCTGCCTCAGTTTCTCCCGTGGAATGCAGACGGTCCCCCATCCTCCTGGAAGGCTGGCTGTGTGGGAGCTGGGGCAGTAGTGTGTGTGCAGCCTGTGACCCCTGGGTCGGCCGATGTCATCTCCCAAGTGGCGCCACGTCTGCCCAGGGGCTTAGGCCAAAGGCTGACCTCGCCTTCATGCCCCTTCCCCTCAGGGCCGCTCCTGCCCATCCAGCAGCTCTCACCGGGTTGACCCGTGGCCTTCAAGCCTGTTTCCCACCGCGACCCCTTCTCCCCAGGGGGAGCAGCCAGGATGAAAACCCAAGTGAGGTCAGTCCCTCCTGGGCAAGGGCCAAGCGCTTCCGGCTGTCCGAGAACAGGGGCGGACCAGCCCCAGGGCTGCCATGCCCCACCCACCATCCAGTCCTGGCACTGCACTGTCACCCCGCTGTCCTTCTATCTGGGGTTCAGGCTCCTGAGATCAGATGCCACATCCTCAACTACCCACCCAACATCCCTCCAGCCCAGCACCACCTCCATTCCCCTGTGTCCCTTGTCATATGCAAACTCCATGACAAAGGGACTGCAGTTCTCAGAGCAGGGCCTGCCCATGGTAGGCGCTGAAGGAATGAATGAATATGAATGAGTGTATGAGTGAGTGAGTGAGTGAGCGAATGAGTGGGTGAAAAAGTTAATGAGCAAGTGTATGAATGGGTGGGTGTGTGAGTGGGTGGGTGAGTGGGTGGGTGAATGGGCGGATGAGTCAAAGAATGAGTCAGTGAATGAGTGTGTGAGTGAGTGTGTGTGTGTGAGTGTGTGTGTGAATGAGTGGGTGAATGAATGAGTGTGTGAGTGAATGAGTGGGTGAATGAGAGGATGAATGAATGAATGAGTGAAGGAGTGGGTGACTGAGTGAATGAGTGAGGGAGTGGGTGAGTGAATGAATGAATGAGGGAGGGAGGGAGTGAATGAGTGAGTCAGTGAGGGACAGAGAGACGGAGTGAGGGAGTTAAAGAGTGGGTGAATGAGTCAATGAGTGAGAGAATGAATGAGTAAATGAGTGAGCCAGTGAGGGACGGAGGGAGTGAGTTAATGAGCAGGTGAATGAATGAGTGAATGAGGAAGTGAGTGAATAAGCGGGTGAATGAATGAATGAGGGAGGAAATGAATGCGCAGGTGAATGAATGAATGAATGAGTGAAGAGGGAGGGAGGGAGCAGGTGAATAAATGGATGAGTGAATGAGTGAGGTAGTGACTTCATCAAGCCCCGCAGGTCCCGCAGCCACAGGGCCTCCCACTCCCCGTGCCCCCGCCCCCGCGCCCCCGCGGGTTTCCGGGACCCCAGTCTCTGCTGCCCTCCGCGCAGGAGCCTGCACAGGGTAGGGGCCCGCGAGGACCCCGGGGCGGCCTGCCGAGGTCTGGGGGCCTCCCTTAGGGGTCTGCGGGTCTCTCCCCCAGGGGTGTGGGGTCCTGCCTCCTCCGGGCTGAGGTCCTCCCACCGGGGTCCGGGGTCCCGCCTGCGGGGTCCGGGGTCTCTCCCACCGGGGTCCGGGGTCCCGCCTGCGGGGTCCGGGGTCTCTCCCACCGGGGTCTGGGGGCCGCCCCAGCTGCGAGGGCCGCCGGCTTCCCCTGTCCTGCAGCGCCACCGCGTGGCCGCCGCGGCCGCTGCTCCTTCCCCTGGCGCGGGGGTCGCCGCTGCCAGCCGGGGCGGGACAGGCTGCTGGGACGTCAGCCCCGAGGCCCCGCGCCACCCCTTCCTGCCCCATTTCTACCGTAGCTCTCAAGCACCCAAAAGATGTCTTCGCCCTTAACCCCCTGCAGCCCAGCGCCCCCACTCCACGGGTCTCTGAGGGTCCCCAGCAAGCAGGGTCTTCCCTCTGGGCCACCCGGCCCTCCTCTGGGAGCAGCCCACTTCTCCCCGGCGCTGCCGCAGCCCCTCCGAGGACACCTTCTCTTCCCTAGGCCGCCCATTGCCGCGCCCCAGGGAGTGTCTGCAGCCACGGGTCCCTCCAACCCCGCACTTGTGTCCAGCACCAGCACTTTCTGGGCTCTCGCCCATTCCTTGAGGATTTGCTTCTTTTGACTTGCTCCAGAATGTTCGTCGGGCTCATCATTTTCTCTGCTCCCTGAGTCACCGCTGCTTAGTCTGACCCTGAAGATCCCACCAGGAGCGTGGGAGCCCCTGCCTGGACACTCCCCCGGCCCATGGAGAAGGTGGCAGCTCTCCCACATCCGCTGGGCCCCACCGACGCGGGGCACCTGCAAGGAGGGGTGCAGCCCCCAGTTCATGATCTCAGGGTCTCCTGGCCCAAGCCAGGCGTCAGCACGCAGCCCAGGCAAGTCACCTGCAACACGGCAAAAGGCCCTTTCCCTCCCTGCATGCCTCTCGGCCCCACCTTCCCTCCCTCCCCACTAGGCATGGGCTCAGGTGTGGGTGTGACTCCTGGGCCAGGCAGCCGTGGGTCTTCACCCACCATGGCTGCAGCTGACCAGGCTGGGACTGGAAGGCGGAGAAGGAGGGCTGCCCTCTCCACCCAACGGCCCTCCAGCCCTAGGAGGAAGCTGGCTGCGTGGTCAGGGAAGAGATGAGGGACAGAGAGTGGGGAGGGCTTCCTCCACTGGTGACTGCATTGGTCAGTTCCTGCACCCAGAAGGCCTAGGGCCACCTCTGTGGAGTGGAGCCACCAGCACGACCCCCAGAGGCTGGTGGACACCTGGGTGGAGGGACCAGCTGGATGATGATGTCATGTCCACGTCATTGGTGCCTCACAAGAACCACCTTTTCTCACCGGCTGCCTCTCCATTCGTGTGTCATTTGAAGGCCACCCCAAATGTCACCTCCTCAATGGAACCTTCCCGGATCCCCACAGCCTTCCCATCCCATGTTCCAGGCCGGCTGTGGGCAGCTTGGCCCAATGCTGCCTGCTGAGGGATCCCGGGTGAGTGTCCCCAGCAGGAAGGGCCCTCGTGAGACAGGGGCGGCGGGAGAGGAGTAGAATCTGTGTCCTTGTTCCTGGGTCTGGCCCATGTGAGGTCTTGCCGTGGCGGGTGGGCCTTTTCACGCTGGTGCTGGCGGCAGCTGTGGCCATCACCAAGGGTTTCCTGCGGTCCCTGCAACCTCCCGACTCTAAACACTCGCCATGTCCCCGAGATCCAGGGATGGGACTCCCCGGCCTTCATTCCTCCAACTCTTAATGATTTTTGAAGCACTTGATCCTTTGTATTAAATACCTCCCTCCTTGAAATGCCCAGAGGGGTTCCTGCTTTCCAGGGCAAACCTCAGGTGATGACCTCATTGCTAAGTTAAGGGCGGATTGTGCCTCCCCAAAACTCACAGGTTGAAGTCCTACCCCCTAGCGCCGCAGAATGGGACCTCAGTTGGAGATGATGTCATTGCAGATGTAATTAGTTAATGTGGGTGGTGTTGGGGCAGGTTCCTCCATATAACATATTGTCCTTATAAAAAGGGAACATTTGGCCAGGCGCGGTGGCTCACGCCTGTAATCTCAGCACTTTGGGAGGCTGAGGCAGGCGGATCACAAGGTCAGGAGATCGAGACCATCCTGGCTAACATGGTGAAACCCTGTCTCTACTAACAATACAAAAAATTAGCCGGGCGTGGTGGCAGGCGCCTGTAGTCCCAGCTACTCGGGAGGCTGAGGCAGAAGAATGGCGTGAACCCGGGAGGCAGAGCTTGTAGTGAGCCGAGATCGCACCACTGCCCTCTAGCCTGGGCGACGGAGCGAGACTCCATCTCAAAAAAAAAAAAAAGGAGGAGGGGAACATTTGGACACAATCATAACACAAGAGAACACGTCGGGAAGATGAAGGCAGAGGACGGGGGGATGTTTCTACAAACCAAGGGACACCGACGCCGCCCACAGTCACCAGGGGCCGGGGGACACATGGGCCGGATTCTCCCTCGGAGCCTCAGAAGGAATCCTCCCTGCTGACTGCAAGGACCGGGGCGGGCCGGCAATTTCCGACAGCAGGGGAAGGATGACATCTTTAAAATCACACACAAGGGCCCTGCAGTCTCAGTTGAAGTCAGAGGGAGAAAATCAGAAAACAAGGAGGAACAGTGAAGAAAATCTTCTGGTAGCAAGACCACGGCATCCGAAAATGATTTCCCAAGTTTTACCCTACGGCTCGGAGGATTACAACGGAAATTAAATTCTCAGCCTCCCCAGGTAACCTGTGTGAACCTTAGAGCAGAGCGGGGGGAAGTGGGGATGGAAGGACCTGAGGGGTAACCCTGATCCCCTGCCCAGGGAGTCCCACTCAGCCTTGCTTGCCGGCAGAAGCCACCCTCCTCCCTATCTGAGGCAGCTCCCACACTGGGAGACCTCACCTGAAGCATCTGCCTGGGGCAGGAGGCTGATTCCCCTCGAGACCCAGGCCCGTCACCCCTGGTTGCCTCTAACCCCATAGCTGGAGTGAGATCCCAGCTGACTCCAGGGAGAAGAATAAAAACCTGCCACACCCCAAGATCATCAAGATTTTGCTAATTCAAGCTGGAGACTAGTGGTGAGCGTGGATCCCACTGTCAGGGCGGCTGCACACTCCAGGGACTCTGAGCTCAACTGTCTGCCTGAGTATCTGTGAGAAACTGGAGCTGTTCGCTCTATTTGTTGCTGGAAACTTGGACTTGGACGGGCGTGGTGGCTCACACCTGTAATCCCAGCATTTTGGGAGGCCAAGGCAAGTGAATCACCTGAGGTCAGGAGTTCGAGACCAGCCTGGCCAACATGGTGAAACCCCATCTCTACTAAAAATACAAAAAATTAGCCAGGCGTGGTGGCAGGCGCCTGTAATCCCAGCTACTCAGGAGGCTGAGGCCGGAGAATCGCTTGAACCCTGGAGGCAGAGGTTGCAGGGAGCCGAGATCACGCCATTGCACTCCAGCCTGGGCAACAGAATGAGACTGTCTCAAAAAGAAAGAAACCTGGACTTAACAGTGGCCCAGCTGAGATTCCAGGATTTCCTCAGTAGAGCACAGAGAGAAGAATCCAGCAGCGTAGAGAGCCAGGAATGCCAAATGGATTCGTCAGATGCAACCCATTGGCTGAGTCCCTCATCACCTCCCCAAAACATTCCTTACAAAGGCCTGCAACTTGCCCACAAGGAGGCTCTGAGCTCTGCCGCCAACAAGACTGTGTCCCCTGATCTCTCACGTGACCCTGGAGTGGCAAAGACCGAGAGTCTGAGATGGGACAGGCTCGGTGACAGAAGGAGCGGCCAGCTGGGAGCAGAGAGTGCCACAGGGGTCAGGGCCCTTGGCTAATGGGTCAAGCATCCCCAGAACTGAAAAAGATGGACAGTCTATGAAAGCTTAAATTGATCATTTTTTTAAAAACCAGGTCAGGCGCGGTGGCTCTTGCCTATAATCCCAGCGCTTTGAGAGGACAAGGACTGAGGATCACTTGAGCCCAGGAGTTCGAGACCCACCTCGGCAACATAATGAGAACCCTATCTCTACAAAAAATACACAGATTAGCCAAGCATGGTTGTGTGCACCTGTGGTCCCAGCTACTCGGGAGGCTGAGTGGGGTGGATCACCTGAGCCCAGGAGGTCAAGGCTGCAGTGAGCTGTGACGGCACCACTGCACTCTAGCCTGGGCAACAGTGAGACCCTGTCTCCAAAAAAAAAAAAAAAATACAATAACAAAAACAAACCCAGATCTAGGCCAGGCGCAGGGGCTCACGCCTGTAATCCCCGCACTTCCGGAGACCAAGGTGGGTGGATCACCTGAGGTCAGGAGTTCAAGACCAGCCTGGCCAACATGGTGAGACTCCCATCTCTACTAAAAATACAAAAAATTACCCAGGTCTGGCGGCTCATGCCTGTAATCCCAGGTACTCGGGAAGCTGAGGCATGAGAATCACTTGAACCTGGGAGGCGGAGGCTGCAGTGAGCCAAGATCACGCCACTGCACTCCAGCCTGGGTGACAGAGTGAGACTGTCTCACAAAAAAAAAAAAAAGAAAAAGAAAAAAGAAAAAAACCAGATCTGCCATGAAATACCTTAATGGAGAGTGGCGATCCCTCACCAGTTCCCCGGCCTGACCAGTCCCAGGACTGGGCCCCCAAATAAAGGGGAGAACATGCCTCTCCGTGGAAGGGCAGACACCAACACCTTCAAGTCTCCCTGCTGCCTTCTCTAAGCACCTACAACCATTGCTCTGGTCATCTTTTGCTGAGTAACAAATCACCCCAAAACTCAGTGGCTTAAAACAATAACAAACACGTATTTTGCTCACAAATCTGTGATTTAGGCAAAGTACACCAGAGAAGGCTCGTCTCTGCTCCGTGTGACATCAGCTGGGGTGGCTCAGCGGATGAGGGGACTAGAACATTTCCCTTCTAAGAAGGCTCATCCCATGGCTGGCCAGGTGGTGTCAGTGGGCGGTTCCTCCCAGGGGCTGCTTGGCTCCTCCTGACTTGGTGGCTGAGTTCCAAGAACGAGAGTCCAGGAGACACCAGGTAGACACTGTGTCTTATTTTAGTTTAGTTTAGTTTAGTTTTTTGAGATGGAGTCTCACACTGTCATCCAGGCTGGAGTGCAGTGGCATGATCTCAACTCACTGCAACCTCCGCCTCCCAGGTTCAAGCAATTCTCCTGCCTCAGCCTCCCAAGTAGCTGGGACTACAGGTGTGCACCACCACGTTAGCTAATTTTTGTATTTTTAGTAGAGACAGCGTTTCACCATGTTTGCCAGGATGGTCTCAAACTCCTGACCTTGAGTGATCTGCCCGCCTCAGCCTCCTAAAGTGCTGGGATTATAGGTGTGAGCCACCATGCCTGGCCATCTTTTTTTTTTTTTTTTTTTTTTTAAATAGAGATGGGGTCTCACTGGGTTGCCCAGGCTGGTCTTGAACTCCTGAGCTCAAATAATCCTCCCACCTCAGCCTCCCAAAGTGCTGGGATTACAGGTGTGAACCACCACACCCAGCCTTGTGTCATCTTTTGTCACCTGGTCTCAGAAGTGACATGGCACCACTGCCGCCATAATTAAAGGCTCAGCGGTGTGCCACTGTCACCCCTCAGCTCCAAATCCACCCTTCCTAGGCCTGTTTGTGCTGGTGGAGCTGGACCCTGTAAACGTTTCTCCTCTTCTGGCCAGCTCAGCCTGAGGCTTTGACGGGAGAGGGAGCTGGAGGTTGCAGCGAGGCCTGGCAGAGAATGGGGCCTCCCTGTCTGACCCCTTCCTTGCTGCAGCTGCCAGTGGCTCCGTGTGCGGGTGACTCCTCCGTGAGTCTCTGCCACCCATGGGCTGCTTCTCGCAGACACCCCCCGTCTGTCGTGCTCCCCAGCAAGATTCTCAAGCACCTGGCAGGAGTTCCTGTTAGAAAAGCTCTGGCCCAGATGCACCCCTCAGTGAGTTTCTCGGCCAACTGGCAGGCTCCCCACGGACGGCTAGGCTCTCACCCTGCAGTAACTTCCTCCACCACGGGCAGGGACAGCCTGCAGGGTCCAGCAGAGCCCAGGGCAACTTCCTCCACCGCGGGCAGGGGAAGCCTGCAGGGTCCAGCAGAGCCCAGGGCAACTTCCTCCACTGCGGGCAGGGGCAGCCTGCAGGGTCCAGCAGAGCCAGGCCCAGCCTTGAGTTGGGATGTTCTTCCAGGTTCTTGGTTTCTCCTCGTGTGCTCCCTGTCTGTCCTAGAAACACACGCTGCTTCTGGCACTGCTATTCCTGTATTCCTCAGAGTTCTCTTGTAACCTTTTAATAGTGAAACCTCCTTTTCTAGTTTATAATTCTTTATATTAAATGTTCCTGTTCAAATTACTGGTGTGGTTTCTGTCTCCTGCCTGGAACCTAATGGTACAGAGTTAGCACAAGGAGAGGTCCCAGGAGGGCATTTGGGGACTGTTTGCATCGTCCCTAGGGTGTGAATGCCTGGCTGAGTTTCCTGCCAATGGGAAACGGGGTGCTGGGCCCCACTTTGCAGTGGATTTGCTGTGGCCTCTGGTTGGGTAAAAAAAAGGGCTGGGTGAGACTGGTGCCGGGGTGCCCAAGCGGCTGCTGCCCTTCAGAGCAGAACAGCAAGGACACCCCAGGACTGTGGACTGGGGGTTCCTGCTCCACACACTGGGCGTTCACAGCAATCAGATGGCTGGCAGGAGCAGCTCCTCCCAGGCCTCGGGTCAGCTGAGAGGCAGAGAATGTTCGTGGCAGCCCTCACAGGAGCTGCTGTTTGTGGTCCCTACGGGGCTGACATTGCTGGAAATCAAACACAATGTTCAGTCCCGCGTGTCACCTGATCACAGGGTCAGCTGAGCGCACAGCCTTGCCCGTGTCCTCACTTGAGAGGCAGAATGCTGACAGGACAGCACCCCTGACCCAGAGTGGAGGCAGCGCCCGGAACCCCGTGGAGCTCACAGTCGGCTCCTGCCAGGGTGCCCCGAGGCTCCCTTGCCAGTGGGAGTGGTGGTGGCTGAGGTTGCTGGTGCTCCTGAGTTTGAAAACCCTCAAGAGCCCACCGTTAAGACCCTTGTGAGAGGTTGCCGTCCTCCCCAAGCCAGCACAGCCACCTCCTGTTGCCTACAATTAGCATCAGATCTTAGGGATCCGGGACAGCGTGACACAGAAGACAACAGCTCATGCTGGGACTTGGGAATTTTTTCTGTAAGAGAACAAACAGCACCCAGGCACGGTGGCTCACGCTTGTAATCCCAGCACTTTGGGAGGCCGAGGTGGGTGGATTACCTGAGGTCAGGAGTTTGTGATCAGCCTGGTCAACTTGGTGAAACTCCTTCTCTACCAAAAATACAAAAAAAAATTAGCTGGGCGCGGTGGCAGCTGCCTGTAGTACCAGCTACTCAGGAGGCTGAGGCAGGAGAATCGCTTGAACCTGGGAGGCAGAGGCTGCAGTGAGCTGAGATCACACCACTGCATTCCAGCCTGGGTGACAAAGTGAGACTCTGTCTCAAAAAAAAATAAAAATAAAAAATCAAACAGTAAATATCAGGCTCCGTGAGCCACATACGGCCTCTGGCCACCTTGCTCTTGCTCTTCTCCTTCTCCCTCCTCCATTCCTCCTCCTTTTCGGTGTGTGTGTGTGTGTGTGTGTGTGTGTGTGTGTGTGTGTGTTTTACAATCCTTAAGAAATGTAAAATCCACTCTTAACTCAAAGGCTGTACAAAAAAATAGATTCCAGGCCGGATGTGGCCCGCAGGCTGTAGTTTGGCAAACCCTGGCTTACATGCTACAAGAATTCAGAGATATTTCAGATAGATATCGCGGGGAACCTGGGGAGAACCTGCGGGAGTGGATTCGGGGGGGTTGGACCGGGAACACCGAATCGGAACACTAGAGGGGGCTGAAGTCCCTGATCTGGGGGCCTTGATCGCTCTGCCGGGTCTGCAGCTGCAGCCACAGCTAAGCGCTCCCTCGCGCGACGGCTGAAGCTCAGACCCAGAGGCCCGCAGGTCACGAACCCAAGACCCCAGACCCTCCATGGCCTGCTGTGGAGGAGAGAATCCGAAGGTCCACGGACAGGCAGTCCGTGAGTGTGACCTGCACGCCCACACCCAGCCACGCCCTGCAGGCTCAGAAGCACCACCTTCCCGGACGTGAGGAACACCCGGGCGAGGGGAGCCCCTGCACCCTGAAAAGTCCTGCTACTGCTCTCCTTCGTAGGCCAAGTGTGACCGCGGGGAGAGGGGTGCCCCGGCAGAGATGCGCTCCTTGATCTCCATGGGGTGACACATCCCAGAGCAGCAGCAGGACAGGGGGCAACCGCCGCCGTCAAGTCCCACGCGGGCTGTGTGTGCCAGCGGCGGCAGAAGGAACTGGCGCTCGGGATGCCGTGGCCTGCAGGGTCCTCCGGCGAATCACAGTGCCCAGGGTGAAACAAAGGGTTGGCAGACCAGAGTGCTGTTTGTCTTACACAACAGAAACAAAACTCTGGGTCTGGTGGCCAAACCTGACTTGAGTCACCACAGTGGACAGCCACGGCCTCTCACCTGTTTCCAGGCTGAGCCAATTCACAGACCTGGAGCCCTTGAGTTGGGGGCCAGGTTCCTTGAGGGAGACCCCTGAAGCATTGCTGCAAGGAATACAGCAGCAAAGCCACGGGAAGAGTCCCCCAAAGGGACCTGTACCTGTTTACCAAAGTAACTGTGTAACAGAGGGAGGGAAATACTCAAGCGTCTCAGGAATGACAAGACACTGGCATCAAATGGATTCCAATTCCTTTTCTTTTTCTTTTTCTTTTTTTGGAGACAGAGTATCACACTGTCGCCCAGGCTGGAGTACAGTGGTGTGATCTCAGCTCACTGCAACCTCCACCTCCCAAGTTCAAGCGATTCTCCTGCCTCAGCCTCCCAAGTAGCTGCGATTACAGGTGCATGCCACCATGCCCCACTAACTTTTGTAGTTTTGTAGAGACACGGTCCACTATGTGAGGCCAGGCTGATGTCGAACTCCTGACCTCAGGTGATCCACCCACCTCAGCCTCCCAAAGTGCTGGTATTACAGGCGTGAGCCACCACACCTGGCCAGATGGAGTCTGCTAGAGTCTCGGGGATTTTATAGGGACAGGATGGGGGCGTGGCAGGCCAGGGTGGTCTTTGGAAATGCAACATTTGGGCAGGAAAACAAAAATCCCTGTCCTCACCTAGGTTTGTGGGCACAGGCGGTGGGGGGATCCCTAGCCAAGGATCACGCCTTCCTCTACCCAGCTCTTCCTTCCCCCTTCATGAGGAGCAGGGAGTAGCAAGTCTTTTTTTTTTTTTTCCTCAACGTCCCCATGGACACCAAGGAAAAAAGTACTTCAGATGTCTTGGTGAGACAAATCAGAGGGTGGGAGATGAACCCCACAAAAATTCAGGGGCCCCCTCACCTCAGTGAAGGTTCTGGAGTCCAGAGGTTTGGAACAGGTGATAATTATTCTCCTTTTGATGTTATTTGTTATATTTTTTGTAGAGACGGGGGTCTTGCTATGTTGCCAGGCTGGTCTTGAACTCCTGGCCTCAAGCCATCCTCAGCTGAGTGCTTTTCTTTGACACTTAGTGAATGCTCAGGAACCACAGTCAGGATACTCAGGCGGGAACCGGGGTGGCTTCTCCCTTTTACCCTTTATCCCCATTCATGTGTTTCTTAGCCCCCCAGGGAAGAATGCTTCTGTGGGGGACGCAGCCACGATTCCTTGGAAGGAGAAGCTGAGCCCAGCCATGCTGGTCTCCTCCTGGCACTGATCTACAGACAGGGAGCAGCGCAGTGGAAGAGGGAAGATCCCAGGGCTGAAAGGCTGGGTGGAGGGCGCTGCTGGTCGCATTTCAGGGAACATTTTAAAGTGCAAAGCGGGCCGGGTGCGGCGGCTCACGCCTGTCATCCCAGCACTTTGGGAGCCCGAGGTGGGTGGATCAGAAGGTCAGGAGCTCAAGGCCAGCCTGGCCAATATGGTGAAACCCCGTCTCTACTAACAAACATTAGCCGGGTGTGGCAGCAGGCACCTGTAGTCCCAGCTACTCAGGAGGCTGAAGCAGGAAAATCACTTGAACCCGGGAGGCAGAGTTTGTAGTGAGCCGAGATAGCGCCCCTGCACTCCACCCTGGGCGACAGAGCAGGACTCCATCTAAAAAAAAAAAAAAAAAAAAAAGTGCAAAACGTTGGATATCACATCATTAATGCGGCATTTTGTGTTCAGAGCCAGTGGGACAGTGATTCCTGCACAAGATTCCTGAAAGCCTGGGGAGACTGAATTATGTTAATCTAAAAGGATCCCACCTAATTAGGAGATAAGAAATTTTTGCCTTCACCTGCACAGGAAGGGTGCACGGAAACACGTCATTTAGAACATCCCGGGCCCGAACATCGCGGGCCCTAACATCCAGGTATCCGTGCCACTTCTCCGTACCGGTCCAAGGAGGCCGCGGTGTTCGCGGCGGTCGCCGAGACCGGCGGGCTGTGGTTTCGAACCCGCGGCAACGGCGCGCGGCCGGAGGCGGCGCTCGGCCTTCGCGTTCCGCGGCGCCTGGCCCGGCGCGGCCGCCGTAGCGGGAGGACCCGAGCTACGGTGGCCGCGGGGCGGCGGTGGCGATTGGACTTGGTGGGTCCCGGGCCAGGGGCGGGCGCCGCCATGGGTAACCTGTTCGGCCGCAAGAAGCAGAGCCGCGTCACGGAGCAGGACAAGGCCATCCTGGTGAGGGCCCGGGCCCGGGGTCAGGGCTGGGGCCGGGACAGGCGACGGGGCCGGGGCGGGCGGCGGGGCCGGAAGAGCCCCGCGCCCTCGGCCCCCCGCGTTCGGATGGGGAAACTGAGGCGCAGCGCGCAGCCGGGCCCCTCGGTCTCTCCGCCCTGCGTCCCTCCTCGCCCGCGGGGCCTCGGGCCGGGGTCTCCTGCGCGGCGCCGTGGCTGCCGTCTTCCCCGGGGCCCGCGCGTCCGCCTCTGCGAGCCCCGCCGGGGTGGGCGCGGCTGGTGACTGCGGGATTCGACGCCGGCGTTCGGGGCTCGGCCACAGCCTGGCGGCCCGTCCGTGGGGTCCGCGCGGCGCTGGGCTTTCCCTGGCTCTGGGCCCGCGGGAGCAGGTCCCGGCTCTCCCGGAGTCGCTGCCCCCGCCCCCGTCCCGCGGCTCATTTGCCTCCTGGTGCCCTGGGCCGGAGCCCCGGCGGTGCTGCCGGCTTCGCGAGGCAGCGCGGGGCATCCCCTCTCCCTCACCCCATCCAGGCCAGGACTGGAAGGAAGTCTGCCCTGGTCCGAGGAGCGGCCGACAGGTGCGCCGAACGCCTGCCGGGGTCCTGCCGGGGTCCTGCCGGGCTTCCGCAGCGCCTGGGTACGGGACCACCGTGTTTGGCGCGTTTGTTTGCGGCGACTCCAGACTGACCCCCCGGGGCACAGCCGGGCCGGTGGTGGTGCCTTTTCCCATGTGAAAGTTAGCTTCTGTAGGAGGAGGAATCGCCTGGCATGTCAGGGACAGGGCGGGTTAAGAATAGTCCATTTTTGTAACGAGATAAACGTGTCACGAAAGAGACCCCGAAATGAAAGCAGGGCTAGCTTTTTCGGATGCTTTCTTTTCTAAATTTTGTGCAACAGAAATAGGTTAATTTTATACTAAAAGAGAAGCGAATGTAAATGAAAGAGGGAATCTTACGTTGGCATCTGAGTCCATAAGCTGTGAAAAGAAACAACGGGCACATTTGTCCCTAGAGAAGATGGGCACAGCGCTGGGCACCGTCCCGAGCTGCCTGCAAGACAGCTGGACCCAGCCTCCATCGTCCACCTTCCACCTACCCTGCCAGCCCCAAGGCACTCCCTCCCCTCTCTTTAAGGACTCAGCTCCGGTTTCTCTTCAAGCACAGCTTTCCACTTGCCAAGGGTCACTGTGGGCTCTCGGCTGTGCAGACCCGTGTTGCGGGCTGCCGTAGGTCTCCCTGGGATTTTGGGTGCTTGGGAACAGCATCCTTAGCACACACTAGCACAAATGATTGCTTTTTTTTTTCTGTTTTTCTAGGATAACAGGTGTTCCCCACGTGGCCTGTGACCCTCCACTGAGACCTTGTTTTACAGGGGGGCAGCCTGGCCACACCTGCCTGCCTTTGGCCCCTGGGTCTCCCCAGCAGTGGGGCTGGGCAGGGGGCACCTTTCACTGTAGCAACGAGAGGACCCACAGGCCTTGGCACGGCGAGGGGGAGACTCCGTGGGTGGAGGGAACCGGGAATGAGCCCTCTCAGGTAGAGGGAGCACTGGCTTCCCATGCGGAGTCTTAAAGAGGCACACAGGCCCTGACTGAGCTAATTCTCCTCAGCCTCCTGCCTTAAGGCCATAATCCCTGTGCCTGCACGGGCTCAGCATTGTCTGAAGTGATGACGTTTGGAAAACTTAAGGACCTGATAGAGCAGGACTGGCTGAAGTTCCTCAGTGGCCGAGTGCCCTCTCTGGGACGGCACACAGATGAGAGGCGGTCAGCGGGGCCGAGTGGGTGTCCCTGCAGCCGGATGGTTGGCAAAGGGGCAGGGAAGCCACAGGCATCTCATGCGGCTGAAGCGCAAGGAGAGAAGCCGGGGGGATGTCTGAGCCCTGTCCTGGCCGTGTGGCTGGTGGCACTTGGGTACTCGCCACCTGCATGTTCTTGAGTCGGAACTTTTTTTTTTTGAGATGGAGTCTCACTCTGTCACCCAGGCTGGAACACAGTGGCATACTCTCGGCTCACTGCAAGCTCTGCCTCCCGGGTTCACGCTGTTCTCCTGCCTCAGCCTCCCAGGTAGCTGGGACTACAGGCACCGCCACCACACCCGGCTAATATTTTTATGTATTTTTAGTAGAGACGGGGTTTCACCATGTTAGCCAGGATGGTCTCGATCTCCTGACCTCGTGCTCCGCCCGCCTCGGCCTCCCAAAGTGCTGGGATTACAGGCGTGAGCCACTGCGCCCAGCCGAGTCCAAACCTTTGAGGTCCTGGCAGCTGCTCCCTGACCTGAGCCTAGAGTGCTTGTACCGCTGGCAGGCAGCCTCGAGGGTGGACCCACAGCAATGCCACGGTGGTCTTCCCCATCCCTGTGATGGGCTGTGGAGTCCGGGTGACCCTCTGGTGGGGCCGCCTCTTGTGTGGCAGGATGTGGAGCTGAGTCCCTGGCTTCCACCCCCAGACGTGTCCAGACAGCACCACCTGTCCCCTGGAAGGCAACCCTGCCCCATGAAGGACACTCACGGAGGGCCGCCCGGCCTCCATGCCTGGCGCTCAGTAGCGTGGCCAGGGCTCCCAGTGTGGGCTCGGTGACGCCAGGCCCTCTCTCTCTTGGCAGCAACTGAAGCAGCAGCGGGACAAGCTGAGGCAGTACCAGAAGAGGATCGCCCAGCAGCTGGAGCGCGAGCGCGCCCTGGCCCGGCAGCTGCTGCGGGACGGCAGGAAGGAGTGAGTGGGGCCCGGGCAGCGTGGGCACCCTGTCGGCTGGGGTGGGGGGCCCGGGCAGCGTGGGCACCCTGTCGGCTGGGGTGGGGGGCCCGGGCAGCGTGGGCACCCTGTCGGCTGGGGTGGGGGGCCCGGGCAGCGTGGGCACCCTGTCGGCTGGGGTGGGGGGCCCGGGCAGCGTGGGCACCCTGTCGGCTGGGGTGGGGGGCCCGGGCAGCGTGGGCACCCTGTCGGCTGGGGTGGGGGGCCCGGGCAGCGTGGGCACCCTGTCGGCTGGGGTGGGGGGCCCAGGCAGGGCCACAGCGGGTCACTCTCGGGCTTCCCTCTGCAGACGGGCCAAGCTGCTGCTCAAGAAGAAGCGATACCAGGAGCAGCTCCTGGACAGGACGGAGAACCAGATCAGCAGCCTGGAGGCCATGGTAGGCGGCCGGGTGCTTCGCCCTGGAGTGCAGGTGCAGCTGGAGGCAGCTCCGCCCGGCTGCGTGGACATCAGAAATTTCTCCCGAGAGCTGAAAGCTCCTCTCAGATGCCTCGGGCTGAAGCTGACCTGAAGAGGGGCGGGCCTGGAATCCCGGGGAGTCTGCCAGGAAGCTAATGGTCTTAAGAGGCTGGGGGGCAGGTTGGCTCTCGCAGGACTGAGGTGGGGAAGGTTGGGCCACCCCTGGGTGGTGTGGGTAGGTCAGGGGTCTGCATGGGGACTGAGTGTCCCTGGTGTTAGGGACCCGAGCGGCGTGGTTCTGCTCTTTGGTAACCAGAGCTACTAACAAGCAACCAGCGGTCCCCTGAGTGTGTCCCTGGCACCTGCTCAGTCCTGCGCATCCCCACCTGGCAGTGGGAGAGGACAGGGAGGAGCAGGTGTCAGGAGTCACCCTCACGCCCAGCAGCACCCGCCCAGCAAGGGTGTCATCCTGAACCCTGCCCCAGGGCCGGGAGGAGGGCACCCCGGATCCTCAGCACCTGCGTCTGCTCTGGTTTCCTTTTCAGGTTCAGAGTATTGAGTTCACCCAGATCGAAATGAAAGTGATGGAGGGGCTGCAGTTTGGAAATGAGTGTCTGAACAAGATGCACCAGGTGAGTCTCTGCAGGGCCAGGGGCATGGAGGTGTGGGGAGCCCATTGGGCTGGAGCTGGGGATAGGGCGGGGGGCTTGTCCCACGGTGTTCGTGTCAGACACAGGGCAAGAGGCTGGCAGGGGAGATGTGTTGGGTGCTGCCAGGCAGGCAGGGATGCAGTGACCGGGTGCAGCACAGGCTGGGAACTGTGGGAACTGGGTCCCCAGGCGCCGAAGTGACATAGAAGGGAAGTCTGAGGGTGGGGAGGGGGCTGGCAAACTAATCACAGAAGGCTTCCTGGAGGTGGCGGGTGTGGTGGCTCACACCTGTAATCACTTTTGGAGGCCAAGGCAGGCAGATCACCTGAGGTCAGGAGTTCGAGACCAGCCTGGCCAACATGGTGAAACCCTGTCTCTACTAATAATACAAAAATGAGCCAGGCGTGGTGGCAGGCACCTGTAAACCCAGCTACTCAAGAGGCTGAGGCAGGAGAATCTCTTGAACCGGGAGGCAGAGGTTGCAGTGAGATGAGATTGCGCCACTGCACTCCAGCCTGGATGATAAGAGCAAAACTCCGTCTCAGGAAAAAAAAAAAAGAAGGCTTCCTGGAGGAGGTGAATACCGGCCTCATCTCAGGCCGGGCATGGATGTGAAGCCCAGCGTGGCCATACCACGTTCCCCCACCAACCCCATCACACTCCTGACATGGGGGCCAGTAGGTGGGGCTAGTTGGAGAGCCAGGGACTCACCTGGCGGGAGGTCTGGCTGTGCTACTTTTCCAAGTGTTTGGTGAGTACTGGTGGTGTGTGCCGGTCAAGCACAAGTGGCCCTTTGACCTTTTGCCACTCAAAAGAAATCAAGTCACCTGCCCAGAATGTTCTACCTGTTGCTTGTTTTTACTGGCGGCTGTGAGAGCTGACTCAGGGTGAGAGGGGGCATCGGGCGCCAGGGCAGTGCAGTCGTGGCCTCTGAAAAGACTCATCAAACGGCCCCTGTGGCCTCAGGACAGGCCCATGCCTGGGACACACATGTCCTGGCCTCATTTAAACAGGGACAGGAGCTGGGTGTGGTGGCATGCACCTGTAGTCCCAGCTACTTGGACGGATCGCTTGAGCCCAGCCTGGGCAACACAGCCAGACCTTGTCTTTAAAAATAAATAAAAATAAACAGAGGGGTGAGGCCATGGCCCTGAGAGCCCAGGAGGCCTCTGTCGGGGGTCTACCATTGGCCTCGCGACAGGGGTCAACACCCATCACCCTCGTCCACAGGTGATGTCCATTGAAGAGGTGGAGAGGATCCTGGACGAGACGCAGGAGGCCGTGGAGTACCAGCGGGTAGGTGGCACCCTGACCGGCCTGCCCCCAACTGTGAGAACCCACAAGGCCACCCTCGAGGGCCAAACTGTCCCACATCCTAGAGCGGCCGCCTTCTCTCAAGGGGACGAGACCCAGCCACAGGCCATCTCCTTCCTCCCTGAGGGGCCACCTCCTCGCTGCTCTCACCACCGCCTGTCCTTTTGCAGCAAATAGACGAGCTCCTGGCAGGAAGCTTCACTCAGGAGGATGAAGACGCCATCCTGGAGGAGCTGAGCGCAATCACTCAGGTAACGGCCCCCCCGGGACTGAGCACAGTCACTCAGGCAGCGGGACCCCCAGAGCTCAGACCCCCAGGAGGCCCTGCCCATGGTGATCTCGTATGTGGTGTCCTTTAAGTAAATAGTCTGCGGTTTGTGACTGGTTTTCCTACCTGAGGTGACTCTGTTTTCAGGGTTGCTCACCCAACGGTCTGGTGCAGGCAGGCTGGCCCCGTGCCCTGGACAGAGCGGGGGTGCTGGGCCTTCCTGGCGCCTCGGCCCCTTTCTGTCCCCGGCTGTCACGGATGTGGTGCTGGCTTTCCCCAGCCGTGGCTGCTGACTCACGTCCCACATAGGCCCTCGCTGCGGGGGCCGCGTCCTGGCCCCAGGCTCACATCCAGGCTCTGAGTCTGTATTCACTCCCCGACACAGGGGTTGTCCTCTCTGTGGGCCCCTGCCTCAGTCCGCCAAATTCTCATGGTGCCCCCAGAGCCGGCCTCTGCCCCAGCCCTGCTGCCAGCTGCCCCGGCGCCCTGGTGCTGTGCGGCCCATGGTGCCTGCACCCACTTGCTTGTCCAGTTACTTTCTCCTGAGGGTCCGAGTCCTCCGGGGCCTCCAGGGAAGGCCAGCTGAGAGGCAGAAGCACCCGTGCTGGCTTAGGCAGCCAAGCTCGCTGGGACAGCGTTGTACCGCAGCCCACCCCGCAGTGGTGGACACCAGCGTGACCTGGGTGTCTGTGTCACCCACCCCTCGGTCCCTGAGAGCCAGGGTCTCTGGGGCACACCCAGGACGTCGCCTCCTTACAGCCCCTCAGCGCCCCAGGGTCTGTTGGGAGGAGCCTCCATGGTAGCGGCTGCGTCACCACCTAGGGGATTCTGGTGGCACCAGAAGCCGGGGCGGTTGCAGACTTGGGTCTTCTGAGCAGCACGTTCCTGTCCGCTTTAACTCCGGCTGAGAGCGGCTGACGGACAGGATCCGTGTCCTCTCGGGGAGGCCCAGGCAGCCCGGGGCAGACCTGTCACCTGCTCATAGCCTTACCCTTTGCTTCTTGCAGGAACAAATAGAGCTGCCAGAGGTTCCCTCCGAGCCCCTTCCTGAGAAGATCCCAGGTATTTCCATGTTTGATTCTTTTGAATGGTTGGAATTCGCAGGAGAAAAGTGGATTCTAGAAGGGAACAAGACAGAATGCTCCCAGGCCTTCCTGGGCCGTGGGCAAGCCCTGCTGCCTGGCTGTTTGGCTTGGGGGCGTGCGTGCCTGGCCTTGGGGTTGGGCTTGGGTTTCCCAGGGGTTCGGTAACTGGGCAACCTCATAAGAGAGCCATACCCCATTCAAAGAGACACATTCAGAAATCAGAACTGGGGAAAGGCTTCTTTAGCAGCACCAGCTCATTCCCAGGGTGTAGCCCAGGATTAGCCCTCAGCCAGGGATGGCTCTCCCCGTGGCACCATTCAGCACAGGCTCTCCAACCTGCCCACTGGGAAGCTGACTTTAGAACCGTCCATCCACGTTTGTTCTGTTCCTTTACCCATCTTTGGGGCTCTTCTCCTCTCTGAGTCCCGCTGGGAGGGGCTGTGCTTTCCTGGCCCACTGTCCCGTGTCCCTGGCCCTGTCTGTCAGCCCCATTGGCTTCCTGTTTGTCACTTGCCTCCCCCAGAGCTGGGCGTGCCCTTCCCTAGTGCGAAGTCCCCGGAACTGGCCCTTGCCACCCCTGTGGCCTCGTCCCTCTCTGGAGGTCTCTGCCTGTGGGTCTTTGGCGTGTCATAAACATCTCTGTTTCCTCCACAGAAAACGTCCCTGTCAAGGCCAGGCCCAGGCAGGCGGAGCTGGTGGCAGCTTCGTAACGTGGCCTCGTCTTGTGGGACTCACGGGGATGCCCCAGGGACTGTGGCCCACAGAGAGTTTGGGTCACGGCCAGCCCCTGACCGGGTTCCCTGGAGCCCAGTGCGCACGGTGCTGAGCAGAGCTGCAGCCACGCAGGCGCATTGCAGGAGGACTCCAGAGCGTCTCCTGGAGACCTTGAGCCTGAACGCACTCAGGCGCCACTGGCCTGCTCTCAGTCCGGATTAACTCTCGACCGAGCCCAGCTTCTGCCGGTTGTGGGCTCCCCCGGTGGCCGAGGCCCAGGCCCAACGCCTCTGGTGCTGTTCCCCTGCAGTCCCAGCCCCGCGTGGCTCGCGCTCGTCTGTGAGGAAGACACCTCCAGACCTTGGGGTCCCCGCGCTTCCTCTTGCTCCTCGCTGCTCCCATTAGCTGGTGCAGGCTTCCGTTAAGGGGTCCCTCCCTTGGCCTGGCTTCCCGGCGCACCTCAGCTTCCCTGCTGGTGGGGGGATCCCCAGGAGACCAGCATGTGCTGAACCTCTCTGTGCCTCTGCCTCCGCACCCTAGACACCCACCTCCAGTTTGAAGGTGGCGGGCCAGGGGCTTTCTTGCTGAATTGACGACTCCGAGAGCCCTGACTCCCGCCTTGCCACTCACGGCTCTGTCCACTAGGGCTCAGCCCTGCTGAGAAAGGACCTCCGATGCTTGGGAGACGCTGCTCCGGCAGGTGCAGCCCCGGAAGTTTGTCCATGGGGGTCCCCGCGGCTGGGGCTCATGGAACTGCGAGACCCGGGACCCTCCTGCCCTGCGGGTCCCCGAGCCACCAGCAGCCAGGACTGGAGGCTGTGGGGCATGGCGTGACTTCTCGTGCACAGGGCTGGTTTGGTTATGAGACGATCTCGCTGGGACCGCCCCTGCCCGTGGAAAGCCACAAGGACAAAGGGAGCGGCCACCTCGACCCCCAGACAGGCCGGCCCGTATTAAAGTTGGCCCTGCACGCCCACTGCCTCGTGGACTTGGGCGCAGTGGGCACCTAGGCGTGGCTCCCTCTGTGGGAGCGTGGGTGGGTTGTGTGCGGCCCCTCCCCCACGGTGACCCTGACCAAAGCCCAGCCCCTTGACCAGCATGGGGACGCTCACTGGAGGGCTCCTGCCCAGTCCGGCCAGGCCTGGGCTCTGCACACGTGAGATGGAAGCTCTGGGCCCTGACGGCCACCTCTGGGCAGCTGCCCTCCATGGGGGCCAGGGTGCTGCTCTGAGCAGGCTGGCAGGCTGTCTCCCTCGCGTGGCTGTGTGTAATCCTGGGCCCAGAGGGTGGTGGGTTTGGGGTCCTGGTGCCCAGGCGGGAATCTTGATGTGCAGGGAACACGATGGGCAGGTGACCCCCAAGGGGTGGCTCCACACCCCGCACCGGTGGGCATGGGGGTGCTGGCCCTGCACTGCCGGGTCTCAGGACTGAAGAAGCTGAAGACCTGGGTTTGGGGGAAAGTCTTGTTTCTCCCCGTGGCGGCAGCTCTCCTGCGGTGCACGTGTCAGCTGGGGTTGAGGGGGTCTTCCAACCACCCTTGCAGGGATTCTGCAGAAAACTAGTTGGCTGGCGCTCCCCCTGTCTGTCCCCAGGACTGCCAGGCAGCCTGGAGGGCACCTCGTGATGAGGCTCCAGCCCCATGACCTGCTCCCTGCAGCAGTGCGTCCCAGGCCTGTGGAGCACCGGCTCTGGGTCCCAAACTGCACGCAGGGTGCCAGGAGCCTGCGTTGGGAAGCTGCAGGTGTGGCTGGAGGGGCCCTGGCTACTGTCAGTCCCAGGCCTCAGTCACAGCCTTTACACACCCTGCCTGTGGGGCAGGTCCCTCCTTTCCCTCTGCCTCCATTAGAACCCAGGGGCTTTTGCCAAGAGAGGCCGGGTGTTCTGGCGGCATTTTGTGGCAGGACTTTGCTCTCAGCCCCAACCGGAGCAGCTGTCCACAGTGCCCTCCCCCTTGTGCCAAGTTCCTGGTCAGGGCCCAGGAGGCCATCCAGGGAACGCCAATAACCATCCATCCCTGCTACAGCACAGCCAGGAGTGGGGTGGGGTCCACGTTCCCTCTGACTATCCAAGAAGTTAGAGCCTGACTACTACTCAGCCGTGTTCTGTGTACCAGTGTTCCTCCCTGGACCTCGCAAGAGTCTGCCCGGACAACCCAGAGTGACCTTGAGCTGATTCCCAACTCTGGCATTGGTGTGTCCTGGCTGGCCGGCTCCTGGTTATGTCGGGCTGGTGGCAGCCCCTCCTGCCAGCAAGGTACAGAGCCCAGTGCTGGCCGGAGCCTGACCAACCTGATCTCCTAATCTAGGTTGGGGACACAGGAGCATGACAATCACAAGTCAAAATTAGGTGTGGAACCTCAGGGCGGAGCTGGTGTCCTGCCAGAGATGCCTGGGGGCCGGCGGGAGGACTTGGAGGAGGAGAGGCTGCAGAGGGCAGGGACACAGAGTAGGGGGCCACACAAAGGGTGGCTCAGAGTGGAGGAGGGGCATAAAGGAAGAGCCATACATAATCAGCAGCTTTGAAGGGTGTTGGAGCCTGCCAGCCACAGAGGACTTCCCAGGGAGGGAATGGGGCATAGTGTGGAAGTGGTGCCCTCATTTTCAGAGGCTGCAGACACTTCGCTGGAAGGCACACTTGCCACGGGGCAGGCAGTGTGGCAGTCAGAAATGTGTGGGATGGAATGGGCGCGGTGGCTCACGCCTGTAATCCCAGCACTTTGGGAGGCCGAGGCGGGCGGATCATGATGTCAAGAGATTGAGACCATCCTGGCCAACTTGACGAAACCCCGTCTCTACTAAAAATACAAAAATTAGCTGGGCATGGTGGAACGCACCTGTAGTCCCAGCTACTCGGGAGGCTGAGGCAGGAGAATCGCTTGAACCTGGGAGGCGGAGGTTACAGTGAGCAGAGATCATGCCACTGCACTCCAGCCTGGCAACAGAGCGAGACTCTTTCAAAAAAGAAATGCGTGGGACAGAATGGCGGGTCCATCCTGGACGGGATGGGGCCCCTGACCCCTGTGTGCCTGCGCTCTGCCAGCTCCTGCGCAGAGCAGGTACTCGGGGGAGGGAGGATGGTTTGCTCCAAACTCAGGTCCCAACTGGTGTCTGACTTGGCCGCAGAATCCTTTGGGTCCTGGTTTCTTCATACATGCAATATTGGGGGTTTGGCCTTGGGGGTCTCTTCCAGCTGAGTCCACTTCTGTCCCCAGCCTGTAAACTGTCTGCACCTATTGACTCTTGATGGTCTCTGAGGGACTCAACTTTAGGAACTCTGTCCGTTTTGTGCTGCTGTCACAGAGTGCTTGAGACTGGGTAATTTATAATGAACAATCAACTGGCTCACGGTACTGGACAGGTGCCAGCATCTGGCGAGGGCCGTCCAGCTGCGTCATCACATGGTGGAAGGCAGGAGGGGAGCCACCCCACCCTTTTATAACCAATCCCAGCCGTTAGGGCGCAGCCTTCATGGCCTAACCACCCTCTGAAGGTCCCACTCGATACTGTTAAAAGGCAATGAAATTTCAACAGGTTTTGGAGGGGACAAACATTCAAACCATGGCAGAAAGTGTGGAAGGAGCAATAACCACACTGAACAGAATGACCATGGTAATTAAACCCCAAGTGAAACCATGACCTGTTTTACATCATCCTGGAGAGAACAGTGCAGCTCCAGTACTTGCTGAGCTGCAGAGACAGGGTCCATCCAACTCGACAGCATCCAGCAGCCACTCCAGGCCGCCAGCAGACAGATGTTGGGAGCAGCACTGATAGTTTGGGTTTTCGTTTGTTTTTTTAAGACAGGGTCTCACTTGCCCAGGCTGGAGTGCAGTGGTGTGATTATGGCTCACTGCAGCCTGGAACTCGGGCTCAAGCGATCCTCCCACCTCAGCCTCCTGAGTAGCTGGGACTACAGGTGTGTGCCACCAAATCCAGCTAATTTTTGTTACTTTTTGTAGAGATGGGGTCTCACTATGTTGCCCAGGCTAATAGATTTTTTTAAATGATCATACAGGACGGCTGGGTGCAGTGGTTCACGCCTGTAATCCCAGCACTTTGGGAATCCCAGTACTTTGGGAGGCCGAGGCGGGCAAATCACCTGAGGTCAGGAGTTTGAGACCAGCCTGACCAACATGGAGAAACCCCGTCTCTACTAAAAGTACAAAATTAGCCGGGCGTGGTGGCGCATGTCTGTAATCCCAGCTACTCGGGAAGCTGAGGCAGGAGAATCGCTTGAACCCAGGAAGCGGAGGTTGCAGTGAGCCGAGATCGCGCCACTGCACTCCAACCTGGGCAACAATACAAGACTCCATCTGAAAAAAAAAAGATCACACAGGAAAACAGAAGTTCGATTTTACGTCGTACACTGCTGTAATTTCAGCACATGTGGACTCGTGTAACCAACACCATAACCTTCCATCACCCCTGAAACTCCCTCCCGCCAGCCCTTTAGGGTTGCCCCTCCCCCCGAACCCCACCAGCCCCTGGTGACCACTGATCTGTCCTCCAACCCATAGTGTTTTTCCGGGAATGTCACAAAAACAGAAGCCGACCATGGGTCACCTTTCTGGCGCCTTTCTCCCCGCACAAAGTCTTTGTCCTTGTGAAGTTGTCACGTGCCAAACGCTTGTCCCTTTTTCCTGCTGGGTAATACTCCCGGTGCCGCCCTTGCTGTTCGTCGATGCACATCTGGCTGCTTTTCGCTGGCTGCGAGCGGAGCTGCTAGGGACATGGCCACGGGGCTGTGAGAGCGGAGTTTCCTCTCTCCGGTGACCCTGAGCTGCGCCTTTCTCAGCCGCCTCCCGAGGCCCCAGGCGCTCTGCGGGGGCTCTGGCGGGGTTGGTGGGGGTGGGCGTTCTCGTTGTTTCAGCGGCGCTGCCCCAGGCCCTGCGGGAGGGACCGTGGGACCCGAGACATCCCCGCCTGGCCTCCGCTCCCCACCCGGGAGTGGGGCTCGCACCCCCCCAACCTCGGGTAAAGACGCTTCTGGAAGGAAGGGCGCCCCGCGGACCCCGCCCAACCCTGCCCAGCCCAGCCCAGCCCAGCCCAGCCCTTCCCGGGGCGGCGGCGCGGGAAGCAGGCGGCGGCGCACGGGCGTCGTCATGGCAACCCCACCGGCTCCGGGGGCCGGGACCGCTGCCCCCTCCGCCCCTCGACCCCCGCCCCCCCGCCCTTCCTGGCTGCGGCTGGACCCGGCTGCGCGGGGCGCGAGGCTGCCTTTCCCGGGATCACCAGGGACCACCCGGCGCGCTCCCCGGGAATCCGCACCCCTGGCCCCAGCGCTCCGGAGCGACCCGGGTCAGCCCCTGGCTGCCTGCAATGGGCCCCCGGGCGAACCCCGGGCGGACCCAGGAGTGAGCACCCGGTGCGCGGCAACGATGATCCCGCAAGGGAAGCTCACGGGAGGCAGGAGCTGTGGCAGCCGCCCCAGGATGGGGCGCGGGGAGCGCGCTGAGCTGTCCTTTCCCGCAGCGGCCCCGCGGTTGAAGCGTGGGCTTGGGTTTTGGTTTTTCTTCTGTGGCAACAGTTCTGTTGAGATATTACTCGCCTGCCATACAACTCACCCATTTTAAAAGTACACCTCAGGGGTCCTGCGTGTATTGACAAACCCGCCGCCGTCACCACAGCCAATTTCAGAACATTTTCATCTCTTCAAAAGAAACCCTGTACCCTTCAGCTGTCACCCTCCTGGTCCCCATCCGGTCCTCGTCCCGCCCTCAGCAGCCACGCACTGCCTGTAAAGTCCCCTGTCCTGCCCTGTAGGTGGAATCTATACCTTGGGGTCTGTTCTGACGTTCACCTAACAGCCTTTCCAGGCTCAGCTGTGCTATTGTATGGACCAGGGGGTTGTTTTGTTTTTGTTGTTTGTTGATTGTGTGTGTGTGTGTGTGTGTGTGTGTGTGTGTGTGTGTGAGCCTGGCGTGGTTGCGGGCGCCTATAATCCCAGCTGCTCAGGAGGCTGAGGCAGGAGGATCACTCGAGCTCAGGAGTTTGAGGCTGCAGAGTTGATCATGCCACTGGACTCCATCCTGGGCGACAGAGCAAGACTCTGTCTTTTAAAAAAAAAAACGGGGCTGGGCGCGGTGGCTCACGCCCGTAATCCCAACACTTTGGGAGGCCGAGGCAGGCGAATCACGAGGTCAGGATTTCGAGGCCAGCCTGGCCAACATGGTGAAACCCCGTCTCTACTAAAAATACAAAAATTAGCTGGGCATGGTGGCGGGCGCCTGTAATCCCAGCTACTAGGGAGGCTGAGCCAAGAGAATGGCTTGAATCCGGGAGGCGGAGGCAGAGGTTGCAGTGAGCCGAGATCGTGCCACTGCACTCCAGACTGCAGCCCTGGTGACAGTGCGAGACTCTGTCTCCAAAAAAAAAAAAAAAACAAACAAAAAACAATAAATAACAAGGTCGGCTGAGGTGGCTCACGTCTGTAATCCTAGCACTTTGGGAGGCCGAGGCGGGTGGATTACCTGAGATCAGGAGTTTGAGACCAGCCTGACCAGCATGGAGAAACCCCGTTTCTACTAAAAATACAAAATTAGCCAGGCGTGGTGGCGCATGCCTGTAGTCCCAGCTACTCGGGAGGCTGAGGCAGGAGAATCGCTTGAACCTGGGAGGCAGAGGTTGCAGTGAGCCGAGATCATGCCATTGCACTTGCAGCCTGGGTGACAGAGCAAGACTCTGTCTCAAAAAAAAAAAAAAAAAAAGACTCAAAAAAAAACAAAAATCAGCCAGGCGTGGTGGTGTACACCTGTAGTCCCAGCTACTCTGGAGGCTGAGGCAGGAGAATCGCTTGAACCCATGAGGCAGAGGTTGCAGTGAGCCGAGATTGCGCCACTGCACTCCAGCCTGGCAACAGAGCAAGACTCCGTCTCATATAAAGAAATAAAACAAAAATAAACAAATTTTAAAAACAAACACATTCCTATACAGGTTTCTGTGTGGACAGCGTCTGCTCTTGGGTCTGCACCTGGGAGTGGAATTGCTGGGTTGTGTGGTAACTGGATGTTCACCCATAGGATGAACGACCACACTCTTTTGCACAGTGGCCGATGGTTCTGGTCTCTCTACAGCCTCACCAACTCTTATATTCTTTTTGATTACAGCCACTCTAGCAGGCATGAGGTGGTACGTCATTGTGGCTTTGACCTGCATTTCTCTGGTGTCTAATGGTGTTGAGCATTTTTTCGTGGGTGTTACTGACCATTTGTATATCTTAGAGAAATGTCTATTCAGATAATTTGCCTATTTTTAATTGGGTTCGTTGTCTTTTTATTGAGTTGTAATACTTTATTCGGGATACTAGACCCTTATTAGACACATGATTTGCAAATATTTTCACCCATTCTTTGGGATGTCTTGTTAACCTTTTTGATGGTGTCCCTTGAAGCACAAAAGTTTTTAATTTTGATGAAATCTAATTTATTTTTGTTGTTGTTCCTTGTGCTTTTGGTGTCATAGCTAAGGAACCCCTGCTTAATCCAAGATCATGAAGATTTGTGTCTATGATTTCTTAACAGTTTTATAGTTTATTTATATTTATATAAATATGTTTTTGAGACAGGGTCTCACTCTGTTGGCGAGGCTGGTCTTGAACTCCTGACCTCAGGTGATCTGCCTGGCTCAGCCTCCCAAAGTGCTGGGATTGCAGCCGTGAGCCACCGCGCCCGGCTTGACTTCTTCCTTTTATATGTGGGTATTTTTCTGTCCCAGCGTCATTTGTTAAAAAGACAGTCCTTTCTCCGTGTAATTGTTTTGGCACCGTGTGGAAACCCGCTGCCTGTAGCCAGGAGCTTCTTTCCAGCCCTCAGTTCTGTCCCATTGCTCTGTGTGTCTATTCTTACGTCCTCATGGCAGCCTTGTAGTAAGCTTTGAAATTGGGAAGTGTGAGTTCTCCAACTTTGTTCTTCTTTTTCAAGATTGTTTTGGCTATTCTGGGACCCTCAAATTTCCATGTGAATTTTTAGGATAAGCTTTTCAGTTTCTGCGGAGGAGCCAAGTGAGATGTTGATAGGAGTTGCGTAGAATCTGTGGATGTGTTTGGAGAGTGCCGCCGTCTCCGCTACATTAAGTCCAGATCCGTGGATTGAGGGTGCCTTTCCATTTATTTTGGTCTTCTTTACTTTCTTTCAACCAAGTTTTGTAGTTTTCAGAGTATAAATTTTATACTTGTTTTGTTCAGCCTATTACTGTTTTATTTTTGGTGCTATTGTAAATGAAATCTTCTTAATTTCAATTTCAGATTATTCACTTAAATATACAGAAATACAGCTGATTTTGTATATTGAGCTTGTCTCCTGCAATGTTGCTGAACTTGTTTATTAGGGTTTTTTTAAGTGAAATCCTTAGGACTTTTTATATACAAGATGAGGTCACTTGTAAAGAGAGATAGTTTACCTCTTAATTTCCAACCTGGATGCCTTTAATTTCATTTCCTTCTCTAAGTGCCTGGTTAAAGCTTCAGTACAATGTTGATTAGAAGTGGGTATCTTAGGCTGGGCGCGGTGGCTAACACCTGTAATCCCAGCACTTTGGGAGGCCGAGGCGGGAGGATCACGAGGTCAGGAGATCGAGACCATCCTGGCTAACAAGGTGAAACCCCGTCTCTACTAAAAATACAAAAATTAGCCGGGCGTGGTGGCGGGCACCTGTAGTCCCAGCTACTCGGGAGGCTGAGGCAGAAGAATGGCGTGAACCCGGGAGGCATGGTGGTGCATGCCTATAGTCCTAGCTACTTGGGAGGTTGAGGTGGGAGGATCATTTCAGCCCAGAAAACGGAGGCTGCAGTAAGCCATGATCGTGCCACTGCACTCCAGCCTGGGAGACAGAGCAAGACCCTGTCTCAAAAAAAGAAAAACTGTTCTGAAGCACAGTGTAGTCTAGTACTGTGGCATTCCCACCTGTATTCCTGCTTGTTCCATTTACTTGAGAAACATTTTTTTCATAAATAATATGAAAACATATCCATCCCAGTTTCTGTACATTAATTCCAGACTAAGAGCATTTAACCTGAGTTTAGTGGTAGATTTAAGGACACTCATGAGAAAAACCTCCATTTATACAAGAGGAACAGGACCCTTCCTTATCTCGAGGATGATGTCCCGCAGGAGACGCCTGCTCTCCTCCAGACAGGCTCTAGGGCTGTTCATCTGACCTGCCTTGGAATGTCTCACGTGGCTGCGACGCCAGCCTTTCAATCGTCTCCCATGGATGAAGCCATCGTGGGTGTGTCTTTGGTATGTGTCTCTGTTGCTTGGTCTGCCCTCTTTTTTTTGAGACGGAGCCTCACTCTGTCACCCAGGCTGGAGTGCAATGGCCCAATCTCAGCTCACTGTAACCTCCGCCTCCTGGGTTCAAGCGATTCTCCTGCCTCAGCCTCCCAAGTAGCTGGGATTACAGGCATGCGCCACCACACGCAGCTAACTTTTGTGTTTTTAGCAGAGGCGGGGGTCTTGCTCTGTTGCCCAGGCTGGTCTCAAACTCCTAGGCTCAAGCAATCTGCCCACCTTGGCCTCCCAAAGTGCTGGGATTACAGGTGTGAGCGACTGCGCCTGGTCCAGGAAGGGAACTTTAACACATAATGGATAAAGCTGGACCCTCAAGCAAAATAGGAATATTTAAAATCCATTGTTTTGGATTAACTGCAGCATCTCCAGATTATCTTTCCTCCATTTTAAAGTTACCTACAAAGGGTCCATACCTTGATGGTAGCATCAGCCCTCCACAGCCCATCTCTTTCTTTCTTTATTTTATTTTTATTTTTTTGAGACGGAGTCTCGCTCTGTTGCCCAGGCTGGAGTGCAGTGGCTTGATCTCGGCTCACTGCAACCTCTGCCTCCTGGATTCAAGCGATTCTCCTGCCTCAGCCTCCCGGATAGCTGGGATTACAGGCGTGTGCCACCACACCTGGCTAATTTTTGTATTTTTAGTAGAGACGGGATTTCACCATGTTGGCCAGGCTGCTCTCAAACTCCTGACCTCGGATGATCCGCCCGTCTCGGCCTCGCAAAGTGCTGGGAGTACAGGCATGAGCCACCACTCCCGGCCAGCCAGCCCATCTCTTTCACTGTTACAACTAACAACTCAAATCCAGGAAAAACAAAGCACCCCCCGCCCCCGCCACCACCGCCCTGCCACTGAGGACTCTGCAAAGTAAACCAGTAAACCAAAGCTGTGGAGGTGGCCCCTGTGGGGAAGCCGTTTCCTGGTTTTATCTTCCCTTTTCTCTCGTAGCTTTGCCCCAGGATGGGCCTCAGTTACGGAACTGCACAGAAACACGGAAAGCTAAAACTCCCATAGAAACCTTGTCCTTTTGGCAAGAGAAATTGTGAACAGGGGCCACTGAGGTCCAGAAAGCGTGTGGTGGGGGAATCCCAGAAGGGAGCGAGTGGGAGAAAGAGGCCTTGGGACTCTGAGGAGGAACCAGCAGCAGCCCCGGCTCCCCCACCCGAGCTGCACCTGTGTGGGGTGCACTCAGAGAAGCAACAGGAATTGGCTTTGAAAGTGGAACCTCGACTGGAGCAGAGGCAGCAGAACTTTGTGGTTGGAACTAACCAGGTTGATGGGCATTTAAAAAAAAAAAAAATCAACATTCTCCAGCGGATTGTTGCGGAGTCCACCCAGCATAACCGTCAAAATGTCCAGTTCATGGCCGGGCGTGGTGCCCACAGCTGTGATCCCAGCACTTTGAGAGGCGGAGGCGGGCAAATCGCTTGAGCCCAGGAGTTCGAGACCAGCCTGGGTAACCTGACAAAAATCAGTTTCTACCAAAAAATACAAAAATAAGCTGGGCGTGGTGGCATGTGCCTGTATTCCCGCTACTTGGGAGGCTGAGGTGGAAGGATTGCTTGAGCCTGGTATGCAGAGGTTGTAGTGAGCTGAGATTGCACCACTGCACTCCAGCCTGGGTGACAGAGCCAGACCTGGTCTCAAAATTTTTTTAAAAAGCCCAATTCATAATCCCAAATTATGTGACATATAAAAAATCATGAGAATGTGACCAGTTTCCAAAGGAAAAGTGATACAGTTTGGATATTTTTCCTGCCCAAATCCCATGTTGAATTGTAATCCCCAGTGCTGGAGGTGGGGCCTGGTAGGAGGTGACTGGATCATGGGAACGGGTCTCTCATGAATGGCTTGGGCCACCCCCTTGGTGATAAGTGAATTCTTGCTCTGAGTTTACATGAGATCTGGTCATTTCAAAGTGTGTGGCACCTCTTCCCTGCTCCTCCTCTGCCTTCCACCATGATTGGAAGCTTCCTGAGGCCTCCTCAGAAGCAGATGCTGCGATGCTTCCTGTACAGCTGTAGAACCATGAGCCAGTTAAACTTATTTTTCTTATAAATTATCCAGTCTTAGATATTTCTCTTTTTTTTTTTTTTTTTTGAAACAGTCTCGCTCTGTTGCCCGGGCTGGAGTGCAGTGGCCTGATCTCGGCTCACTGCAAGTTCCACCTCCTGGGTTCACGCCATTCTCCTGCCTCAGCCTCCCAACTAGCTGGGATTACAGGCACCTGCCACCACGCCCAGCGAATTTTTTGTATTTTTAGTAGAGACAGGGTTTCATTGTATTAGCCAAGATGGTCTCAATCTCCTGACCTCGTGATCCGCCTGCCTCAGCCTCCCAAAGTGCTGGGATTACAGGCGTGAGCCACCGTGCCTGGTTGCTTAGCTATTTATAGCAATTGCACGAATGGCCTAATACAGAAAATTGGTACCAAGGAGTAAAGCATTGCTATAGATACCTGAAAATGTGGAAGCAGCTTTGGACCTGGGTAATGGGCAGAGGTTGGAAGAGTGTGGAGGGCTCAGAAGGAGACAGGATGATGAGGAAGAAGAATTTGATGAGGAAGAATTTGGAGCTTCTTAGAAACTGGTTAAATGATTGTGACCAAAATGTTCATAGTGTTGTGGACAGTAGAGGCCAGGTTGACGAGGTATCAGCTGGAAATGAGGAACTGATTGGAAACTGGAACAAAGGTCATGTGTTCTTTGCTAAGGTTTTGGCAGAGAGCATGGCTGTATTCTGTTCATGCCTCGGGATCCATGGACATTTAAACTTGAGAGTCATGAGTTAGGGTATCTGGTGGAAGAAATCCCTAAGCAGCAAAATGTTCAAAAAGTGGCATGGCTGCTTCTAACAAACTGTACTTAGATGAGGGAGCAAAGGAATGACTTAAAGTTGGAACTTATATTTAAAAGAGAAGCAGAGTGTAAAAGTTTGGAAAATTGGCTGGGTGTGGTGGCTCACACTTGTAATCCCAGCACTTTGGGAGGCCAAAGCAGATAGATACCGTGACGCCAGGAGTTCAAGACCAGCCTGGCCAACATGGCAAAACCTCATCTCTACTGTTGGGAATAACGCTCAAAATCCTAAGGTGATCGAACACTCAAACAAAGGATTCTTTTTTGTTGTTCTGTTTTGTTTTTGTTTTCGAGATGGAGTCTTGCTCTGTCACCCAGGCTGGAGTGCAGTGGCACTATCTCGGCTCACTACAAGCTCCACCTCCTGGGTTCATACCTCAGCCTCCCAAGTAGATGGGACTACAGACACCCGCCACCATGCCTGGCTAATTTTTTGTATTTTCAGTAGAGACAGGGTTTCACCGTGTTAGCCAGGATGGTCTTGATCTCCTGACCTCATGATCCGCCCACCTCAGCCTCCCAAAGTGCTGGGATTACAGGCGTGAGCCACCGCGCCCAGCCTCAAACAAAGGATTCTTAGCAAAGCAATTTTACTTCTGCGTAGACAGGTGCTTCTCCTTGGCCAGTTGCCATGAGAGCACACCTGAACAAAGGGGCATGAGGGCCTTTATTTCTGATGCAAGTCCTGTCCCTGTACCCTTTCCCCATTGGCCAGGGTTGGGTTGCACAAACTGAACTAATCCCAGTTGGGTAGACATTTGAACTTTCTTTAGATATGGTGGGCATGTAAGGGAGAGAGGGAAAGAAGAAGGGGAAGGAGCGTTTGCAATGAGCTAGAGACTAGTCTCCTTTCCAAATAAGGAAAGGAATGTGAGCTGGTACTGATAAGCCTGGTCCTGTGGCGTGTCCAGGCATCTAACAAAGGCAGAAAAGAGAAAAAGGAAAAAGGGGTGGGGGAGGTACTATGAATTAAGGAAGAAAGGATTGATCAGGCTATTTGAAGAGAAACCTCATCATATCCCACATCTACTAAAACTACAAAAATGAGCCGGGTGTGGTGGAGGGCACCTGTAATCCCAGCTACTCGGGAGGCTGAGGCAGGAAAATCACTTGAACCTGGGAGGCGGAGGTTGCAGTGAACCAAGATCACACCACTGCACTCCAGTCTGGCGACAGAATGAGACTTTGTCCGCCACGCAAAAAAAAAAAAAAAGTTTGGAAAATGCGCAGCCTGGCCATGTGGCAGAGAAAGGAAAAGCTTTTTCAGGAGAGGAATTCAAGCAGAGTGTGGAGGAACCACTTCTTAGAGATATTTGCGTGTTTGAAAATGAGCCGAGAGGTGATGACCAAGCCAATGGAATGATGACCTTCATGACAGCCCCTCCCATCACAGGCCCTGAGGCCTAGGGGAACGAAATGGTTTTGTGGGCCAGGCCCAGGGCCCCACTTCCCTATACAGCCTCAGGGCAGTGCTCCCCATATGGCATCCCAGCAGCTCCAGCTCCAGCCTCAGCTCACAGGGGCCCAGGTACAGCTCAGGCTGCCACTTTGGAGGTTGCAAGCTGTAAGCCTTGACAGCTTTCACATGGCATTAAGCCTGTGGGTGCGCAGAATGCAAGAGTGAAGGCTTGGCAGCCTCTGTCTCGATTTCAGAGGATGTATGAGAAAGCCCAAGTTCCCAGGCAGATGCCTGCTGCGGGGGGCAGAGCCCCCACAGAGAACCTTTACTAGGGCAGTGCCAAGGAGCAATGTCCACAAATCCCCAAAATCCCATCTGACTAATTGAGAGAGTTGGAGCCCCCACACAGAGTCCCCGCTGGGGCACTGCCTAGTGGAGTTGCGAGAAGGGGCCACTGCCCTCCAGAATTCAGAACGGCAAAGTCATCAGCAGCTTGCACCCTGCGGTTTCACAAGCACTCAACAACCTGTGAGAGCAGCGTTAGGGATGGAACCTGCAAAGCCCCGAGGGCGGAGCTGCCCAAGGCCTTGGGAGCCCACCCCTGGCACCAGTGTGCCCTGGATGTGGAGCATGGAGTCAAAGGAGATTGTTTTGGAGCTTTCAGATTTAACACCTGCCCTGCTGGGTTTGGAACTTCCATGGGACCTGTAGTCCCTTTCATTTGGCTGATTTCTTCCTTTTGGAATGACAGTACTTACCCAGTGCCTATATTCCTATTGTGTCTTGGAAGTAAATTACTTGTATTTTGTTTTACAGTCTCATTGGTGGAAGGGACATGCCTTGTCTCGGGGGAGACTTTGGACTTTTGAGTTAACGCTGGAATCAGTTAAGATTTTGGGGGATTCTTGGGAAGGCATGATAGTATTTTGCAATGTAGGAAGGACGTGAGATTTGGGAGGGGTCCCGGGTGGAATGATATAGTTTGGATATTTGTCCTCACCCAAATCTCATGTTGAATTGTAATCTCCAGTGTTGGAGGTGGGGCCTGGTGGGAGGTGTTTGGGTCATGGGAGCTTGGGCCATCCCTTGGTGATAAGTGAGCTGTCTCTCTGAGTTCACACGAGATCTGGTCATTTACAAGTGTGTGGCACCTCCCCCATCCCCCCACTTGCTCCTGCCTTTGCCATGTGATGTCCCTCCTCCTGCTTTGCCTTTGACCATGATTGGAAGCCTCCTGGGGCCTCTCCAGAAGCAGATGCCGCTGTGCTTCCTGTACAGCCTGCTGAACCACGAACCAATAAGCCTTTCTTTATAAATGACCCCGTCTCAGGTATTTCTTTATAGCAGTGCAAGAATGACCTAATACAAAAAGACAATCAACAGGCCGGGAGTGATGGCTCATTCCTGTAATCCCAGCACTTTGGGAGGCTGAGGCAGGCAGATCACTTGAGGTCAGGAGTTCAAGACCAGCCTGGTCAACATGGTGAAACCCCATCTCTACTAAAAATACAAAAATTAGTCGGGCATGGTGGCGTGCACCTGTAATCCCAGCTACTCAGGAGGCTGAGGCAGGAGAATCACTTGAACCCAGGATGGGGAGGTTGCAGTGAGCCAAGATCACACCACTGCACTCTAGCCTGGGCAGCAGAGCCAGACTGCATCTCAGAACAAACAAGTAAAAGGATGGGGAAAATATATCACAGAAACCCTAATCAAAAGAAAGATGGAGTAGTTGTGTTAATATCAGGCAATGTATATTCAAAACAAATATCAACAGGGATAATGAGAGACATTACTCAATAATAAAAGAAGGCAAAACAATCCAAATTGTGTATTCACCTAACAATAGAATTTCAAAACACATGAAGCAAAAACTAACAGAAATGAAAGGTAAAACAATTTCTTACAGTTAGAGACTTTCACCCTCCTCTTTCAGTATTTTGTTGTTGTTTTTAGTCAGGGTCTTGCTCTGTCACCCACGCTGGAGTGCAGTGGCACAAACATGGCTCACTGAAGCTTCAACCTCCTGGGCTCAAGTGATCCTTCTGCCTCAGCCTCCCGAGCAGCTGGGACTATAGGTACATGCCACCACACCTAGCTAATTTTTTTTTTTTTTGAGACAGAGTCTCGCTCTGTCGCCCAGGCTGGAGTGCAGTGGCGTGATCTCGGCTCACTGCAAGCTCCACCTCCCGGGTTCACGCCATTCTCCTGCCTCAGCCTCCTGAGTAGCTGGGACTACAGGTGCCCGCCACCTCACCCGGCTAATTTTTGGTATTTTTAGTAGAGACATGGTTTCACCGTGTTAGCCAGGATGGTCTCGATCTCCTGACCTCGTGATCCGCCCGCCTCGGCCTCCCAAAGTGCTGGGATTACAGGCGTGGGCCACCGCACCCGGCCACTAATTTTTTTATTTTTGTAGAGACGGGCTCTTGTCATGTTACCCAGGCTGGTCTTGAACTCCTGGGTTCAAGTGAACCTCCTGCTTTGGCCTCCCAAAATGCTGCGATTACAGGCATAGTCTACTGTTCCTGGCCCCTCTTTCAGTAATTGAGAGAATAAATAGAAAATCATGAAGGATATAGGACACCTGAACACTGTTAACTGGTTTGACTCAGCTGACATTTATAGAACATTCCACCCAGCAACAGCAGAATACACATTCTATTCAAGTGCATATTGGACATTTACCAAGACATATCATGTTCTGGACCATGAAATAAACCTTAACTAATTTAAAGGAATTGAACTCACACAAAGCATGTTCTCTGACCATAATATCAATCCAAAAGCCAGTAACAAAGAGCTATCTGGAAAATCCACAAATATTAAATTAACCTGTGAGTTAAATAGAAAATCACAAGGGAATTTAGAGGCTGTTTCTAACTGAAAGAAAATGAAAACTAAACATATTAACATTTATGGATTCTTGCTAAAACAGTGTTTAGAGGAAAACTTAGAATATTAAATGCTTATGTTAAGGTAGAAGAAAAGTCTGAAATCAGTTAGCTAAACTTTCACCTTAATTAATTCAAAAAAGAAGAGCAGATCCAAAGCAAGCAGGAGAAAAGAAACAATAGTGAGTGGACATCAGCAGAAATGAAAACAGAACATCAGAGAAAAATCAGTGAAAGCAAAAACTGGTTATTTGAAAATATCAATAAATTTGAAAAGCTTCAAGCTAGAGTGATCAGGAAAAAAAGAGAAGATACAAATTACAACATTAGCAATGAAAGTGGGAACACCACCCCAGACCCTATAGACATGAAAAAGATATTAAGGAAATATTACAGCTGGGCACGGTGGCTCACGCCTGTGATCCTAGCACTTTGGGAGGTCGAGGCGGGTGGATCACAAGGTCAGGAGTTTGAGACCAGCCTGGCCAAAATAGTGAAATGCCATCTCTTCTAAAAATACAAAAAAAATAGCCGGGCATGGTGGCAGACACCTGTAATCCCACTTACTTGGGAGGCTGAGGCAGAAGAATCACTTGAACACAGGACGTGGAGATTGCAGTGAGCCACGATCACGCCATTGTACTCCAGCCCGGGTGACAGAGTGAGACTCCATCTCAAAAAAAAAAAAAAAAAGAAAGAAAGAAAAAAGTAAATATGAAATATTACAAACAGTTTTATGCTCATAAATTTGACAATTTAGATTTAATGGGAAAATTCCTTGAAAGACTCAAACTGCCAAAGTTCACTCAAGATTAAATAGGTAAACCAAATTGTCATATGTCTATTAAATGCTACCAAACATTTAAGGAAGACTTAATACCAATTCTACACAAACTCTTAAAGAAAATAGAAGAGGAGAGAACACTTTGCAATTCCTTTTATGAGTTCAACATTACCTTGACCCTAAGACCACATAAGGCCATTACAAGAAAAGCAAACAGACCAATATCCCATATGAACCTAGATGCAAAATCCTCAACTCATTATTAGCAAATAATCCAGCAATATATAAAAATGAGTCTTTATCCTGAAGTAATCTATTTATTCTGGGACAAACAAAATGAGGTTTATCCTGGAAATGCAAGGTTGGTTCAACCTTCAAACATCAGTATCATTCATCGTATCAACAGACTACAAAAAAAAGAATCTTATGATATCTCAATAGATGCAGGAAAAGAATTTGACAAAATTCAACATCCGTTTGTGATAAAAACTCTTAGCAAACTATGAATAAAAAACAACTTCCTTAACTTTTCAGAAGGCATCACAAAAACCCTACAGATAACATCACACTTAATGATAAAAGATTGGATGCTTTCCCCATAAGGAAGGAAACAAGGCAAGGGCGTCTGCTGTCACCACATCTATTCAGCATCATACTGGAGGCCCCGTTCAGTGTAATAAGCAAGAAAATAATAAAATGAACACATATTGGGAAGGAATAAATACACAACTGTCTCTATTTGTGGACAGCATGACTACATAGAAAATCTCAAAGGAGTCTACTAGAACAAATTAGAACATCACAGAATACTAGGTCAGTGTACAAAATGAAATGTGTATTTCTATTTGCTAGCAAGGAACAATTGGAAACTGAAATTAACATTTTATTTATTTTTATTGACTTACATTTTTAGAGACAGAGTCTTCCTCTGTTGCCCAGGCTGAGTGCAGCGGCATGATCACAGCTCACTGCAGCCTCAAACTCCTGGGTACACGTGATCCTTTGGCCTCAGCCTCCTAAGTACAGGTATGTGCCACAATGGCCAGCTAATATCTTTTTTTAGAAACAGGGTCTCACTATGCTGCCCAGGCTGGTCTTGAACTCCTGGGCTCAAGCGATCTTCCTGCCTTGGCCTGCCAAAGTGCTAGGATTATGGATGTGAACCACTGCACCCAGCCTATTTTATTTTTATTTTTTTAGAGATAGGGTCTTGCTCTGTTGCCCAGGCCGGAGTGCAGTCATGCAACCATAGCTCATGGTAACCTCAAACTCCTGGGCTCAAGTGATCCTCCTGCCCCGGCCTCCTGAGTAAGTGAGACTACAGGCATGCACCACCATGCTCAGTGCATGCCTTTTTTTTTTTTTTTTCTTTAAGGTGAGGTCTCCCCGTGTTTCCTAGGCTGATCTGGAACTCCTGGGCTCAAGTGACCCTCCCACTTTGGCCTCCTAAAGTGCTAGGATTATAGGCATGAGCCACTGTGCGTGGCCTGAAATTAACATTTTAAACATGGGGAAACAGACTTCTACTTCCAAGTAGGATGGAGTGCAGCAGATCAAGGCTCCCACTAAGAACTAGAAAGGCCAGGCAAAAATATAAAAATCATCTCTTTAATGGCATCAGAAAGCTACAGAAGCAACAAAGACTAAAGGGGTTAAGCCTCAAAAGAGGAGGGTTCCGTAGGATAAGCAGACCATCTGCAGCCCGCAGTTCCCAAGTGCTTGTTCGTGCTGGGATTAATGACACACGGGAGATTCGAAGGGCAGCTAATCTTGGCAAGAATGAAGACGCGAAAGCTGATCTCTTCTTCAAGACTGTGGCAGGACTGGAAGCTGCGTGAAAACGCTGGTTGAAGAGCTAATTTGAAACTTCCGGAAGGCAGAGCAGAATTGTTTACCTCGCTCAGGGCTAAGGAAGGGGAGGGCTCTAGTTGTCCACAGCAAACTGTCTGTTAATTTCCTGGAGGATTAGTTCCTAGAAACAAGCAACACAGAGATAGGCTCACCGAAAGGGCAGCTTGTCCTCAGCTCAGCTCAGTCCCTGATTGGAGCGAGGAGGTCACCCTCCTTACCGAGGAAATGGGGGACCCTCTCCGCCGGCTGGAACACAGCGTCATCCAGAGCAGGCTCTGCCCATCTTTTCCTTAGCCGGGTAGTAGAAGTGGCCTCTGCCTACTGAACCGTGCTGCTGTAGGGCACACGCAGCCACAGAGCATCTGTGAACAAATGGGCATGGGTGTGTTTCAATACGCTGCGTTCACAAAAGCAGGCGGCTGCCCCCCGCTGCAGTTTGCTGACCCCGGATCTGGAGTCTCCAGGCTTCAGCGCATGACATCCAGCATTCAGAGACCACAGGGCCAAAAATCAAGAGGAAAAATAGCCCGTGGAAACGGATGCACACAAAGCCAGAGAGTGGAAGTCGCAGCAGAGAACCCCTGAACTCTCTGTGAGTTTTTGTTTAGAGTTCGAACTCTGTGCGTTTTTGTTTAGATGGAGGAAGCAAGGGAGAAAGTAGATGAAAAGGTGGAGATTTTTCAGCTGAGAACTGGAATCCATATAACACAAAACTTTTTTTTTTTTTGAGACGGAGTTTCACTCTTGTTGCCCAGGCTGGAGTGCAATGGCGCAATCTTGGCTCACCGCAACCTCCGCCTCCCAGGTTCAATCGATTCTCCTGCCTCAGCCTCCCTAGTAGCTGGGATGACAGGCATGCGCCACCATGCCTGGCTAATTTTGTATTTTTAGTAGAGACGGGGTTTCTCCATGTTGGTCAGGCTGGTCTCGAATCCCCGACCTCAGGTGATCCGCCCGCCTCAGCCTCCCAAAGTGCTGGGATTACAGGTGTGAGGCACCGCTCCCGGCTTATAACACAAAACATTTAAGAATCTGCAAACCCCAAGTTTTCCTGCCATGGCAGGTCTGAGCACAAGGCAGCCGGGAGAGGTTTAATCCTGGGTGAGTCAGGCCGAGTTCCAGTTATCACACTGAGAATCACCCAGTAAATGAAGCTGCTGTGACCAAAGTGACCAAAGGCTGTTTAGTACCTGAAGGTCTTGGGAGGCCCTGGACCTCATGGAGAGAGAACCATAGAGCGTGGGGAGGTGGGGGCAGAGGCCCCCTGGGGCTGAGCCTGTTCTGAGCAGTTCACGGGGGTCTCCTTTTTTATCCTTCTCCTGTGTGCCTGCCTGGGGGGCTTACTGTCAGCTAGCGTGTGGGGGCAAAGGGCAGACAGGTCCACACAGGTGTTCAGCCTCTTGCACAGCCCTGGGGAAGCGGGGATCTTAGATTCTCACCCCACTCCGGGGAGGCGGGAGCTCTGTATCACATGGTCACTTCTGCCCAGCGGGGCCAGTGGCTGGAGCTCAGCGAGGGGACTTGGGTGCAGGCTGCTGTGGAGGGACTGAGGACCCAGGTCTTTATCCTTGGGGCAATGGATGTCAGCACAGGGCTGCCGCAGGGGACTTCAGTCAGATCTGTACTTGGAAAACCTCACTGAGTATGGAGACGGGTTTGGACAGGCCAAGGGCTTCTGGGGATCAGGTAAGGGGCCTTTTCCCAGGTCCGGGGTGGAGGGGTCCGGGGCCCGGAGGTGGGTAGACAGATTCAGGAGCTCAAAGTTGACAAGACATGGGGGCTAGGCTGGGGGTCAGGGGAGGAGAGTGAAGGAAGAGGAAACAGAAAGGGTAACACCAAGGTTCCCAGCTGTATGTGTGGGGATACGGAGGGACCATGGCCCGAGGCTGCGACCTGGCAGGGGGTCTGCTTGGCGACTGTCAGGTAGGCGGTTGGAGCCACAGATCTGGAGGTTAGCGAAGAGGTCTGGACAATACATATTAGTGGCTGGGCACGGTGGCTCACGCCTGAAATCCCAGCACTTTGGGAGGCCGAGGCAGAAGGATCGCTTGAGCCCAGGAATTCAAGACCAGTCTGGGCAACATAGCAAGACCCTATCTCTAGAAAAAAACTTTTAAAAAAATTAGTTGGGCATGGTGGTGCACGCCTGTAGTCTCAGCTACTCAGAAGGCTTAGGCGAGAGGATTGCTTGAGCCCCGGAGGTTGAGGCTGCAGTGAGACCAGATCACGCTTGGGTGACAGAACAAGCAAGACCCTGTCTCCAAAAAAAAAAAAAGAGAGAAATACGCATATGAGAGCCATCTGAGTCTACAGGGGAGAGTGCTAAGCTCCACCCTACCTGTGCCAGGGCCCACGGCTCCTGTTGAGAAATGGCCTTAGGAGGCCTGGGGCTTACTGAGAGGGGCAAGCTCGTCTAGGAGATCCAAAGTTTAAGGACATCACCTGAAAGCAGTGTGTGCTCGCGGGCACTCAGGCGCCCGTCTGCGGTGCAATCGTGGACAGGATAGCCTGGGCTCCACCGTGCTTGGTTAAAGGGGCCGAAGGAGGCCCCAGGAGGTCAGCTCAGGGGGTTCCAGCTTGCCCCTCCTGGGGGGGGTGGTCTTCGTTGAGGTTTGGTGGAGATGCTCCTGGAGGTGCACCTTTGCTCCACAGCTGAGGCTGGGCCTCACGTTGGGAGCAGCCGGCAGCATTGAGAGCTGCATTTGGGGGGCGGGGAGGCAGTAACAGCAGCCACACCCAGGGGCAGAGCCAGCTGCACCCCAGCCAGCACAGGGCCTGCGGTTGGACTAAAGGCTGGTCCTTGGGCCAGGCTGGCTCCGGTGTTTCCCTTCAGCTCTCAGGTTCTCTCCAGCCTTTCCGGAAACCTACTCATCTCCCAGTTTCCTGCCAAGAAACCCCATTACTACTGAAGTCTCAGACTCTCGACTGCCAGGCCTGGTGGGTGAAGCTGCCTCCAGCCGGGAAGAGGCCTTGGAGGCGCCGGGAGGGCCCAGCTTCCCCGTGCCCGGCCGCGTGGCCTTGGGAAAGCCCCTCAGTGCTCCGGGCCTCCGTGTCCCTTTCCACACCATGAGGCTCCTGGCATTTCTCCTGTGGCCTGTGGGGTGTCACTGGGGCAGGAGTGGGCCGGCTCCCTGGCTCCCGGCCACCACCCCTCAGCATGGTCTGCTTGGCAGCCAGGGACAGTCTGGGCTTCCACCCAAAGCGTCTGCAGGGAGCAGGTGGGGACGTCCATCCACTGTGCTGTGTCCAACCGCGTCTGTCGTGTTTCTCCACGGAGAGCACCGGGCAGTCGAGGGGGTGCAGGGACTGCGGGGCCTCCCTACAGACACAGTCTGGGTGCCTGGCAGCTCAGGGACCTCCTTTCACACCCTCTACCACCTGCAGATGCCCCCCACATGTGTCTGTCCTCGCTGCTTCTGAAACTCCCCTTGGGCCAAAAGGTGCCCCTGGGTTGGGTCCAGGGAGGCCCCATGTAGCTGAAGGAGCTGAGATTTGGGCCAAAAACCTGCAAGGGGAAGGCAGGTGTAGGGTGTGGACTCCACGGCGTCCTCCAGGCTCACTTCCCCGATGGAAACTGAATGGGAGAACTGACATTTCTGGGAGAATTCCGGCTCCTTTGAAAAAGGCGGCACGCAGAAGACGCTCAACACCATCGCCACCAGGAAATGCAAGTCAAAACCACCAGGAGGCTGGGCGCAGTGGCTCACGTCTGTATTCCCAGCACTTTGGGAGGCCGAGGTGGGTGGATCACCTGAGGTCAGGAGTTCAAGACCAGCCTAGCCAACATGGTGAAACTCCATCTCTACTAAAAATACAAAAATTAGCCGGGCATGGTGGTGGGCACCTATAATCCCAGCTACTCTGGAGGCTGAGGTATAAGAATCGCTTGAACCCAGGAGGCAGAGGTTGCAGTGAGCCAAGATCGCAGTACTGCACTCCAGCGTGGGCGACAGAGCGAGACTCTGTCTGAAAAACAAACAAACAAAACCACCAGGAGATCTGCCTCACACCTTCAGGATGGCTAGAATTAAAAAAACAAAAACAAAAAACAGAAAACCAGTGTGGTGAAGCTGTGAGGAACTGTACCCTGGCTGGCAGGGAGGTAAAATGCTGCAGCCGCTGTGGAAACCAGTTTGACAGTTTCCCAAAAAGCTAAACATGGAATTTCCATAAGAACCAGCAACTCCACTCCTAGGTACAGACCCAAGCAAGTATCCATCCACTGCCAAATTGAGAAACCAAATGTCAGACATCCCTCCCATGGGGAGCTATCCAGCCATCAACAGGCGGGAAGTTCTGATACAGGCCACAGCGTGGATGAACCCAAGGACATCATGCTCAGTGGAAGAAGCCACATACTGTGTGGTTCCAGTCCCACGAAATGTCCAATGGGCCAGTGCCCAAGGACAGATGCAGGGGAGGGACCACCAGGGCGGGGGAGCGGCCACCAGGGCAGGGAAGGGACCACCAGGGCGGGGGAGGGACCACCAGGGCGGGGGAGTGGCCACCAGGGCGGGGGAGGGGCCACCAGGGTGGGGGAGGGGCCACCAGGGCGGGGGAGGGGCCACCAGGGCGGGGGAGGGGCCACCAGGGCGGGGGAGTGGCCACCAGGGCGGGGGAGGGGCCACCAGGGCGGGGGAGGGGCCACCAGGGTGGGGGAGGGGCCACCAGGGCAGGGGAGGGGCCACCAGGGCGGGGGAGGGGCCACCAGGGTGGGGGAGGGGCCACCAGGGCGGGGGAGGGGCCACTAGGGCCAGGGAAGAGCCAGTGATTGCCAGTGGCTGGGGTTTCCTTTTGGGGTGATGAAAATGTTTTGGGGGCCGGGCACGGTGGCTCATGTCTGTAATCCCAGAACTTTGGGAAGCTGAGGCGGGTGGATCACCTGAGGTCAGGAGTTCGAGACCAGCCTGGCCAACGTCGCGAAACCCTGTCTCTGCTAAAAATACAAAAATTAGTGGGCGTGACGGCAGGCACCTGTAATCCCAGCTACTCGGGAGGCTGAGGCAGGAGAATCGCTTGAACCCAGGAGGTGGAGGTTGCAGGGAGCCAAGATCGCGCCACTGCACTCCAGCCTGGGCGACAGAGCAAGACTCCATCTCAAAAAATGTTTTGGAACAAGGTGGAGTTGCCACTGTACATCATGAATGTGCTGAATGGCACCACATTGGACTGAACAGAACACTTTAAAATGGGTAATTTTATGTTATGTGAATTTTACCTCAATTTAAGAAAAAGATGTCGTAGGGCCGTTTGAAACGCACATCAGAAGGAGCGAATTTCCTGCAGAGCTGAGCCTCCCAGGGCGGCCACACCTTCCCCACACGTTCCCTCGGCAGGTTCCAGGCGGAACACACCGCTCGTCTGCAGGCGCTTGGTGGTGGAGCTGTTTCACACGCGGGAGCTTCTCTTCCCCGCGCCAGCCCAGGAGGAGGGTGTCACTCCTCCCTTCCAAAGACCAGCGACAGGACAGGAGAAGCTTCTGTGACTTTGCCGGGATCAGAGAGAGTCCAGGATTCCAGCCTAGTCCTATCAACCCTGTATCTTGGTGCTCCACCTGCCAACCACCCAGATGCAGGGGCCAGCACAGGACGGCCACTATCCGAGTCTGTGACCTCTCCCTTGTCCCTGATGTCACACCCCACTTGCTGTGGCCTCTCTATGCTGGTCTCCACAATGCTCAGCCGTCTTCGTCCGGGACACTGCACCCCTTCCGCCGCGCAGCCCACCAGCTACCACTCCCAGGCTGTCCACCAGGTGGCAGTGAAGGTCACCGATGTCAAGTTCGTGGCTCACCCTCCCAGCCCTGCACCCACCCTGGCTGCAGCAGAGTGGTGGGGGCCCAAGGAGCCCTCCAACCTCGTCAGGCCAGGGGGCTGGGATGCCAGGGACCACTTCTCCTGCACAGCAAAGCTTATTATAAAATCCAAATGCGGCTGGGCGTGGTGGCTCACGCCTGTAATCCCAGCACTTTGGGAGGCCGAGTTGGGCAGATCGCCTGGGGTCAGGAGTTCAAGACCAGCCTGGCCAACATGGTGAAACGCCGCCTCTACTAAAAATACAAAAATTAGCTGTGTGTGGTGGCGGGCACCTGTAATCCCAGCTACTTGGGAGGCCGAGGCAGGGGAATCGCTTGAACCTGGGAGGCAAAGGTTGCAGTGAGCCAAGATCGTGCCACTGCATTCTAGCGTGGGCGACAGAGCAAGACTGTCTCTCAAAATAAATAAATAAATAAAAATATATAAAACCCAAATGCAGCCAACACCGTGGCTCATGCCTGTAATCCCAGCATGATGGGAGGCCAAGGAAGGCAGATCACTTAAGTCCAGGAGTTTGAGACCAGCCTGGGCAACATAGCGAGACCCCATCTCTACAAAAACACAAAACCTAGCCAGGCGTGGTGGCGCGCATCTGTAGTCCCAACTACTCAGGAGACTGAGGTGGGAAGATCCCTTGAACCCAAGAGTTCAAGGCTACAGTGATCCAAGATCTAACCACTGTCCTCTAGCCTGAGCGACAGAGAGAGAGCCTGTCTCAAAACAAACAACTCCGGCCGGGTGCAGTGGCTCATGCCTGTAATCCCAGCACTCTGGGAGGCCGAGGCGGGCGGATCACGAGGTCAGGAGATCAAGACCATCCTGGCTCACATGGTGAAACCCCGTCTCTACTAAAAATACAAAAAAATTAGCCAGGCATGGTGGCAGGCGCCTGTAGTCCCAGCTACTCAGGAGGCTGAGGCAGGAGAATCGCTTGAACCCGGGAGACAGAGTTTGCAGTGAGCCAAGATCGTGCCACTGCACTCCAGCCTGGGCGACAGAGCAAGACCCCGTCTCAAAACAAAACAAAACAAAAAACACAACAAAAAAACTCCAAATGCACCTGAGTCCCAAGTCCAGTCTCCCAGGCTTGACGCAACAAGGGCAGGGCCCCTTCCAGCCAAGCTAACCCAGCCTCTCCTCCAGCACCTCCAGCCTTTTGGAGACCCTGCCCTGCCCAAAACCACTTGGAAATCACCAACTCAACTTTCCTTGGAACGCACCAGGGCACTCCAATGACGCCGTGTCCTAGCTGGAGTGCCTCGGCTTTTGCAATCCTGTGCAGAATCAAGGTTTTCCCTTGAGCCAAAGAATGAAGAATTACGGCTGAATCCAACACCACTGGCTCCAGGGCCTCTGAAAGCCGAGTCCTGAGGCCGCACAAAGGACTCTGTTGGCTCCTGCAGCCGCAGAGAAAATCTCAAAATCTGAGTGAGAATTAGCGGCAGATTCCAGGGATCAGCAGCCAGCTCTTCACACCAGCCTCGTCTCTGGGCATTGGAGCCACGCCGGCAAAGGTCACGTGCAGCCAGTTGGACGAGGGGTAAAATGCCACCCGAATCTGTTTAGAGTAATTGTTTTCCCCCAGTGGATGGAATATTCTTTTCATCTGGGCAGCTAGGAAACAGCTAAAGTTTTCCATGAACCTCTACAAAGATTTCTGTGTCTTCCAACTTTGTGAGAAGAAAAAGAACTTGCTGGGGGAAATGATATTCTCGAGCTTAACACTCAAATCATGTTTTCTCGAAATCATGTTACTTTCTGGCCAAGTATGCCGGCGAAGCCACTGAGACACGCTCCGCACATCTTTAGAACATAAAGGCCCTGGCAGTAGCTTGCGGCGCTCTTTGGAAAACTGCTTGGCTCTCACTGGAAACACAGCCACGCCTCCTCTGGGCCCCGGTAGCTCTGGCGTTAAGTCGGCTGGAGACTGGCTTGGCCACGGCCGCCATCTCTAGCCAGCCCTGGGGCAACTGCCCCCGGCTGCGTCCCACCCTGCCCGCCTCCTAGCCCCTAGCCAGAGGCAGCTGTGTGGCTCCGTGGCTGGGCTGGGGCGCTGCGGCTCTGCGCACGATAAGCCAGGGAGCTCCTTCCTTAGCACTACTGGCTCCAGGAGCACCTATTTAGGTAAACTCCATTCCTGCAGGTGTCCTCCCCGCTACACATCCAGCCTGGCCCCTCGGCCAGTTTTGCCTTCACCCTGTGCAGTTCATCAAGACATCCCCCTTTCATCAAAGCTCTTCTAGCACATTCTGAGGCGAGCCATAGAGGGACATGAGGGTAGTTACGTCTCATCAAAGAGAAAGGGACCTCATATTTCTGGAGCACCTACCATGCACACGGGCTGACTGTGGGCTCCCATGGCCGGTGGGACAAAGGGCCCCAGCTGCTGTGTGGTCTGATGCTGTGCAAATGAACATCTGTGCGAGTGGCCACGCTTCCCCATCGGAGCAGCCCTGTCGGGTCAGCGCGGCCAGAAAGCTGCGTTGCACTTCCCCTGTTAGGGTCTAAGGTGGAAGACCCCTTCCAGATGTCCTTGGTTTCTAGATGGACAAGAAGAAATAGCGTGTGGCTCTCAGGTTAGGAGAAGGAAGCAGAGTGCCAGGAAGAGCCGGGAAGGAGGAGGCACCAGGGCACCTGAGGCTGTCACTGTTCCACCTCCGGGGGTACACGTCTGGACCACTCATGACAGGCCCCACTGCATCACGACCCCAGACAGGAGACGGCAGGGCAGCCTCAGACTCCCCTGCCTAAGTTCAACTCCGAGCACCGGGGCAGGCGTGCTTCCTGCATGTCACTGGGGAGGCCATGCTCTCTCTCGTGTATCTGGACTCACGACGTCCACCCGGCTCGTCTGTATTCCGTCTGGGTGGACGTGACACTGGGCTGCTCCACTGGGAAAACACTGACCAGTCATCGGAATGTTTACGGAGACAGTGTCAGGCAGCGGGCCAGGGAAACTCTGTCCTCGAAGTCCCCCACCCTCTAGGCACCTAAGTGGGGTTTTATAGGATCTGCTGCAAGAAGATAAAGTGAGATTTTAGGGCTGAAGACAACATTTCAAAATCTGGCTTTAAATAAACATGGAATAAAAGAGAGAGAGAGAGAGCGCGAGCAAGAGTGAGAGCGCGGAGCCTCCAGCAGCTGAAATTAGAAGCAGCCAGCCCCGGGCAGGGAAGCCATCTGCGCGGCGCCCAGCAGCATGGAGACGTCTGGGTCCTCCCTGACGGCATGCGAAGCGGCACCCGCAGGTACAGCTCTGCTGTCTCCTGTCTGCAGGGACCTGCGGGAACACACTGAGGTCTTGTTTTCCAGGTGTCCTCCAATTTCAGATTCTGAAGAACAGATTCCCTCCGCTCCCATCCAGAAATACCTTTCAGATCACTTTCAAGGCAGTTTAAGTCATTTAAGAAGCAGAGTGATAAGAAAACAAAGACAACGTTTCAGGCGGTAAATGAAGACTAATTATACTGAGCGTTAAGCAAAGTTCGTCTTTCTTCGTCTTTGCTCAGGGAGGTTGAGCCGAGTACGGCCCCCAGTGCCAGGAGGGGCCAGTGCTCAGTGTCCTCACACAGGTCCGTCTTCCTGCTCACCCAGTCACTGGCCACTCTCACCCCATGCTGGGTTCAGAAGATGGCGAGTGGGCCTGGGACTGGGGCGGGCTCCCACTCCTGCCCGGGGTGGTGCTGCGTTGTGGGCACCCGTGTCCCTCCTCCCCCTCCACCCTGCCCAGCTCCAGACGTGTGGCTGAAGCGGCCAGCTCGGCCAGTTCGTCCCGGCGCCACATGTGTCCTTCCTCCGGCCCCAGACCCCAGCCTCACCTGGGCCAGTGCAGGAGAGCCCAGCTACGCTGGGTGCGCTTCAGGCTGTCACCTGCCCGAGTTATTTAAATCCACATTGTCAGCTAATGTATTCTAATAAGCAAGTGGGTGACCGGGCTGGCAGGCTCCGGATGACGCTGACATATAGCAAGGGGGGGAGGAGCACGGAGCGAAACTCTGAGACTCACTTGCGCCCCGGTGCTCACCCCCGCACTGCCTCCCACAGGCACCTGGAGTCACGCCACGCGATGTGAGCTGGATTATATAAGGGGGCTTGTTGCTGGGGAACCTCTCCCCGCCCACCCCCGCCAGGGCAGGCTCTGGAGGGAGGCCACATGTCGTCTGTCCCCACCACCCTCAGAAGGAAGCCCCTCTGGCCTTTCTGGCCTGGTCTGTAGGGAAGCTCTGTCTGTAGGCCGCCTCACTTTGAGGGCTGAGGCTGGACCACGGCAACACAGGGTCAGGAAGGGCCCGAGAGGCCATGCCCACACTCCTCTGCCCATGTGTTGCTCAGAGCAGGCAGGGTCTCCCTGCCTTAGAGACAGTGGCCTCATCCTGTCCTCCAGAACTTCCTCCCCATCACGGGCCACGTACTCTCTGCGAGAGGAGAGAGGGGACATCAGATGCCCGGATGGGCAGCAATGCATCTCCCTGGCTATGGCCAGAAGTCTGGCCAACACTATGGCTGCAGGACAGCCATGAGCCACGCTGGGTTGTGGGCAGCAAACCCAAGGCACCATCTGCCAAGGAGGCCAGGTGAGAACCACGTCTGGGGTGGCAGAAGGGCTGAGCCGTCAGCAGGACCCTCGCGCCTCACAGCCCCAGCTCCACTGCGGGCAGTCCAGCCGCAGCCACAGACGGGGGAGGGGGCGAGGTGGGGGGCGGGCCCACGTGCCTGTCCTCGGGATAAGGGGCCACTCCACAGGGTGCTGGCCCCCTGGGGCTCTCTGTGATCAGCAGCAGCAGACCACAGGGGCAACAGCTCCATCCACTGACCCCAAGGTGGACAGAGTGGGGACCTGGGGGCCAGGACGAGATTCCAGGGTGAGGCACAGGTGACGCCTTCGGACTCCTGCAGGTAAAACTGGAGGCCTGTGCAAGATCACTGCCCATTCCCATGACAACCTTAACTCTAGCACATTTTTCATTCATGCAATTGTTACAAAGATACCGCCACCCCCCCATCCCCCCAGCCCAGTTTTCCCTTTGGTGACATCTTGCATCAGTACATGTGTTTATGATGATCAATGAATCAATGCTGCTACATTATTATTAACTAAAGCCCATACTTTATTCATATTTCCTCAGTTTCCCTCCAATGTCTTCTTTCTCTCCCAGGACCCCACCCAGGATCCCACGTGACATTTAGGGATCAGCTGTCTCCAGGTTCCTCTAGGCTGTGACAGTTTCTCAGACTTTGCTTGGTTGTTTTTTGGTTTTTGGTTTTTTTTATTTTGAGACAGAGTCTCATTCTGTCACCCAGGCCAGAATGCAGTGGCATCATCTCAGCTCACTGCAACCCCCGCCTCCTGGGTTCAAGCAATTCTCCTGCCTCAGCCTCCCGAGTAGCTGGGACTACAGGCGCCTGCCACCACGCCCGGCTAATTTTTGTATTTTTAGAGATGAGATTTCACCATGTTGGCTAGGCTGGTCTCAAACTCCTGACCTTGTGATCTGCCCGCCTCAGCCTTCCAAAGTGCTGGGATTAAGGTGTGAGCCACCGCGCCCAGCCCACTTTCCTTGGTTTTGATGACTTGGGAAGTTTTCAGGAGGGCTGGTCGGTTTTTCTGTAGAGTGTCCCCCTGTTGGGATTTGCCTAATGTTTCTTTTCTTTTCTTTTCGAGACAGGGTCTTGGTTTGTCGCCAAGGCTGGAGTGCAGTGGTGTGATCACAGCTCACTGCAGCCTTGACCTCCTGGGCTCCAGTGATCCTCCCACCTCAGCCTCTAGTGGCTAGGACCACAGGCATGTGCCATCACGCCTGGCTAATTAAAAAAAAAATTTTTTTTGTAGAGATGGGGTCTCACCATGTTGCCCAGACTGCTCTTGAACAATCTTCCCACCTCGGCCTCCCAAAATGCTGCGATTACAGGTGTAAGCCACTGCGCCCGGTCTGCCAGTGTTTTTCTAATACTAAGACAAGGGTTATGGGTCTGGGAGGAAGAGCCCAGTGGTGAAGCGCCCTGTCACATCTGCCCGTGTGACCTCTCGGTGATGGTGCCAGCCTTGACCTCTGGGCTGAGACAGTGGGTCGGGCTCTCCACTGTGGAGACGCCTTGCCTACCTCCCACTCTGTGCTCTCTGGAAGGAAGTCACCATGTGCAGCCCACACAGAAGGGGCACGAGCTGGGGCCCCCTCCCTGTGCCCCTTACTTTTATTTATTTTGAGACGAAGTTTCGCTTGTCGCCCAGGCTGGAGTGCAATGGCACAATCTCGGCTCACTGCAACCTCTACTTCCTGGGTTCAAGCGATCCTCCTACCTCAGCCTCCTGAGTAGCTGGGATTACAGGTGCCCACCACCATGCCTGGCTAATTTTTTGTATTTTCAGCAGAGATGCGGTTTCACCATGTTGGCCAGGCTGGTTTTGAACTCCTGACCCCAGTTGATCTGCCCGCCTCAGCCTCCCAAAGTGTTGTGATTACAGGCGTGAGCCACTGTGCCCGGCCGGGCCCCTTCCTTTTAAATGTCAGCCTCTGGAGTGACCATCTGTGTTGGCTGGGAGCTCTTCGGAATGTCCCATCCAGTTGCTGAGGCTAATGATCACCTCTCAGGTGCGCTGGTCCCATTCTCTGCGCTGTTTATGTCACTTTATGCCTGGACTCCTCCCAACAATGTTCTGTCCTCCACTTAGAGGGTGCTCAGAGAGGCTGTGACACCTGCCCCCAGCAACCAGCCAGTCATCTAGCCCAGTGGCCCCCGGGCCCGCCTATGCCAAATGATGCCCCCTCGGTGCCGCCCACCCCTAAATGCACACCATGCCTGCAGACGTCAGCACTCGCCCTGTCCCACTTGCCCTGGTGGGAAACAGCCTGCAGTGAAAACGTCGCTCTGCCTTTTATGCTGGACAAAGCCGAAGTGTGCTGGAGGTGGCTGAGCCAGGCTTCCCGCGGCAAGGAGCGGGACTCCTGACCCCACAGCCCTGGCTCCCACCCTCGATGTGCTCCTGCCTTTGCCTTCTTGCTGGTAACGCTGCCATTGGTGCTGGTAACGCTGCCATTGGTGAAGAACACGGGAGCCCATCCAGCCCATCCAGGAAGCAAAGAAACGGTGCTCCAGACACCATGCGGATAGCTTCACCCGCCGACCCCGGCCAGGCCCAGCTGCTCCCACAGCACCTGGCATGGAGGGGGAAGTGAGCAAGGGCAGGCGGGGAGAGAAGAGGCTCGCCCTCCTGGCTCTGCCCCAGACACCCGTCCGATAGCACTCCAGTGCCTTCCGGTCTCTCCCGCTCTGGAACTTTCTGGTTACTGATTACAAGTGCTTTAATCCAGGAATGAAAAGGAAGAGGAGTTCTGATTGGGTGGACCCTTCTCTTGGAGAGAAGGCAAAGCTGCCAGGCAGAAGGTGGGAGGGGGAGGAAGAGGAGAGAGGAAGCTCCCTTGACAGGCATAAAACGTCCCTGTGATTGCGGACAAGTGGCTACTCTCAGGCCACATTCAGCCGAGGCTGGGTGAGGCTGGTCGGGAAGAGGGAGACGGAGGTGGAAGCGGGTTCAAGTTTTGACGGGTGGTCACCTCAGAAAGGGCTCCTTCTGTTTAGCAAAACTCCCCAATCCTTCGCCTGGCTTGCCAGGAGAACAGCTTGCTTGAAAAGCAAAGGCTGTCATCCTGTAATTAAATCTGAGACCCCCCCCCATGTGACGTTGAGATGAAGCCACTTACATAACGCGACTAAAAATAAGCTGATGAAGGCTGCACACTTACACTCTCTGCCTCCAGCCCTCCTCTCCCCAGCGGCCCATCGTGCTGGCTGACCCAGGGTCCGCGTCACCGGCTGTGGCGTCGGGTTCCTGTCTGAAGTCACTCTTGCCTCCGGCCCCGCTCGGCGCCCTGTGTGCATGAGGGCCCATCGCTGGTGCCCGGGTTGCAGACCCCTGGCTCAGAGCTGGGGTGCTGAGGATCCCCCAGCCCGCCCAGGCGAGGGTTGACGCTTATGAGAGGAGACCTGCTGGGTACCAGCTCCATCTGCCTCCTTCTCAGTGACTCCTGACGAGCTGCTCATTTACACACACCTGCTCCCACCCCCACCCCACAGTCTGGATTGCGAAACCTACCGCACCCCACCCCCAGTGCAGGAAGAAGGTGACCCTGGTCTGGGGTGGGGACAGAGAGTCTGGGAGGGGGTGGTGGCTGGCAGTCTCGGTGGCTGGCGACGCCTCTTCCGCTCTTCCTTCCTGGGAGGAGGCGGGCAAGGCGAAGCCTCTCCGCTCAGTCGATGGTTTCCTTCAGGACGTCTCATAGAGGTGTGGGTGAGATCCCAGGTCTGGGCCGCAATTTCTAGCCACGCTGCCCAACCTTCAGGCAAGCAGTCAGGTTCCACAGCTACCCCACCACACTCTCAGAGTCGAGGGGAACAAGAAGAGGGAGTGGTCTGTAAATGCGTCGGGACAAGAGTGCCCTCCTAACTCCACCTGGAGCTGGCGTCAGGGCGATCTCTGGATGCCCAGCCCATAAGCCTGGCCTGTCTCTTCCTGGGACCCTTGGTACTCAGCACCCCCAGCCCCCAAGCCCCCTAATACCCTTTAGAAAGGCTTCCCCATCAGTGTGAAAGACCTCACAGGACGCTGGTGAAGGCGAGCACAGAGTGCCTGGGGAACATCCTTGGTGGAGAACTTCCTGGAGGCCACTGGTGCAGGGCAGATGCCAGGCGGGCACCGAGTTTCTTGCCCTTGTTCTGCATTCCTAGGTATGAGGACCTCACCACGTCCTGCTCTGCGCCTGTCATCGGCCGCGGTGTGTCTCCTCAGGTGCCGAGCTGGTCACTTCCATGTACAGCATGGATAACCGTCTTCTCAGGGAAGGCCTCCAGCCCGCATTCAGCCACCTGCCCAGCCGCCGGGCGGAGGGAGCAGGCTCAGGCACCGAGACTGCTGAGCCACTGGCCACCCGGGAAGCAGGCTGCGTTCTGAGTCGGTCACCGAATATGTCCCCCCTTGGACGGGAGTAGCGCAACGATGTGCAGGCCAGCTCAGGAAGTAACGCTGGGAGCTTCTAGAAGGTGGAGCGGGATCCAGGACCGTGGGAGCTTTTCCGGAGAAGCCTACCTCTCCTGTGTTGCAGCTGATGGGAGCAGCAGGGCCTGGAGAAGAACTGTCCCCAGGCTGACTCCCCTCTTGGAGTGAGGAGGCCTCCCGTGTTTGCCTGCCAGCCTCCATCTGTCATCTTGGTTCCAGCCATTCAACTTTCCTCCAGGCGAGCAGAGCTGCTCTACCCCCACCTGCTCCGTGTTGGCCCCAGACCCAACTCAGGCCAGTGGACGTCTGTCCTAGGGCTGCGTGTGAGATCGGTGGGTGCAGGGAACACAGCAGGAAGCTGGCCTAGAAGAAGGGGGTCAGGGTCAGTGGAGATGCTCCTACCTTCAGGTAAATGCCCTCATTTGTTAGGGCCAGTTTGAGCGAGCTTTCTGTCATTTACCACCAAAAGAATCCTAGAAAATAAATACACAGGGATCTACCCCCAAACACTGGAGACAATAAAGAAAAAGGAAGCAGCCAGGGCCAGTAGCTGGAAGGAAATTCAGCCGGAGGAGAGGAGGCGCGGGGCTGTGGTGGGAGGGAGGCAATGCTTCCTGAATCTTACTTCCCTGGTCTTTCCATCGGCCTGAGCCCGTGCCAGTCTGGGGATCTGCCGGCCAGCCAGCACAACTGCGTCTCCCCCAGGGGCCTGACTCGTTGAAGGAATGAATGAATGAATGATTTTGCAGGGATGGGAGGCTGGGAGACTGAGAGGTTTCATTAAACGGAAACGCTCAGATCTGGTGTTTCACAACGTAAAACAAATAATTCCTCTATGTTAGCCTAATTTATGTAAATATTTCTCCACGGGAATTGTACCGGGAGACCTGTGTGCCAACTCGGCCAGCTTCCCCGGCAGAATCTCCCCTTGGGAGGACCCTTAAGCAGGACCCTTCCTAAAAATTGGAGGCAGCTCTGACTCCTCCATTCCTCCTACAAGGTTCCCCCACCCCCTAGGGCTTTCCACCGCATGAGAGTCCTCCGGGCCCCTCGTTTCCTACTGCCCTCGACCCTTCCTTCCCGAGACCTCTCTCTCTCAGTAAACTGCCTCCAACGAGAATCTTCTGACGGCAGGAGGGTCCTCCCCGTCCCTAAGGGTCGCCCTGTCCCCAGGCCTTCCAGCAGGACACTCCCCTGTCCCCTCTCCAGATCCTCCTTCCCAGGGCCCTCCTCCAAGATCCTCTTCCCCAACCCTCCTCTCCCAGGGTCCTCCCCTCTCCAGAATCCCGGCCCCAAGCCCCCAAGCGCTGTCTGCCTGTCTGGGGTCCTCCCCAGAGTTCACCTTCTGCAGGATCCTCCCTCCAAGTCCTCTCCTCACGATGCTCCCCCGAAATCCTCCTTCTCCAAGTCGTCCCCCACTCCAGGGCCGAGCTCTCTCCAGGGTCCTCCTGCAGCACCCCCTCCCCCAGGGTTCTCCTCTCTGCCCCGAGGGGCCGGCCGGGGGGTCGCCGCCCGCCCGGCGGGCTTACCTGCGAAGCGGCGGGGTCGGGGCCTCTCCCACCTGTAAGCCCGGCCCGCGGCGTCCTGCGTCCGAGCCGCTCCCCGCCCCGCAGCGCCAGGCCGCGACCCGGCGGGCCGCCCGCCCCGAAGTGCCACTTCGCGAAGTGCCGCCTCCACGCGCGCTGCCGCCGGCGCCCCCCGCTCTCCTCCCCGCACCTTCTGCTCCTTCTTCCTGCGCCACCCCGCCCCCGCCTCCCCGCCCCCAGCCCGGCTGTTGCCCGGGCCCCCTCAGGCTGCTCCCAGGGCCCCAGCCCGCGCCGCGCCTCCCCTCTCCTCCCCCAGGATCGACGCCGCCGCAGACCAATCGCTGCCTGGAGTCGGCCACTAGGCCCCACCTCCGATCCCGCCCCCCTCCCCCTTCTCCGGAACCCACCAATGGAAAGGGCGGTGCGGGGGCGGGGCCTGGCGGTTGCCTAGCAGCGGCAGCGCCGGGCGGGGGCGGGTGGTCGGGGGCGGTGATGCGGGCGCAACGGGGGCGGGACGCAGGGGCGGGGACTGCCGCGGGGCGGGGCCTGAGGCGGCTATAAAGGTGGCCGCCGCCGGACGCCGGGCTCTGTGGTTCGGGTCCGCTTTCGTCTCCGTCCTGCTGCCGTTACCGCCGCTGCTGCCGCCGCTTGCGTCCCCCGCTCCGGTCTGTGGTGCAGCCGGGACCCAGGACCATGTCTCTGTCTCGCTCAGAGGAGATGCACCGGCTCACGGAAAATGTCTATAAGGTGAGCGCCCCCCGGCGCCGAGCTGAGCCCGCTCCGTGTGCGCCTGGGTCGCGCGCCGCCCGCGCGCCCGAGCCCGACCAGGGCGGCCCCGGGGCCGCGCGCCGGGCCAGGAGGCTGGGACTTTGGGGGTCTTCCCGGCGCGGCCACCCGGGACCCGGGCTGCTGGGGTGGTGAGCCCGGCGCCGGCCGCTCACAGGTGGCCACCCCCGCCCGGGCCCCCCCATCCCATGCGCGCCGCGGCCCGGTCAGTCCCCAGCCCCAGGCCCGGGGAGCACTCCCCGCTCCGACGGCCCTGCTCGGCCCCCGCGCGCTCGCCTTGGCGTCGGCGGGAACGGAGCCGCGCGCCGGGCCCCGGAAGCCCTCGGACCGGTCGGGGTCGTAGCACACCCGGGCAGGGCCGGGGCGGCGGGGGCGGCGGGCCCAGGGGTTGCGGCGGCCAGGACGGCATGGGGGCTGTCTGAAGGCCGCGGTCGGCGCGGTGGCACCGTGGGGCTCCTCCAGGCGCGGTTGCGCGAGCCTCGGGCACTTCATTCTCAACAGGCTTTCCCTTCCCACAACTCCTGCCCGGCGCCCATGCTGGGGCCTAAGGTGGGAGGTCGGAGCGCGGGCAGGCTGGATGGGTGGACGGATAATCTATCATCTTATGTAACCGCGGAGAGAGAAGACTAATTGTGTAGGAGGCTGACGTGCCTGCCTTTGCTTCAGATGTGTTAAGAGTGGCATCCACGTTCTCGTCTGCGAAATGACAGGTTCACATCCAAGGGCCGCAGAGCACCGCTGGAAGCCTCCCCTGCCGCCCCCTCCCCAGTCGTTTTTGTGGCTGGGATACCGACAAACAGGCCCTTGGTTTTCTCTTTCTTCAGCATCCGTTCTCGGTCCAGACCCCCACGCCTGAGCCCGGCAGCTGCCGGGGAGCATTTTCTCAGAGGAGAAACCCCTGCTCTGGGTGTCCCTGGGTCCTGGGCGATCTCTTACAGATGTGCTTTGTTTCAAAACTGTCTGCAGGTTCAGTGACAGGCTGGGCGATGAGTGGAGTGGGTATTTACCCGGCAGTCGCTGGTTCATGTTTCCTAACCGGCTTGCACCCTGCCCGGCAGAGTAACTGTTTCTGATTGTGGTAGGCGGCCAAGGCGTGCCTGGCCAGGGGCCTGGGAAGCCCTCTTAGCTCTCAGGCTTGGGAGAGCCAGATGGAGGCTTCAGGGGTGGCCCCTCTGGTTCCAGCTGGAGTGCAGGGGGCCGATTGCACTTGAATACAGCTTTCAATAAAGCTTGTGAAGTTGGGGCCGCGTCAGTCTGGAAGGTTTCTGAAGGCGGGTGTGCGGTCGACTAGATGAGTCCTAAAGCCACGTCGGAGCCACTGGGAAACAGGATTCAGGGTGACCTGAGGAGTCGGCTTGGGAAAGGCACAGGCCCTGGGGTTGTTAGGTTTGGTTTCACAGAGTCTGTGGCATACGGTTCTGGCCTTGTTGCTCTGTGGAAGCACATGTTGTCAAGGGAGGGAGGTTTATTAAATTATTAGTCATTAGCTCCATTACGACTTGTTTGTGATTGCAGAGGGTGGAAGAGAAGTACCAGCGGAACCTTTTTCCTATTTTTTCTCCTTCTGCGCTGAAACCAGAAAGCAGGAACTTTCGTGGTGAGAGTTGGCAGGGGGTGAGTACATGGAGTGGTTTTGCTCTGGGGGACCGACCCCGTGATCGTCCTTAATAAAACTCTCCTAACCGGGCAGTAGGCCTTCACCTAGGTGAAGCTGTAATTTATCTGCAGGTCTAAGTGAAATCTGCTGGCAGGAAAACTCTTAGGACTGAGTGTTTGGGGACTTTGAGCCCCTGTGGACGCAGACCAGCTGGTCTGGAGCACGTGAAACACACAGGTTCTGCGTTTTGTCTTCCACGGGTGGGTTAATTGGTGATTTTCCCAAGTGAAGATGTGGCGGTTGATGATTTGATTTAGCACGGCAGGACGCGGTGGGCCGCAGGTGTCTGAAGGGTCGATCCACTCTGGAAAGGCTTTGCCCTGGTGACAGGCTTGCGCTGCTGCTGCTGCACACAGGCGGGGTTGGTTTTGTAGGTAGGTGGCTCCTGCTGCCACTCCGGGAGCCTGACTGCTGAGTCTTTGAGACCTTTTTGTGCTTTGTCACTGGGGAGCTCAAGGTGCCTTGGTAGTGCCGGTACTGGTTGGGCAGCTTTTGGCAATGTCAGCCAGGCAGAAACTCAGCCCACATGGAGACATAGTCAGGAGACCGCTGAGGCCACCGGTGTGCACTCCTGGGCCGGTCCAGCCGGTCCAGGCAGTGCTGAGCTCTGTCCTCTCCTGGGACGGTGCTGCCTCTGGCATCCCTTCCCGGGGCCGCTCCTGTGCCTGGGTTGGCGGCTTGCAGAGCCCTGGCAGTGCCTCTTGGAACGGCTGTGCTGTGGCCTGCTTAGTGTCACCCGCGATGCGGCTCAGCTGTTTGGTTTGGTTTGGACATTGCATCGCCTTAACTGCAGTTCTGAGTGGTGTTTGCCTTGGCAAAGGAGGACGCTTGTCCTTGGCCTTGGTGATTAAAAATGCGAGAATAAAAAGTGCAGTTTTGATTTTCTTCCCCGTAAGAATCCGTAACGCAGACTTTGACCTCTTTTCTGGTGGCTCCATTCCCTTGGGAGCTGTGTCCTCGGGGAATTTCATGGAAGATGAAGGGGAGGGGAGTGGAACGGCTTCCCGGTGTTTGCCGAGAACATAATCTCAGACCTTCTGGGGGCACTGCGTGGGCTGGGCCCTGCAGGTGTTGGGAGGGCAAGGCGCGGAAGACCCCTTCCTCCACAGGAGCCCGGGCCCAGCGCTTGCTCAGGTTGCCCTGGGTAGTGGCCCAGATGGAGGGATGGAGTGCTGGAATCTGCCTCCCCCGGTGGCCTTTGGAATTAAGGCTACTGAAGCTGCAGCCCTCTTGGGGAAGCCCCGTGCATCCCTGTGTGCTGAGGGGCTGGCTCCCTGGCTGGCTGTGTCTCCTGGAATGCCAGGAGAATGTCAGGTGGGTGTTTTCCTCAAGGTCTCGTGTCCGCAGAGAAGCCCTGGCTCCCAGGTGACCCATGACCTGGAGTGTGGCGGCTCCACCACCTTCTCTGGGCATAGTGCCATTGGCCCACAGCCTGTCCTAGAATATGTGAGGTTGAGAGAGCATCTGGGGAGGAGGAGGAGTCCCTGTTGCAGACGTGGCCATGGCCTTCCTTGTGCCGAGGCTCTTGGCCCTGGCTGGTCACTCTAGCAGCTGGTGGGGAAGCCAGCCTGGCGGGGCCGCAGCCGTGCTTCGAGGAGACGGGTGCCACAGGGTTCCTGGAGCCAGGAGCCAGTTGGGTTTGCCGCCTCTGGTGTGATTGGTAAGGGCTGGCGCCAGGTGGTGGGCGTCATGTGCTGGGTGGCAGGGAGCACACTGCCGGCTTTTCTGCTCCGTGCCCGGCTGCCCGGGCCTGGCTGTTCCTCTCTGCCACATCCAGCTTCTTCCTGGGGTGTGCAGAGCTCACCATCCCCTCCATTTGGAGACGGTGGGGGGTGGTCTCTGACAGGCACCTCCTGCTGACAGGCACCTCCTGGCATTGGAGTCGCCTTCCTGGGTGGGGGGGGCAGCAGACCCGGCACCTGAGGAGGAGAGAAATCACAGTGCTGGACCCAGCTCCGTGCGCGTGTACATGTGTATGTGTGTCCGTGTGTGCACACGTGCATGCAGTGCTTTGTGTTTAAGGATACTTCCTGGGGTGGCCCCCATGGGCACCATCTTGCCGCAGGGTGGCTGGGTCTGCTGTCACTGAGTAGACCTGGCCTGCATTTTCTCTACATGTGCATGTCTGTGTTACCCGCCCTCGCCACCGCCAGCCTTTAGCAGGGGGCACGTCTCCCAGGAGCAGTGCTGATGTGGTCCCCTTGGTGGGGTGGCCAGGGCACAAAGACCGGCTGCCGTGTCATGCTGCCCTCTGGGCTGCCCAGCCTGTGTGGGCTTTGGCCCCAGGCACTGTCCTGCCGGTTGTTGGCTCCAGGGTGTACAACCCTTCTGCTGGTGCTTGCTCAGCGTCCCATGCCTGCTGGCTCCAGGTGGCGTCCAGCGTTCGCTTGGTGTCCCATGCCTGCTGTGCCGTTGGTGGCTGCATGAAGTCCGTGTCTACCGATGGATGTGGCCAGGCGTTCTGGGATGTGGCGCTTGTGGAGTTGTGGGCTGCTTGGGGGAGAGTGTCCTGCCCGTGCCTGCTGTCCCCACAGCCTTGCCTTGAGCAAGTATTCTTCGTTGGGGAGATTGGTTGGCTCGTGGTACTGCCCGAGTGGACCTGAGGTTCAGGATTAAAGTGAAGGCTGGTGCTGCCCTGGGCTTTCAGGGGCCACCGTTAGATGGGAGGGCAGTGGGTGGGGGCTGCTGGGAGCTGTGTTCCTGTTGCTGCCTTGTCTTCGACTGAAGCTTCCAAAGGTGGAGACCTGAGGGCCAAGACCTGTCTGCTGGCTACAGGCACCATGGGCTGAACTGTCCAGGATAGGTGGTCTTGCAGGGGAGGGCTGGTGTGTGACCTGGCCATTGAATAGGAGGGGCCTGTCCTCCTTCCGAGCTCCAGGAGGCAGACTGGCCGGGAGGCTGAAGCCCGGTTCACCCTTCTCCCCAGTTCACAGGTCTGGGCCCTGGTCAGGGGAGCAACCCCAGCGTCACTGCAGGAGTGGCAGGTGGTGAGCAGAGCTGGACATCACCACTTGTCTCCACCCAGCCTTGCATGGCCCTCTCTGCCAGCTGCCCTGGGCTAGTGTTGCCTGTGGGTGCCACCATGGGTGGGGACACTCGCCACCGTCTGTGGAGGCGGGGTGCCACTGACTGCTGGTTGAGGCTGGCTCCTGTCCTTCCTTACATTGAGCCAGAGTCTGCCCTGTGTTGCCTTCCCAGCCACCTTGTCTGGTGACTTTCTTTGAGGCCCCAGGATAGGGAAGCATCTTTGTGGCTGCACAGAGCCCGTGGTCCCCTGGAAGCTCTGCACTTGGGCGGCCGGCGCCGTCAGCCGCCCCCCACAGCCTGCGCTAAGATCCCTAGTAATTACAGGCAGGCGGGGATGGTGCTGGCACCGGCCTCCAACGCACTTCCACCTCCCCCGAGCGCTGATTCATTCCTGGCCCCTGGCTGTGCCTGTACAGCTGCACAATGACTTGAGGGGCCTCAACCCAGAGGCAGAAAGGGAGGCCGAGAAGGGACCCGTTTGGCTCTGTGACTGCAAGGGCTTGATCTGTCCTGCCCACGGATTCCTCCTTTGGGCATGGAACGGCGGCCAGCCTGTGAGGGGCCCATCGGTATTTGGGAATGAACACATCTTGTTTCTGGATTCTGGAGCATTCATGCTTGAATCACTGTCCCGCCTTTGCTGAGGGTTTGCTCCCCGGGCGGTGGCCTGGGCCCTCTGAGAGCTCCCTGGAGGTGGTGGCAGCTCACACCACATGCAGTTGGAATCCCTGTTTCCCAGGGCTGTGGGCAGTGCAGGCTGAGGAGGTGGCCCTGGTGTGGGGCTGGCCTAGGCAGGCTGAGGGCTATTTCTCCTACTGTGGCCCAGGGGCTCTTGGTGTTGGTCCTGCAACAAGGGGACCAGAAAGCCCAGGGAGCAAGAGTGGAGGAGGCTGTGGAGATGGTGGGGAGGTAGGGCCTGAGCCCATGCTGTGCTGAGGAGTCCCCTCTAGGGGGCAGGAGGCTGGGGATCTGCCTCTGGCGGGGGCCCGTTTCTGCCTGTCAGGCACAGTGGCGCCCCCAGCACCTCCCTCAAGTTAACCCCCATCTGCCCCTGGTCTTTTTGACTCACGCTATAGAGCCTTGTCTGCTGGCTCTTGGTTTGGTCACCCCTGAGCTTTGGAAAATGCTGCCTGGTCCTTGGGCTTCCTGCCAGGCCTGCCGGGAGGAGTCTTGCCTGGCCAGTCCCCTGGCCATATGACCTTGGCCAAATCTTGCTCCCTGGGCAGTGGGTACAGCGGGCAGGATGCTCCCAGGGTCCCTGGAGGCTCTGGGGCCTGTCCCAGGTCAGGTGGCACCAGCCTTGGTATCCTCAGTGCTCTAGTCCTCACTCTGATGGGCAGGGGTGGGATGCACGCGGCACCATGAGATCTGATGTCCTGGGCCATGAGGTGCTGGGGACCCCTTGTTGGGGGAAAGGCTGTCAGTTACAACAGGGTGCTTTTGCTCTTGCTTAGAGTTTTTATTTTATACTTACTGGAACAGTTGTCTTATAATTGGGTAGTGTTTTTTCGTTTTTTGTTTGTTTTTTGTTTTTTCTGTTTTGTTTTTGTTTTGTTTTTGGAGACGGAGTTTTGCTCTTGTTGCCCAGGCTGGAGTGCAGTGGCGTGATCTCGGCTCACTGCAACCTCCGCCTCCCGGGTTCAGGTGATTCTCCTGCCCCAGCCTCCCAAGTAGCTGGGATTACAGGCATGCGCCACCACGCCTGGCTAATTTTATATTTAGTAGAGGTGGGATTTTTCCATGTTCGTCAGGCTGGTCTCGAACTCCCAACCTCAGGTGATCCACCCACCTCGGGCTCCCAAAGTGCTGGGATTACAGGCATGAGCCACTGCGCCTGGCCCTGTTTGGGTAGATTTTTCAATAATCATATATTGAATTCATGTGAAGTAAATTGGTAGGGTTTTCTTAAAACTTATTTTTCATGAAGAGTTTGACTTCTGAGTCACATTTCAGCTCTGGGCTGTCAGTGTGCTTGTCCACTGGGCACCTGCCCCTGAGCCGTCAGGGGTGCCAATGCCAGAACACCTCCTGAGTATGTCTCTGAGATTTTCTTCCAAGCCCCTGCTCTTCCATTTTTGTTACTGGCACTTTTTTTTTTCTTTTCTTTTTTCTTTTTTTTTTTTTTTTGGAGACAGAGTCTTGCTTTGTTTCCCAGCCCGGAAGGCAATGGTGTGATCTCACCTCAACTGCAGCCTGAAACTCCTAGGCTTATACAGTCCTCCTGCCTCAGCCACCTGAGTAGCTAGGACCACAGGCGTGCCCCACCTGTGTGCCTGGCTAATTTTTTTTTTTATTTTAATTTTTGGTAGAGATGAGGTCTTGCTATGTTGCCCAGGCTGGTCTTGAACTCCTAGGCTCAAGCAGTCCTCCCACCTTGGCCTCCCAAAGTGCTGGGATTACATGTGTGAGCAAACGCACCCTGGTGCTTTCTTGATCAGCAGGTTTTCAGACAACGGCCAGGCCTCCTGTTCCTTCTTCGGATGGTCCTTATGTGTTTTGTACACTGAGCTGTCCAGGCGTGCCCCTGCCTGGTTGTGGCAGGGGACAGTCAGCAGGTGGGCCATGCCAGGTGACCGCCTGCTTGTCATGGCTGCCCCAGTGGGAGTCGCAGGACGTGAATGGTGGAATGCGCTGGGGTAGCACAGGTGCCTGTGCCGGAAAACAGCGACATCTTGACATTAGAATGGGGGTGGGGATGGTGGTGGGGGAGAGGGTGTCCCCTAGCCGCAGGAGCTGGAATCTGTCCAGTAGAGGGTTTGTCTCACCCAGAGCCAAGCTTGGTCTGGGTGGATGCTGCTAGTGGCGGGCAGAGTGGCCTTGCTGCTTCCAGGCGGGGCTTTTATTTTAATTTAATTTAATTTAATTTATTTAAGACAGAGTCTTGTTCTGTCACCCAGGCTGGAGTGCAGTGGTGTGACCTTGGCTTACTGCAGCCTCTGCCTCCTGGGCTCAAGCAATTCCAAGAAGCTGGGATTACAGGTGTGCGCCACCACACTGGCTAATTTTAGTATTTTTAGTAGAGATGGGGTTTCACCATGTTGCCCAGGCTGGTCTTTAACACCTGGGGTCAAATGATCCTCCCACCTCGGCCTCCCAGAGTGCTGGGATTACAGGCGTGAGCCACTGCATCCGGTCTAGGTGGGGCTTTTAAACCAGTGGGTGTGGTGGAGGCCGAGATGCCACCACCTGAAATGAAGTGGACCTGGGTCCCCCCATACCCGTTTTTCCAGCCCCCTCTTCCGTGGCCGACTATGTCTGCCAGAGGAGGCCTGTGTCCATCTCCATTTGCCCCACCACGGAAAGCCCGTCCTCACGCAGTCCAGGCATGGATGGAGCATCAGCCTCCACCTGTCCTGCTCCTGGGCTGAGACTCCAGGGCCTCGGTGGCCCCAGGCCGTGGAGCAGAGCTGTGGGCTGCGGTCCGACCGGTGGCAGGAGTCCCATCTAGGGATGTGGCTGTGAAGCTGGGGTGCTGGGGCCTGGGCGGTGTCACTGCTGTCTCATGCTCTGGCTCTGGGGACGGCTGGGCCCACAGCGTCCTGGCACCCGGGAGGCCCTGTCACTGCTCACACTGGAGCGTCCTGGCACCCGGGAGGCCCTGCCACTGTGCACACCGGACACTGCGCTGGACATTCTCTGTGCTCAGCCTCGTTACTGTTGCTTCGTGTGCGGGTCCTGGGTGTCCCTGCCTGACAGGGGATCCTCGGTTCAGGGAGAAGTGTGTCCCCGCCCGTAAGCTGGAGTGGCTGAGCTCATTGAAACTGCAGAGCCAACTCCAGGGCCCTCTGGCTCTCCAGCCGCGCGTCTGTCCTTCCGTTCGGGAGTTCGAGGAGTTCAGGAAGGCGTTCTCGCCGCGGGGTCTCTGTTTTCTCATTAATTCAGTGAGACGATAGCGTATTTCCTGGCACAGAGAGTACTGGGTAAGTGGTGGCCACGATCGCTAGCTTGTGGGACAGAAAGTTCTTCAGAGATCAGAGGTCAGTGGTCCAGAGCAGGAAAGCCCCGCCCCGAAGCTGCTTGCCACTGTCTGCTTTCCTGGGATCCTGTGTTCCTGAGTGTGGCCACAGCCCCCGGGCTGGCACCTCCCACCTGCCTGACCTGAGGTTGGCGGGAGGTGGGGCCGTACAGGCATTCCTAAGCTGCCTCCCTGCTTGCTCAGCCACGGTTGCTCCTCCAGCCGTGAGCCCAGCCCGAAAGACCGGCCAGTGCCTTCACAGGGAGGGGATGGATGGGGCAGCGGCCTCGGGGATTCTTGCAGGCCAGGCGGTGACCAGACTTGGGTCTGCGATTGGCGGTAATGAGTGACCTAGTGACCGGGCCTTTCCACGTTGGAGGGGGACCAACACGGCGCCACAGACTGGTGTGCCCACAGGACGGCCGTGGCACCTGGCTCGTCCCTATGTTATCTGTGCCCTCTTTCTTGTAAGGCGCTGGTCCTATGGGATTAGGGCCCGCCCTAGTGACCCCAGTTACTTTTATCGCCTTCCTAAAGACCCTGTTTCCAAACACAGTTGCACTGCGCGATGCCGGGGCTTAGAACTTCAACACGTGCATCTTGGGAGGGGACACAGTTCAGCCGTGACACCCAGCGGACCCCACCCGTGACGGAGTGCAGTAGCTGCTGGAGGGGCCGAGTCTCCCATGTTGCCTGGAGGTGACCACCTGTCTGTCTTCAGGCTGATTGTATTACGAGCCTATGATGGTTTTCCCTTCCAACCTCAGTCAGATCGCAGCCCGCAGTTTATGACAACAGGAAGGTTTCCACGGGGACAGCTGATTCTATTGGACGAGCAGTCAGCTGGCAAGGCGCCAGCTCAGTGCTGGCCACAGGCGAAAGGCAGCCGGAATGCACCGTCCCGTGTGGGCCGGACACCCCGTGAGGCTGAGCAGTTGCTAAGTTCTGTGACCCGGGCCAGGGTGGCTGGACATTGGAAGGTGTGTGTAAGGGGCTCTGTCCCCATTGAAGCTGGGATAGGCAGGATGTGCCTCTCGGACAGGAAGGAAGTGGCCAGACTGCTTGGTGCTGTGTTTGGACTTTGCTGGGCTGCGGCTCCTCCTGCGTGGGCCGGGTCATGGTGTCCTGCGTGCAAGGCCCCACGTGTGGCTTTTGCCCTTGTGGACCTCTGCTCCTTGGGACCTCGTTCAGGAGGGCTCAGACTTGGGGCCCCTGAGAGTTGAGGACGCCAGGGGAAAGCTCGCAGAGGGCGTGCAGGTGTCCAAGGCCCATGGAAAGGGAGATGCTGCTGCAACCCTGAAAGGGAAGCAGGGCCCCAGGCTGGGGCTGGGGGCCCAGGGGAATGGCCGTGTGGCCCTTCCCACAGGCGGAGGGCAGAAGCGCCTGGCTCAGGAGCTGACCTTAGTGTTGGCATTTGTCCCTGTTGTTTTTAGCTGCAGCATTCATGGTCCCTGTCCTGGGACCTCCCAGGAGCCTGGCGGGTAGGGCAGGCAGCATGAGGGAAGGAGTCCCTGCACCTCGGGCCCCTCCTGGCGGGAGGCCACCTGCTCCTGGTCATATCTGGGCACCGTGCCAAAGACACAAGGAATCACTTTATTATGATGTGGATGGCTTTTCTGTGGGTGCTCCTGGAGGCTGAGAACTGGAGCTACCACCTTAGGGGACATCCCAGCCCCTCACGCTGATCCCACCATGACCCATGGCCAGGCTGCCCAGGGCCCTGCAGGAGTCCCTGGTATGCGTGGGACCTGGGTGTCTCCCTTCGGTCTTCCAGGAGGGGCTGGGGTGTGCCCTCCATCTGTCTGATCTGAGTGGCTCTGGGGGAGTCTGGGTCAGCCAGGCCACGCCGAAGCTGCCCTTGGAGAAGCCTAGTGGCCCCTCCTGACCCCCCGGGGAAGGGTGGGGGACCAGCCCCCTCTGTTGTGGAACAGGCTGGCCTCTTCCTGCCTCCAGAGAGGTGCCTGCTTCCTGACACCCAGAGCCCTCTGCGGGGTCTCATGGCCTGGGGGGGCTCATGGTGGGGGCCCCTGGCACGGCAGAGGGGTTTGGCCACCCAGTTTTCTTCTCCCCTCGGCTGTGGGGACCCTATTAATACTCACAGGGAGGCAGAGCTGCCGGCTCCTGCACGCCCAGCTGCAGGGGGTAAGGAGGAGGATGGTGTCTCTGCCTGGTTTGTCACCGTCCCCCTTGGGATCCCGTTCTGCAGGCTCCAGCCCACCTTCAGGCCCCCGTCCTAACCCTGCGCGCCGTTTCCTCCCAGAAACTTCCATGCATCCCCTCGTTTCCTAAATCCGTGTACATGTGTTTGTAGTTTGTCTCCGACTCAAACCAAGTAAGATGCAGTTCAAGATCTGCCTCCTCCAGGCAGCCCTCCCAGCTGTGCTCCTGGAGTTGGTTTTCTTCCTTCAGGAAGGATCCTCCAGGACAGATGTCCAAGTGTTTAGAGGGGACAGGACTGTCCACACCACTCCAGCCAGGCTTCCTTCACACCCCCACAGCCCCCACTCCTCTTGCCCTGTGAGCCAGCTCCCAGGCTCTGGAGCTCATCGGTGCTCCTGTGTGTGGGGTCAGCAGTGGCCCGCCCTGGAGGACGCTGCCACCTTCCCGATGCTCTCTGCCCACAGAAGTCCCCCAACCCCCCTGGCAGCCAAGGGAACTGAGCCTGTGGCCCCCGGACAGCAAGCTCTGAGGTGTCCTCCCGCGAGGACACTGTCCACTGCTGCAGGGCCCCTCCTGTACCTCCCTAGTCCATGCTGTACATGTGGCCGGGGGTTTCCAGGCTTGGCTCTGTCCCGTGCGCCCTTCCCTGGAGCCTGGCATCCTAGGCAGAGTCCCGTCAAGTCTACGTGGACCAGAGTCGTGGGTGCTGTGAGGTCCGTGTCTGTGTGTGGGGTCCTCATGCTGTGGCTGTGGTGGCACAGCGGGCTGGGGGAAGCCCCTCTGGCACTGCCGGCCCCGCAGCTGCCACCGGCTTCTGCCTGTCGCGACAGAGGTGGAAGTGAGGGCGGTGGTCCAGTGGGCAACAGCGGCCTGGCCCCTCAGGAGCTGTGCTGGTCCGTGGGCGAGGGAGTGGGTGGGCAGGGCCCCTCCCCTCAACAGTCAGCCACCCTGGGCATTGGCCCTCCTGGGAGAGGCCAGGTGGATCGAGTCACCCTTTTTCCTGATATTACTGGAATGTGGCCTTTGGGAGCATGTCAGGTGCAACACCAGGACCAATTGGGAGAGAGGGACCGGGCTGGCTGTGTGGTCAGCAGGGTTGAAGCCAGGACTCTGGGCTCCACCAAGAGCTGACAGGCTGGCCCCTGCCTTCCTGAGCCTCACTTTCATCTTGTCCAGTGTAAGATGGGACAGTGACTCTCATGGAGGGGCTGGGTGAGGATTAGGGTGATGAGGGTCTAAGGCAGCCGGAGAGGGTCCTAGCATCGACTCTTTCTCTGTTTGTTCTTCTGAGTAGATAGAAAACACGGCTCAGCCTGGCCACACACAGACACATGTAGCACACACACAGGTCCACGTGTGTCCAGCACACGCATGAGTGCACATGCACAGGTAAACACGTTCATGCCCACAGCACACACATGGGTCCAGCTCATGCCCACAGCACACACGGGTCCACGTGTGTCCAGCACACGTGTGAGTGTACACGCACAGGTAAACACGCAGCTCATGCTCATAGCACACACACAGGTCCATCTCATGCCCACAGCACACGCACGGGTCCACATGCGTCCAGCACATGTGTGAGTGTGCATGCACAAGTAAACATGCAGCTCATGCCCACAGCACACACACAGGCCCAGCTCATGCCCACAGCACACACAGGGGTCCACATGCATCTAGCACACTCGTGAGTGTACATGCACAGGTAAACGCATGCAGCACATGGCCGCAGCACACACACGGATATATGTGCATGCATGGGTCCATATGCACGCAGGCCCTAGGGGTGTGGCCATACGCGCCCACCCTGGCATCTGCCTTGAGGGGCTGGAGGGAGGTGGGGGACACTCTCTGTCAGCAGAGAGACTGCTTTTGTTTGTGGCCATCCTGCCAGGAAAGCGCTGGAGAGGCGGCCAGCGTCACAGGAAGGAGAGCCAAGGGATAAACAGAATTCCTGGCCGGGAGCAGTGGCTCTCGCCTGTAATCCCAGCACTTTGGGAGGCTGAGGCGGGCGGATCGCTTGAGGTCGGGAGTTCGAGACTAGCCTGGCCAACATGGTGAAACCCCGTCTCTACTGAAATACAAAAATTAGCTGGGTGTGGTGGTGCACACCTGTAATCCCAGCTGCTCAGGAGGCTGAGGCAGGAGAATCACTTGCTGAGAATGCACCACTGCACTCCAGCCTGGGCGACAGAGCAAGACTCTGTCTCAAAAAAAAAAAAAAAAAAAAAAAAGAATTCCTGAGCAGACGGAAGGTGGACCCCAGCACGGCCCAGGAGTGGGCAGGAGAGCAAAGTCCTTTGGCAGAGGTCCTTTCTGTAAATGTACTGGCCACTCTCCCTTTGTTCCCCAAGTTGGGAGGAGGTGGAGATGACGGGGGTTTTGCTGCTGCCTTGTGCCCACACTGGCCAGGCCGGCCCGTAGCACTGAATCATAATGGCCATCAGTCTCCAGGCTGGCCAGCAGTGTCCAGCAGCTCGCCAGCCAAAAGGGCTCCCTGGGCTCATCAATGTTCTCTGACGGCCACCTCTGCAACTGATGGACACGGCCCTCCCATTTGTACCTTCAGAAATGCATAGCTGGGGTCCCTGGGGGCTGTAGTAGGGACAGCTAGGGTCCCTGCTGTGGTCAAGGCCTGGATTCCATGCGACTCCAGGGCCACTGGGACATCCGTCTCTGTGGACGTCCCAGCAGGAGGGCAGCCAAGCGTGCGGGCATCCCTGGGCAGGGACCCCTCCTCTCCCGGCACTTCGCGGCATGCGTCCTATGAGGGGAAGCCTTCCATGGCGTGTGTGGGAGCCCCTCGTGGGCCGGACCGCCTTCATGGGCAGGACCCCCTTCATAGGCAGGCCGGCCCAGGACCCCCCCTGGGGTGGGAAAGGTGTTCCCTGGTCAATAGTGAATGAACAAACGAGGAACTGGAAGTCCGTGCCGGCCCGGGAACGCGGCCCAGGGAGCCAGTGCGTGGTCGCCGGGGGCACAGCAGAGCTCTGCACGCGCCGGGCTGCGTTTGTACTGCACAGGTCCTGGAGTTTGAGGAGTGTGGTGGTTGCTCATGGTGTAGGATTTCTGTCCTGGCAGGGGGGCATGGGGTCACAGAACGTGGGCCCCTGGGGAGCTCTCTCTGTGCCTGTGGCCCCCCAGGAGTCTCTCAGTTTTGCTGTGGTCTTGAGGATGGCACAGCGTGTCCCTGAGCGCCCTCAGTGTGGACAGCTGGGCTTCAAACTCACTTCAGAGCCGCCGTGTGGGGGTGGCGCCTCTGAGGGCTTGAGGTTATTTTCTTGTGCGGTTTCTCTCTCCTGGCCTAGGTTTTTCTGGGTTTTTTGCACCTCTTGGTGTTGATAAGAAACAAGCTCCCTTCCCCTTTTAAAGCCCACAGACTTTCCCGATCTCCTCCCCATCCCCTGCCCCAGCACTGTCAGGGCGTCTGGGCGTCTGAGCTCAGCTCCTTCCTGGTGGCATCCTGCAAAAAGATACACTCGCTCAGTGACTCGGAAAAGCCACGTCGGTGTGGCTGAGAACAGAGTTCTTTCCACCTGGGGCCGCTGCTGTTGGTTTTCATTCCGGAAGAGCTGGAGCTGCCTGTCACTGGCTCCCCTGCCCCCACCTGGGGACCCCCAGGCACTGCAAAGTGCCTGTTGGCTATGGGCCCCCGGACCAGGACCTTGGCCTGATTAGGGGAGCCGGAGGTGGAAGTGGAGGCGGGACTGGAGTGTATGCCCCACAGTGGGCTCTCCTCAGGCTGGGGACTTCCACACGGGCCCACTGGGTCAGGATGGCCCGTGCCTGTGTTCTAGGATAATGGGATGGACTGGTTCGGAGGCTCAGAGAGACGCCTGACCAGACGCCTGACTGGAGATGGTCTCCCAGCAGAGGGGCTGGGCTCTTCAGGGGCCACTGGGCTCCTCCCGTGGTTCCTGGGAGAGGGAGGAACCCGGAGGAGGGGTGGGTGGCACCTACAGTGCGTGCCTGAGGCAGGGCTCCACAGAAGGCCTCTCTGCTGGCCCAGCGGCTGGATGCAGATGCAGAAGGAGGAACTGGCCCTTCCGCCCGCCCGGGAAGGGGAGTCCCCCCTTACAATGTTGGCTCAGTGGGATCGATGCCTCTGCCATTGCCTTCGGGCCAGGACAGCAGCACTTGCGTGTCCCGGCCGCCGCCCCTCTCTTGCAGATGGAGGCAGGGCCGTGCCCAGGTGTCCTGGTGGCTGTTCCCTGCCCGCTGTCTCCTGCATTCCTTCCGTGTGAGCTCAGCTGCTGCACTAAGGAAGCGAAACCTTGGTGCTGCCCCGTGCGTCATGCGGTAGGCATGGCCGCCGTGCTGACCCGCCGTGGTTGGCCCTGGGTGGCTCCTGGCCTGTTTCTCCTGCTGCTCAGGATGTTAGTGGAGCTCACAGGGCTCAGGTTGAGCCTCTTCCACCCGGGGGCCTGTGGGGGTCATGGTCCTGGAGCCAAGCGCGTGGGGCTCTTGTGAGCAAGGGGTCTGCTCTGGCACGCCCACCTCCGTGGTAGTGTTTTCATACCTGTGTCACACAGGGTGAGAAACATGCTTGATGCTGCAGCTCAGCACACACACGCACACAAATGTGCACATGCACACGTGGACACACATGCACACATGCATGTGTGTATGCACACATGGGCACAGATGTGCATGCAGACATGAGCACACGCACACCAGAACACTAGAGTCGGCCGCATCCTCCTCACTTGGCTGATGCCCCCTTCTGCTTGATTTCATCACAAGAAACGCGCATCCGGCAGCATTTCCCGACCGCCTTCACCGCCAGTCCCGGTCTGCATGGTCAGTTTGAACCAGGCTGCCGAGAGCGCACCAGGTCCCAGCATTCTCCTCTCTGCTGGTAACTCTTCAGGCATTGTCTCTGGCTCACGTTCTCCTGGGCGCCAGACCTATCTCACCCCACTCCCGGTGTGGCCTCCCTGCCCCGGCTCCCAGGCACTCCTGGGAGTTAAAGTGTCCAGGCTCCTGGTTCATTGCTGAGTGTTTAGCTCAGTGCTAACGCTGCTGTGCTCCAGCATCCCCGTCCCTTTAGGACAGAGGCCTGCGTGGTACGTGCCTCTCTGCTCCAGCATCCCCGTCCCTTTAGATCAGAGGCCTGCGTAGCACATGCCTCTCTTCCCCTCTGACATCCCAGAGCCTCTGATGGGTCTCCCAGCATACGCCAGGGCCCTTGGCTAAAATCTAGTCTCCTCTGAGCAGCCAGAGGGATCTTCTCTTTTGTTTGTTTTGTTTTTTTGTATTTATGTATTTTTTTGAGACAGAGTCTCACTCTGTTGCCAGGCTGGAGTGCAGTGGCGCAATCTCAGCTCACCACAATTTCCGCCTCCCAGGTTCAAGCGATTCTCCTGCCTCAGGCTCCCAAGTAGCTGGGATTACAGGCGTCTGCCACCAAGCCCGGCTTTTTGTATTTTTAGTAGAAATGGGGTTTCACCACGTTGGCCAGGATGGTCTCCATCTGACCTCGTGATCCGCCTGCCTTGGCCTCCCAAAGCGTTGGGATTACGAGCGTGAGCCACCGTGTCCGGCCTGTTTTATTTTTTTTAGAGACAGGGTCTCACTCTGTCACCCAGGCTGGAGTACAATGGCACAATCACAGTTCACTGCAGCTTTGACCTTCCAGGCTTAAGCAATCCTCCCACCTCAGCCTCCTGAGTAGCTGGGACTACAGGCATGCACCACCACACCCAGCTAATTTTTAAATTTTTAGTAGAGATGGGGTCTTACCACGTTGCCCAGGCCGGTCTTGAACGCTTGGGCTCAAGTGATCTTCCCGCCTCTGCCTCCCAAAATGCTGGGATTATACGTGCGAGCCACCGCATCTGACCCAGCGGAATCTCTTAAATGTAGCTGGCCCATCGTTCTGCTCAGACCCTCCTTAGCTTCATGCAGCCGGGCCTCAGGGGCTATCCCATTAGCACATCCACCTCTTCCTCTTCCTGCCTCCCCTGGGCCCCTTCCACCCTCACGCCGGGTCCTGCTTTCCCAGGAACTCACCATGGGCCCTGCCTCGGGGCCTTTGCCCTGCCCTGGTCTGCCCACTGCTCTCTGGCATGGAAAGTGCTTCCCTGCCTGCCTTCCACGTCTCGCTGAGCACGCCTATCCCACTTCTGCGGAAGCGCTGGCCCTCCTAGTCCTGCCTTCCCTCGGGAGATGTTGGCTCTGTGCGAGCAGGGCTTTGCGGCTGGGTCGATGCTGCATCCCCCACCCCCGTGCACGTGGCCTCTGGGCTAGCACGCAAAGGCGCCCTCACCCTTGCTGCGTCCTGGAAGGAAGGAGCACCTGCCCTGGAACTTGGCCGGGTGGCGTTACCACCGGAGGGTCCAGTATAGGCAGGACTGAGGTGTACCCGGCCTGCTGTGAGCCCCGGCGTAGTGCAGAACTCGGGGCCTCGTTTCCCAAGAACACACACCCTGGCCATACCTCAGGGCAGGGGATGGAACACTCGTCAAATAGCGGGTTTTCTGGAGGCAGGTCCCGTGGTGGGGAGTGGCTTCCTTGTCCCTAAATGCCCTTTCTATCTGTTCTCTTGGCTTCGGAGGCTGAGGCCAGGTGCTGGGAGAGGGGGTGGGGGATGCAGTTGCCCTTCCCTCCCCACTCTCTAGCCCACAGGTTGGGGCTGGGTGGGTTGGGGCCCCACAGCCTCCTGCTTGTCTGCGACAGGGCTGGGCGGCTTCCCTTCCTGTGATCCTCAGGAAAGATCAGGATCACATCATAACAAATGACCGGAAGACACGGGAGGTGGCTGAGCTGGGGGTTTCTGCTGGAGCTGCTCCCTGGGCCCTTGCTGGCAGGGGCTGGCTGTTGACAGTCAGTGTATGTTATGCCGGTAGAATTCTCATTTGGCTGTTGTTTGTGTGTGCCTGTTTTTATCCCTTGTAATTAAAACATTTATTTGGCCTTCGCAGTGAAAATCTAATTTCTTGAGTCTAAGAACTGCTGATCTTGGCACCGAGATGCCCGTCCGTCGGGCAAACAGACCCAGAGCCGTTGGATTATTCATAGCACGGCATCTGCAGATCAGGCTGCAGTGGTGCTAATCAGAGCTGAGGTTTGGTAATTGATGTGTTGAGCAGGATTTTAGTGGGAGGGGGGTGCCGGCGTCGTTGAGCGATTGTGTATGGCCGGTGGGGGGCCCTTCTGGGCTGACTCAGCCGCGCCAATGGGAACGGCACCTCGGCAGCGGCGCGTCTGAGCGCCAGTTGTATTCTGCCTGCTGCACCATGCAAATGCGCTCCTTCAGCCCGCAGACACTCCTCTGCGGCCGGGTTTCTTCTTACCCCCTTTGCACAGGTGTGAAAACCGAGGCTCAGGAAGGTCATTTTCCCAAGGACATTGATCAGGGGCATGGCTGGGATTTGAACTTGGGAAGCCCACCTTGAGCATTTGTGGTGTCGACCCCCAGGAGGGGTGCCTGCTCTGGGTTTTCTCCTCTGTGTTCGGACCCTTCGGAGTCACCAGGGTGACCTCTGCCAGTAATGCTGTTTCTTCTCTGCTTTCTTCCAGACCATCATGGAGCAGTTCAACCCTAGCCTCCGGAACTTCATCGCCATGGGGAAGAATTACGAGAAGGCACTGGCAGGTGGAACTGCGCCCGGGCCCCGTGGGGTGGGAGCTGCCTCCTGAGCTGGTAGAACTGCGCCCGGGCCCCGTGGGGTGGGAGCTGCCTCCTGAGCTGGTAGAACTGTGCCCGGGCCCCGTGGGGTGGGAGCTGCCTCCTGAGCTGGTAGAACTGTGCCCGGGCCCCGTGGGGTGGGAGCTGCCTCCTGAGCTGGTAGAACTGTGCCCGGGCCCCTTGGGGTGGGAGCTGCCTCCTGAGCTGGTAGAACTGTGCCCTGGCCCCAAGGGTGGGAGCTGCCTCCTGAGCTGGTAGAACTGTGCCCGGGCCCCGTGGGGTGGGAGCTGCCTCCTGAGCTGGTAGAACTGTGCCCTGGCCCCAAGGGTGGGAGCTGCCTCCTGAGCTGGTAGAACTGTGCCCGGACCCCGTGGGGTGGGAGCTGCCTCCTGAGCTGGTAGAACTGTGCCCGGGCCCCGTGGGGTGGGAGCTGCCTCCTGAGCTGGTAGAACTGTGCCCGGGCCCCTTGGGGTGGGAGCTGCCTCCTGAGCTGGTAGAACTGTGCCCTGGCCCCAAGGGTGGGAGCTGCCTCCTGAGCTGGTAGAACTGTGCCCGGGCCCCGTGGGGTGGGAGCTGCCTCCTGAGCTGGCAGATGGACTTGGGCACAGCCTGTGGGGCCTGGTCAGGAGCGAAAGGAGGTCTTCTGTTCCAGCAACAAAGCTGGACAGCGGCTCTGAGTGAAGGTGTAGCCCATGCATTCTGGACTGGGTCTGCTGTCACTGTGGCAGCACGCCCCTGCCTGTGCGGGCTGCTCTTGTCCTGTGGCATCTAGAGACGGGAGGGGTGCGGATGTCAGTCCCTCAGGATCATGTAGAAACTGTGGGATCAGGGCTGGGATGAAGCTGTTGGTAACTGCAGCAGCTTCGGGTTTGAGAAATGAGCGAACGCCCTGCAGCTCCTTCTCACAAAGAGCCGGGACAGAGGGTGTGGGGGACTGGTGGCTGCAGGGACATTCCATTCTTCCCACTGTCTCCCTGAGACGCTTCCCATCGCCCCCACCCCACCCAGGCACTCCACTGCGGGGCCTTGGGTGCACCTGGGTCTTTCCGTCCTGGTGGGGAGTGGCTTCCTTGTCGCCAGATGCCCTTCTCACCTGCCCTGTTGGCCCCGCAGGTGCCCTTGGCTGAGTCCTGCCATGGATGGGGACTTGCTATTCTTGGACAGTGACCCCCGGTCTCCCTGTACCCTCTACCGTGTCTGTCCCTGTAACTGCAGCATCTTCATGGGCAGAGTCCACATCCCCAGCAGGGAGGAGATCGTGTGTTTTCCGGGACACGTGCTGCGTCTCTGCCGGCGCCCCCGGCTCCTCCACCGCTTCCTGGTGTTGCGGCACCCATGGGTTGGGTGGAGTTGGTTGTCCAGTTTTGGTGCCAGGTTAGAGGTGTCAAGGACGGGGCAGGAGTTGGTCAGCCCTCGTTCCTTTTTTACCACCTTTACTCCGTTGTCACCTGGGGAGAAAGCACTCCAACCGAGCACCTGGCAGAAGGCCTGTCCCTGGCACTGCCCTCCTTCTCAGCTCCCCAGGTGGACCAGTTGTGCCCGCCTGCCACATCTAGTTGGGGGTGGCCTTCATGTTTCCTTGTGGGCATGAATGGGACAGGGAGCTCCCTTGGGCCACCTCCTGTTTGCACCCGGCACCCTGCAGGGGCCCCCATGGCTGCCCCAGCAGCAGCCTTGTTTCTCTCCACCCTGCCCCTCCTCTACATCCCTGGGCCCGGGGTTGCACCCGAGGGACCTGCTCATCAAAATTGTCTTAAAGAGCTGTCCTTCCTCCAGCGAAAGTCTGCAGGGTGTTTTGTTTTTTTTTGAGACGGAGTCTCACTCTGTTGCCCAGGCCAGACTGCAGTGGCGCTATCTTGGCTCCCTGCAAACTCTGCCTCCCGGGTTCACGCCATTCTCCTGCCTCAGCCTCCCGAGTAGCTGGGACCACAGGTGCCTGCCACCACGCCCGGCTAATTTTTTGTATTTTTAGTAGAGACGGGGTTTCACTGTGTTAGCCAGGATGGTCTCGATCTCCTGACCTCGTGATCCGCCCGCCTCAGCCTCCCAAAGTGCCTAGGATTACAGGGGTGAGCCACCGCGCCCGGCCGTCTGCAGGGTTTTCATGACAGTGGAGATGCTTGGGCTGTGGCAGTGACCCCCGTCCCCCAGCCAGGAGCTTCTTGGATGAGGTAGTGGAGGTCGGCAGCAGAGCCTGTGGCAGCTCTGAGGGTCGGCGTGGCCTCCTGGTGGAAGTTGCACCTGGTTTGCTTCCCTATGGTGCACCCCAGTTGTTGGGCAGCTTCATGGGGGTCCCAGGGAGAGCTGCCTTTGCCTCTGGCCTGAAATGTTGACGCTGGAGAGAGGCTCCCGAATCAGAGTAGGAAGGCTGAGGCCCGGCTCGAGGTGGGTGCAGAGGGCTTCCAACTGTGGTGACCCCATGATCTCTAGGCACAGCACACGATGTCCAGATTCTCCGGGCCCAGCTAAGTTCCGTGCCCTGTGAATGAGACCAGTTGTTCATCTCTTCCTGGCTGGGTCTGAATCTTGGCCATTACAATGAGAATCCAGAGTCCAGATGATCCCACCCCTGGAGATGGGGGCTGGTCTTGCACATTGCAGACTGACGATGGCTTCCTTTTTCCAGAGCCACTCGTCTGTGGGACACTTGGTGACCTCATCTACGGTAGAGTCTTCCGTAGCCCTCACGTGGCTCTCCGAGGTGTGGGTTTCTTCCCCGTCGTCCGCACACGGGGAAGTGGTGTGGATGCCGCTTTCAGTGGGTTGCGGTGGGGGCCGGGGCCTGTGTTCCCCTCCTCTGGGTGAGCAGGCACTTCGGCCCTTTGATGCCACCAAGGCGTGGGTTCCGTTCGGGCCTTTCCGCTCCTGTTTGGTTCCTCATGAGGGTGGCGGGGCTGAGTGTGGAGACTTGGAGCTTTACTTCCTGCTCCTGCTTTTCTTGATGGCCTGGTGGGAATGAGCTCGGCCGTCCAGGCAGCACCGCCACCTTAGCCGCAGCCAGCCGCCCTGGAGTCTCACTTCTGCTGTTGCGTTTTTCTGCTGTTGCGTTTTTCTGCTGTTGCGTTTTTCTGCTGTTGCGTTTTTCTGCTGTTGCGTTTTTCTGCTGTTGCGTTTTTCTGCTGTTGCGTTTTTCTGCTGTTGCGTTTTTCTGCTGTTGCGTTTTTCTTTTGTTCGAGGCAGCACACCCGTCCCAGGCACAGGCCTTCATTCCTCTGTGGACGTGGTCTTGTGCCGCAGAACAAATTGTGCGCTTAATTGAAAAGTATATAAATAAAATCTGATAAAGTGCCCAGTTATAGGCCCCTAAGTGGGTTCTGTAGAAAACGGATTAGAAATTGTAATTACACTGCTCTCCGGGGCCCTGCCCCGCCCTTTCTGCGGCCTGGAGGTCAGGGCGGGGCTCCCTGTCAGGTGGAGGAGTTTGCCAGGCACTCCCTGGAGTCCCTGAGGAGGAAGCCCAGGCTCTTCCAGGAGCCTGCTCCACCCCTGTGGCTGTGGAGGAGTTCAGCAGGCCCGGAGCCCTTCACACCCACTTCTGATTAGATCAGACTCTGCCTCTGAGATGCTGGGAGGCCCCTCAGGCGGCGGCAATACCAAGTAATGCCTTTAGCCTCCTTTGATCAGCTGTGACGGGCGTCCTGGTCTGAGACTGTGAAGCAATTGGAAATAGTTCTCCCACTCCAGGCTCAGCTTGGGGATCTGTGGGGAAATGGCTTCCTACTGCCCAGCTCTGCAGTTTCCTTGCCCAGGGTTGGTTCTTTGTCTCATGAAATACAGTTAGTACAACACTCCCTCCCCCCGGCCCTGCCTGGTAGCACGTGATAGGGATCAGCTCTCTGCAATTTGACTTGAATAGCTCAGGACCTGAACTGGTACGTTGTGTTCTTACGAGTCAAGGGAGCTCTCATGATTGGGGTGAAACAAGAATATCAACAAGAGATGGGTTCTGTCCAACCCAGAAATCACAGCGAGTCGAGTATTCTCCCAGCTTGTCTGGGCAGGAGACAGGGTTGGGCCTGTGCGTGCCAAGACTGCCGTGTTTTTGCTGGGGGTCTTGTCTGTCCCTCGTGGAGGAAATAACTGCTCCCTTTTCTTCTCTCTCAGGTGTGACGTATGCAGCCAAAGGCTACTTTGACGCCCTGGTGAAGATGGGGGAGCTGGCCAGCGAGAGCCAGGGCTCCAAAGAACTCGGTGAGACCCCCCCCCCCCCCCCGCCTGGTAGTCGCCTGATGCCCTCAGGCAGCTCTGGGGCCCTGTCCTGTGTCCAGCCGCTTTTTGATTTGGGATCAGGTTTTGCCTGTCAAATAGGAAAATATTTTAATGACAGTCACCCTGGGAGCTGCCTTGTGGGGCACACCCTGCTGAAAGTGGGTGCTGGGTCCCCGTCCCCTGAGGCGTGCAGCCTGGGGTGAGGACAGCAGGCAAACCCACGTTTAAAAGTGTTCCCGGCAAATTGGAGCGGCTGACATGGGGGTCTGTGTGCTTGGATGATGGGATTAGATGGCGTGGGAATTCATTCCTGGTATTAAAATGAGTGAAAAAGGATGCAAGCCCACGTGTGGTGTGGCCCTGAGGAAGACACCCCAGCAGCGTGAGTGGGTGGATTTCCTGGAGGGCAGGTTATGTTATTGATGCTTTGTCTGTGTTTAGCAAATTTTCTGTGATCGCTCCTGTGACGTCTATGTCAAGGGACACAGGGTGAAACCTGGAAATTCAGGGCCCACGTGGTGGTGCTGCAGGCGTGGCTTAGACGGAGTCCATGCTTCCACAGTCCCCTCACCTAGCAGGGTGGTGCTGAGGTTTCCTCTGCCCGCCTGGGAGACCCCGGGCCGGCTGCCTGTGCTCACTTGCTGCTCCCAGAGCGAGCTGTGGCCGGCAGAGCGGCCCTTGACGCACAAGGAAGCCTGAGTCGCTGGAGAAACCACTTGGATTCCTCTTCCCTCTGGTCACGGAGGACAGGCTGCGCTCACTCTTGACCGTCTCCCCGTGGCCGCCAATCTGGGAGGTGGTCTGCAGGTCTGGAGACCCTCGGATGGGGAAGAGTCACTGTGACTGGCCCTGTTCCCTTCTTTCTACTTTTCTTCTCGGGGACTGAAAGCCCCCTTGACTGACAGAGGCCCTGGCTGAGTCGGCAGGCGGTGGGCTGGGGGGTCGTGGGTTGCTCTGTGTCACTTCCAGCTCCCAGAAGAGGCTCCGTCTCCCTAATGCTGAGGCTCTGGGGCTGGGACCCCAGGAACCCAGCTTTGCCTGTCCAGGCCCCGTTCTCTCCAGTTCACTCACGACGTCCTGCGCCGGGAGGCAGACCTGCCGGCCGCACTTCGCAGCCCCCTGCGGACCCTCATCGGAGCCCCCCCCCCACGCCCCCACAGGCTGCTGCCTTGGGCAGGCCCGCTGGCGTGTTTGCTGCAGGTCTGGTGATGCCCGGGCGGCTGGAGTTTCTCGAGGCACCGCTGTGCTGACAGACTGGGGAGGAGAGGAGGAGGCACTCTGGGCGGGGTCCCCGGGCCTCCGCAGACTCAGCCTGGAGGATGACGTGTGAGATGCATGGTGTTAGGGTGACGGAGGCTGAGACTCCAGTGCAACCAACAGCAGCCTGCCTTGGAGCTCCTGGGCCCTGACCGGGTCTTCAGGGTTTGGAGAAGGGCAGAAGCAGTGGGTGTCTGTGAAAGGGGCATTTTCTTTTTCATTAGAGACAGGGTCTTGCTCTGTCGCCCAGGCTGGAATGCAGAACTATCGTGGCTCACTGTGGCCTTGAACTCATGGGCTCAAGTGATCCTCCTGCCTCAGCCTCCCTAGTAGCTGGGACCACAGGCGTGCGCCACCACGCCCAGCTGATTTTTTATTTTTAATTTTTTGTAGAGAAAAGGTCTTACTGTGTTGCCCAGGCTGGTCTTGAGCTCCTGGGCTCAAGTGATCTTCCCACCTTAGCCTCCTAGACTGCTGGGATTATAGGCGTGAGCCACCACGCCTGGCTGAAAGAGGCATTGTCTTACCATAATTAACCAGGTGTTGAGGAGATGAGGTAGAGGACCAGGTGTCTTCGCCCCTTGGTCGCATGAGGGTCTGCCCGTGGGGAACTCCAGGCTCTTGTGGCCCACAGTGAGGGGTGGGTGGGTCCGAAATGGGTGGGATTCCAGAACTTCCTGTTGGCGGAGTCCCTGGTGGTTGACTGCAAGAAGGCGCTGAGCCCACATGGGCACAAGGAGGAGGAGGGAAGCTTCAGAAGAGAGGGAGACGTGAGGGCTCTTACTTGGATCAGGGAGCGTCTGTTTACCTGTGGCCTTTTGGAATCTCTCCCCGGGCTCCTCCTGGAGCGTGGAGCCCCGCTGTGTGCATCTGCAGAGGGCCAGCCACATGTCAGCCTTGCTCTGGGAGTCAGGTTTTCTTCCCGGTAACAGCTTGATTGACAGAATTCACATGCCATACAGTTACCCCATTAGAGTGTACAGTTCTGTGGCTTAGTGTATTTACAGTGTGCAACCATTGCCCCATCTAACTCCAAAGCATTTTTATCACCCCAAAGCGTTTTTAGCACCCCAAAAAGAAATCCCATACCCCTTAAGCAGTCCCTCCCTCATCCCCACGCTCCCAGCCCCTGGCAGCCACACCACTGTGTCTGTCTCTCCGGACTGGCCCATTCTAGACATTTCATATAAATGGAGTCATACGGTGTGTGACCTTCTGTGTCTGACCCTTTTCCCTGAGCACATGTTTACCGTCCCTCTGTGCTATAGCCCGTGTCAGGGCTTCATTCCTGTTTGTGGCTGAACGATGATCCATTGCACAGGCAGACCCATTTCATTTATCTGGGGTTGCTGTCACCTTCCGGCAGCTGTGAGCCTGTTTTCATCTCTCCTGGGCATGCACCGAAACTGGAATTGCCGGGTCAGATGGCTGGGAGTTGAGTTTTTATGAAAGCAACACATCCTTGTTTCAAACAAAGTCAGCCACTTCCCACCCTCCTAGTGTGGCCAAGTCCTACTGCACAGAGGCGGCTCCCTCGGCTGCGTGTCTAAGAGGGCAGGTTTATGCCATTCCTCCTCCTCCTCCTCTACCTCCAACAGGGCCGGGCGCGGTGGCTCACACCTGTAATCCTAGCACGTTGGGAGGCTGAGGCAGGTGGATTGCCTGAGGTCAGGAGTTCGAGACCAGCCTGGGCAACATGGTGAAACCCCCATCTCTACTAAAATACAAAAAATTAGCCGGGCGTGGTGGCATGCGCCTGTAATCCCAGCTACTAGGGAGGCTGAGACAGGAGAATCGCTTGAACCTGGGAGGCGGAGGTTGCAGTGAGCCGAGATGGTGCCATTGCGCTCCAGCCTGGGAGACAGAGCGAGACTCCGTCTCAAAAAAAAGTTTAGACATCATCGAAAGGATTCTTATTACGGAAGATGTGGACTTAGCCTTTTTATGCTGTCCCTTGCCCCACCCAGTATAATTATCACAGTATTTGTTTAAACTCATGTACGGTGTTATCTGATGATATAAATTCTTTTCATGGCTAAGGCAGACGGTGTATTATGATGACTGTTTGTACAACTTCATCGAGGTGTCTGAGTGTCCAGTGTGATGAGTTTTGACGTGTGTACACCTGTGAAGCTGTGGCCACAATCACAATGGTGAACTTGTCCGTCTCTCGAAGAGTCCTCGGGCCCTCCCTCCCCATCTCCAGGCAACCACTGATCCGCTTTCTGTCACTGTAATTTAGCATGCATTTGCTGGAGTTTTACATACATGGAACCATACGGCGTGTCTTCTTTTTTTGTCCAGCTTCCTCGGGTGTGCGTGGTTATTCTGAGCTGCCTTCCTGCTGCGCGCGTCAGGAATTTGTTGCATTTCGTCGCTTGCAGGGTCCTGTTGTGCGGAGGTGCCACAGTTTGGCCGTACCCTCATCTGTTGATGGACACCTGGGTGTTTTTAGCTTGGGGCGTTCCTAAATTTTCATTTCCTTAATTAACTGATGTTGTGGAGCATCTTTTTGTGTTTTTGTTCACCACTGATCTCTCTTGGTGAAGTGTGTGTTCGAATCTTCCCCCTTTGTTTCACTTGGCTTTTGTCTTCTTAAGTTACGAGAGTCCTCTGTATACTCTAGATGGAAGTCCCTTGCCAGGAATCTATTTTGCACATATTTGCTTTCAGTCTGGTGGGCCTTTCCTTTTTGTAATAGTGGTTTTAGTTTTTTTTGAGACCGAATCTCACTCTGTCACCCAGGCTGGAGTGCAGGGGTGCAATCTCGGCTCACTGCCACCTTCACCTCCCAGGTTCATGCGAGTCTCCTGCCTCAGCCTCCCAAGTAGCTGGCATTATAGGCACCGGCCACCACACCCGCCTAATTTTTGTATTTGTATATTTTTAGTGGAGATGGGGTTTCACCATGTTGTCCAGGCTGCTCTCAAACTCCTGCTCTCAAGTGATCTGCCTGCCTCGGCCTCCCAGAGTGCTGAGATTACAGGCATGAGCCATCGCACCCAGATCTGTAATAGTGTTTTTAGAACAAAAGTATTTAATTTTAATGTAGTTCAATGGACTGATTTTTTTTTTTTTTGGTATTACAGTTTTTTGGTATTATAGCTCATGGATTTTTGTTATTATGACTCTGTGGTATTTATTATGACGCCTTTGCTTTTCTGGAGTTAATAATGGTCTCGCGTCTTGGTTCGCTTCATTTTCAATGCGCCATCACGAATTTCTCCCCACAGCCTCAGCTGCACCCTTGCACTGGCTTTGCTGTTGGCTGGGAGGTCAGTCTCTGTTTCTTCTCCTTTTGGAGCCTCCCTGCTCCCTCGTGGGCTGCTCGGCCGTGCAGAGTCAGCTTCTCCTCCTCCCGGGTCAGAGCCCCGTGTTTTCTGGGTCCTGTGTCTTTACTGTTCCTGTATTACTCCCACCATTTGGGGAATTGTCTTTTTCTTTCCTTTTTTTTTTTTTTTTCGGTTAGGTTTCTGAGTGGGTGAACGGGGAATGTGTTTGAGCCAGTACGTGTCTGCCATTGTCTCTGCTGGTGGCTTAGCTGGTTTGGAGTTTGCAGGTGGAAGATGCTCTGTGTTCAGAGTCTGAGGGCCTCACACCGTCGTCTTCCAGCTCCCACCGCTGCTGTGTTCAGGGCCACCTTGGTGCTGATTTTATGTGAGTGTTACTTCCCCCCCGCCCCCCCGCCGCCCCCACCAGCTCTGGAGATGTTTGTGCTGGGGTGTTAGGAATTTCCTGCCGATATCTTTCCTGTGGTGGCAGGTCCTGAGAGGCTTGTGAACAGCATCACTCCATGATTGAGAGTGGTGTGCAGCCTCCAGGGCCCACAGGAGCGGGGACCTGAGCGAGGAGGACTGCAGGGGTTAAGAGGAGGGGTGAAGGAGAGGGGCAAAGGGTGTGTCCAAAGGTGTGAGGTGGACAGAAACAAGAGGCTTTTGCAGAAATGTGAAAGGTCTGGAGCGTATGAGGGGGTGAGGCTGGGAGGGGAGGCAGGGCTTTGAGGAGCCCAGGGCCTTGTAGAGATTCCAGGCTTGGTGCCACAGGAAGATGGATTTGTGCAACCTGCCTTTCTCACTGTGTCTTAGGGTCCATCTGTCATCTGTGTTCTTGCCACACGCGGATGCCTTCGTTTTCACTGCTGTAGAATATTCCATAAACGTGTAACAGTTTCTCTGTCCTCCTCGGTGAGCAGTTGAGTTACCCCTGGTGAGTTTTTCTGGATGAGCTCGAGGCCCAAGGGGCCCTGAGGCTGAGCTCTCCTGCGGGATGAATTCCACAAGGCCCCGTGGGGTTGTGCGGCAGCCACTTGGGCAGTAAGTGAAGGAGGCGTTCGTCTCACTCCCCAGGCCGGGGGCTCAGCAGTTGCCCTGGGAGTTTTGCTTTCTGTGTTTGCAGGCTGTGTTATTAAGTGCGTGTGTGTGGGTGTGCCTTCCTGAGCTGAGCCCTATTATCGCAAGGTGGCTTGCTCTGGCCCTGAACAGTCTTATTTTTGGTTCGTTTGGTTGGGTGTTGAGTTTGTTTCCTGTTCTTCCTCTTCAGCCCCGGGGACGTTGCTCATTTCTGGTCACCTTCTCCTCCAGCTGTCCTTGCTGCCCCAGGATGGGAGGATGGAAGGTGCTGTCCCTGCTCTCTGGGAATGAGCCAGGCCCTCAGTGGGTGGAGCCCCTCCCAGGAAGGCAGAGCCCTGGTCTGTGCTGGGGTGGAGGTGCTCAGCTCAGACCAGCCCCTTGCTTGGCCGGGAGGTGGTTTTCAGTGATTTGGTCCTGACACCCGGCCGAGCAGGGCCCCAGCCTGTCCTCTCTCTGCTGGCCTCCCACCCGGGCCCCTCTGGGTGTGGCCTTGTGGCCATATGGGGCCAGGGTTGCCAGGCAAGCAGTGGTGCCAACCCTGGCTGCCCTTCTTCCTCCTCTTCTCATTCCTTCCCCACTTTCATTCTTCGCACCTTTTCTTTCCCATGTGGCACCTGCTCTACTCACAGGGCAGTCTGCCTTTAGTCCTGTGGGTCTCTCTGTACCTGCACCTCTGGCCCTGTAGTGCCCACAGCCGGGGAGGTGGCCTCGGGCTATGTAGCCCTCACGGGGAGGTCCTGTCTTCAGCCCCGTCAGGATGACGAGGATTCGGCTGCACTGACTCCCGGCTAATCACTGTGGATGATGCTGCCCGCTCCCCCTTTCCCTGCAGAGCCCTGAGCTCTGTTCTTCCTGGGAAGAGTGAGGGTCCTGGCAGCACCCCCTCACTGTAGCCAAGCGTGCTGCTCCAAGTGAGCCCCAGGTCTCCGGAGCCGGGAGCCAGCCTTGGCCTGCGTGAGCTTTCATGCTTCTGAACCAGAGCCTGGCCCAGGGGTGAAAGCCCAGAGAGTCTTTTTTTGCTTTAAATGAGCAGCTGGGGCTGCCCCTTTGTTCTCTCTCCTGGAGTGAGGAGTGGCTGGGTCAGAGCCGGCCTTTGGTGATGTGGGTCTTTCTGTACCTGTGGCTCTGGCCGTCTGGCACACAGCTGGGGAGGCAGCCTCGGGCTTTGTGGCCTGCAGACCTCACAGACGGAAGGGCCTCCCGTCTTCAGTCAGAGACTGTTTTTTCCCTGCAGTGAAAGAGTTTCTGCAGTTAACTCTCAGGGCTTTGCTTTGATATGGCAAGCGCTTAGTCAGGGAATGGAGTGGCAGCTCCAAGTTCCGGAAGCTTCTCACAGCCCTTCTAATCCCCTAGCCGGCAGCCACCCACACTTGGCTGTCTGCTGGCTGACTGGTTTTCCAATCCCCGCCATGGTGTTTCTCCCTTCCAGCTCCGGCAGGCGTGATTCCGGGGCACACCCACTGCTCTCAAAGCCCCTGAGCCAGTGCCTGGGTTAGACTTTTCCCAGGGGCGTCTGCTCCTCATCCTCTTGGGCTTTGTGCTTGGGTTGACTGGCAGCTCGGGGAGACTGGAGTGGCCGGCTGGATCTGAGTCCTGTAGGCCAGTCCTGGCATGTGTAGACACTCAGTGTCCCTGTGGCCCAGGAGCAAGCCTGGCAGGTGACCCGAGGGAGGGCGGGCCCAGCCTGGTCACAGAAGCAGTGCTGTGCCCGTCCCGGCCCCCTGCAGGGGTCCAGGGTCCTGAGCTGAGAGCCTCAGGAATCTGGGGAATTTGCTAAGATGTGTGAGTGGCTCCTCCTCTGTTTTGGGCACCTCCCTGGAGGCTGGCACCACCAGGGGCTGGTGTGGAGACCCAAGGGTGGAGGGCAGGGCAGGTGCTCACCATGCCGCTGGGCCGTGTGGGTGCCTGGGTGGACGTGGCACTGGTTCTTTGTGCGGGTGGAGGACAGCTGTCCAGTCTGCCTCACCGACAGCTGTGGTTTGCAGTGTCCTGTGACTGCACTCCTGAGCACACCCCTCCACCCCCTTGCTGCTGACAGCTGCCTATGGCCCAGGCCCTCTCGCTCCCCCACCCGAGGCTGGGCGCACAGAGCTGGGCTGAGCCTGGGTCTATGCTGGCCAACGGGAGAGGCAGATGGGAGGAGCAGGCCAGAGTCCCAGTGACCTGGGGTCCTGGTACAACGTGTACACCTGGGCAGGTGGCTCTAGCACTGTGTGCCAGAACCGTCTGTATGAAAAGAGGGTCACGTAGCTGCCCTTTGGCCTGGCTGTGCAGGGAGGCTAAGGTCTAATCACCCTGTAGAGAGTTGTCGGCTCTTCAGGACGGTGCCCTGTCTTCAGTGAGGGGGGCTGTCATTGCAGTGAGCGGGGCCGCAGCCCTCCCCAGCAGAGAGCACTGCACTTCCTTTGTGTGGTCAGACCCGCATGTCCAGCCTGTCTATCTGGGGCCCTGAGCCTGTTGTGTTTCTTGTCCAACTGCTCTGTGGCCCTGCCACGGAACACCTGAGCCAGGCTGTTTTGCTCAGCCCTTTCCCATCTCTGGAGGCCTCTGGTGTGTTTTTGTCCTTTGAAGAGGCCGCTGTGTACCCGCTGGTGCCCACAGCATGCTTGTTTGTGATCACAGGGCGTGTGTGTACCTGCTGGGCGCACTGGGCCTGTCCTCTGCCAGCTGCCCGGCATCCCCAGGTGCCCGGGAGAGTGGCAGGAGCTCCCTGTTGGGCCAGCCTCAGAATGAGGATGTTAGCTGGCAGGGGGCATTGTCCCTGCCTGAAACTGTGGGCTGGATTTTGGTCACTGAGTCACTGAATTAAGGTGTGGCCTGGAAACTTCCCATAGCTGTTGGCTGCAGTGCACGCCTCGTTGTCCAGAGTGAGGCAGGTGTTCTGAATGCCCACCTGGGAGAGCTGGGGCCTGGGGCCCCCACAGGTCAGGTGGTGCCCCTCCTGTCCCCGCAGGTGTCGGCCTCCCTCTTAGAGGCACTGAGTGGCTCCCTCCGTGTGTGCGGCATCTCTGCGTCTCTGAAACGTGGGGCCCTGTGCAGAAGGGAAGGTCCTTGGTCATGTGAACCCCAAGGGGACTTCGGGGCTGTCCCCAGTGGCTCCCGTTGGCCAAAGTGGCTCGGAAGCACCATCTCATGTCACTCACCTGGTAGGGCCTCCTGCTCTCTGTGAGGCCAGGCTGTGTCACGGCCCCTCTGGGCTCAGGCGGCTCCATGCACAGTGCACCCAGGGGCCCATGTGTCCCAGCCTCCTCCTGCAGGTGGAGGCCGCAGCCTCCCTTTGGGCCAGTGACTGTGACAGCAGTGTATGGGCATGACACCTGCTTTCAGGCCCTCACGGCAGGGCCTTGCCTTGTAGGCTGCCAAGTCTTCCTGACAGACACCATTTGAAGGCCTTAATTAGATCAACCTTACATCCCCGAGGGGGCCTGACACGGAGGTCCCTGGTTGGTCCCGGACCTCCAGCACAGCGGCGCCTGCAGATGAGAGGGAAGCGAGATGCCCCTGGCCCAAGCCCAGCCTGGGGGCTTCCCTTCCAGAGCCCAACCGCTTGCTCCGACCTGCCTGTACCTCCCTTCCCCCCCACACTATTCCTCCCTCCCTACAGTAGGACTCCGGCAGGGGTGCTCCAGAGACAGCCACCTGAAGAAGCCACCAGGATGCTTGGGAAGGACGCTGCCCTGGGCCCTGCCTCCCGCCCCATGGGGATCTTTCAGGCCCCCACCGCCTGTTCGCAGAGGCGCGTGCTCCTGCTGAACTCTGTGGGGACCCTCCAGCACCTGAGCAGGGGAAGGGGGCGGGGGGGCCTCATGGTGGGCGGGTGGAGGGCCTTGTTCCCCTCTGGCTGTGGCTGGGGATGGCCCAGCCCTGCCCGCCTGCCAACAGCTTTGCGGTGCAGGCTGAGCTCTGCAGGGAGATTAGCAGCCGTCCTGATTGGATTGGCCGTGTTGCAGCCGCGGCAGCCAAGTGTGGGCCCCTGGTCTGGCTGCTCGTGGTTTGATCCTGAGCCGTTTCCTGCTGGTGATCAGTAGCTCCGAGCGTCACCCACAGAGGGGCTGCTGGAGTCTCACTCAGCAAGAGGCTCTGAGGCCCGGCCAGGTGTCCTCTGCCGGCGTTGCTGCTGCTCCCTTTGGCCCAGCATCGCAGCGGGGAGGCACCCTCCCTGAGCGCTCACGCCACAGCGTCAGGCCTCAGCCGGCCAGAGCAGGGAGGACAGCTGGTCTCTCCCCTGAGATGCCGGGGCTGCCTGTCCCCCGGTTGGGGCACAGCTGATGGCACCTGCCGTCCCTCGGTACTGTCACCAGTGCTCCCTAGGGAGGGAAAGAGAGGAGCCGCTCAGCCTTCCTCCTCAAGCCAGGAGCTGCTGAGGTGCTGGCTGCCTCCGATGTGGCCCCACACAGTGTTGGCCGCAGGCCGAGGGGCCTGGGGGCACAGGTGCCGGCTCAGGAGCCTCTGTGGGCAGGTGTCTGCATCTCTGGGGTCCTGGGGGACGTGGGTCCCATGCACTTTGGGTGGTGCCAGTTGGCAGAAGGGTGGGCACGTCAGGCCTGGCAGACACTGGTCGCAGCCACGCAGGGAGATGACGGCCGGTGCTCTCAGGGCGGCCTCTGCTCCTGTTTGCATCTTGTAGGGTTTGGAGCGAGTCAGTGGCTGAGAAACTCTCTCCCAGGAGCAATGTTCCCTCCTGGTCAATAATCAGTGAGCACAGATAGGCGAGGCTGGTTAGGAGCAGACCACGCCCATGGCAGGGGTCTCCCCCTCGGGCACGCGTGAGGAACTGGAGGTCTGAATGGCTTCTGTCCCCTGCAGAGCAGCTGTCTGAGGGGGTCTGTCCCCGGAGGCCAGGACCCTGGTCAGTGCCATCCGGGTCACGGGTGTTCTTTTGGCCCCAGCTGTAGGAGGGCAGCGATGCAGGGCCCAAACCAGAAGCCGCTCCTGAATCCCTGACCCCAGGATCAGTGTGAAACAAAGCCCACGACCCAAGGACCCCGCAGTCAGCAGCCGCACAGACGGAGCCAGCACTGGAGCCCGTCTCAGGTGGCTCCGCTCTTGTGTCCCCTGTCCCCGCTTCCCTGCCCTGGGGAGGGTGCCCCCAAGCCTGGTACTGCAGAGAAGGCCACCTCGGTGGCTCCTTGGTTGTGACATGAAGTCCTGCGGGAGGGCCTGGGGGGACTCCGGTCCCAGGGAGGTGTCTTTCTCAGGATGGGGGGCCATATCTGGTTGCCAGTGTCTCTGTCCAGCCTTGCGTTCCTGGCTGTGGGAGGTGCCAGTGGGTTCCCTTGCCCACAGTGTCTGTGACCGTTGTCCCAGACATGCTCCTGTGTGCCCGCTGCCGAGCTCCAGCTGCTCCAGGCTCCTCCACTCCCCAGTCACACATTTGACGACTTGTCTGGCACTGGGCCCCGTAGAAACAGACAGGACAGGGTCTCAGCAGCCCCAGGGGTGATCCCGGTGGCAGGGGCTGGGCTTAGAAGGATGCGCTGGGTCCTCCGGCTGTCCCCACTGTGCTTGTTTGTTTAAACGTCTGAAGGGCAAACGGCAGAGCATCAACTTCTGGTAGCTCCGAATGGTGGGTCCACGGGCATTCGTGACGGTCTCCTAGGTACAGTTTATACATTGGAAGCATTTTTGTAATTGTTACCAGCAGTCACATGCAGGCGGTCACATCACTGCAGGGCCAACTGGACTGTGTCCCGGGCAGAGACTGAACACGTGCACACACCCAGCCAGAGCACGCACGCGGGCACAGATAGTCCTGGATCCAAGTACCGAGGGGCGGCGCTCATGCCATCTCCATGGAGTGCTGGAGGGGTGACAGGGAGAGTGGCCCCTGGCAAGGTGGTCAGAGAGGCTGGGGAGTGGTCCACGGGGCGGCCGGTCTGAACTGCCCACCTGGCTTCTCGGCGGCCCCCGCTCATGCCATGGGACTCTGGGCAGCTGGGGTCCAGGGCTGGCTTCAAGGACGCCTGCTGGGAGTTCTCGAGTCTGTTCCCTGCCTCTGCAGTAGCCCCTTCCTTTTCGGGAGGTGTAGTCTGCGAGGCCCCTGGAAAAGCCTGGCGGGGGGCGTGGTTCTCCATCCATGGCAGCTCCCTCTGCCCACTCGGGGGACTCTCCCCCGCCAGGACTGTCCACTCACGAGCTCAGTCTGGCCAGTACGTTCCTAGGCAAGGTTCAGTTCGCCTCCCAGCCTTCCTCGGTGGACACCTCTGGTCTCGCCGGTCACGTGGGAGCCATGCCCAGGGCACCTTGGGAGGATGCTGTGCCGTGGGACCTGAACAGGCAGCAGAGGTGACCAGGGTCTTTGGAGATGCACTTGTTGTACCCAGGAAGATTGGAGGGTTTTTTGTTTTCTTGGTTTTTTGTTGTTGTTGTTGTCTTTTCCCCCTTTTTGGAGACAGAGTCTCACTCTGTCACTCAGGCTAGAGTGTGGTGGCGCAGTCATACATAGCTCATTGCAGCCTCCTGGGCTCAAGCGATCCTCCCACCTCAGCTTCTGAGTAGCCAGGACTACAGGTGTGTGCTGTCACGCCTGTATACTTTCTAAACTTTTTGTAGAGACAAGAGCTTGCTTTGTTGCCCAGGCTGGTCTCGAACTCCTGGACTCAAGTGATCCTCCTATCTCGGCCTCCCAAAGTGCTGGGATTACAGGCGCGAGCCACCGTGCCTGGCCAGAGGTTGGTCTTGCAAGGCAAATTTGCCCATGAAGAAAGGAACAGGCCCTGCTCCAAGCTGTGGCCTGGGTCTGCCCTCCACACTGAGCGGACGTCCAGGCAGCCTTCGGGCTGGGTATTGAATGTGCTCTGCCGGGCAACCTTGGTCACTTGTGGCCAAAAGGGAGGTGGAAATGTGGAAAGAAACCCCTCTGCCCCGTCAGACCTTAAACCTCCTTGCGGACACTGGGCAAAGGAAGAGGCAAAAGGTGCTTTGGAGGGAGGAGAGAGGCACAGGGAGGGTTGCTGCAGAGGGGTTCCTAGTGGACGCGGGGGCAGGAGAAGGCCCTGGCGTGCCTGTCCCGCTGCAGCTGTGGGAGCTGGGCTTGGCCAGGTCGCTCAACCCGTGGGGAGAAGGTGTCGGGTTAGCTCAGCCCCCGCAGAGCCTCATCTCCACCCCTGTGTGTCACGTAGGGGCCCTCTGCAGCCTCCACTCCAGCCACCCCGGGTGGATGGCCGCTGACCCGGGAGCCCCCGTCTGCCTGGGACGCTGGGAGTGTGTGAGCAGATTTGGTGCCAGAGGCCCGGGCAGGCCTGAGGGTCCTTGATCCCAGCGTGATGGTGCGTTGCTGGTCCAGGGCCCATCCTTGGAGCCGGCGGGTTGGAGTGGTGGCTCAGGACAGTGGGGGTGGATGACAGAAGGCAGCCTCGGCCTCTGCTCTCCCTCCACCCCCATGTCCAAGATCTGAATGCTGACCCAGCCTTGACACCAAGGTGGCTCTTTGGACTTGCTTGGTTTCAGAACTGTGTGTGGGGAAGCAGCGTCAGCTACCGTCATCACCATGGCAACACAGACATTGATTTTTTTTTTTTCCCCCATTGGTTACCCGCTGGCCACATTCCATTTTTGCCTTTTTTGTAGGTGGGAGAAGAACTCTGCTTCTCCCAAGGAGAAGCTGGTGGCTGGAGGGCAGCAGAGAGAAGGGGCGGGATTGGGAGTCACCCCCGAGGTGGCGTCCTTGGGCTTTGGGTCAGCACTGGATCTGGTCCCCTGGCCCCTGTGGGGGCTCTGATAGCAAGATGTCCTGTCAGCCCCCTGGCCATCTGTCCTTCCCCGTGATGAGGGCGCTCTGTTCGAGCCCTGCCCAGGTGGGTGGTGATGAGCTCTCGAGGTGCCTTTGGGCTCTGGAAGCCACCAGGATAATTGAGAGTTGTGGATAGCTACTTCAGAAGGCTCTGGAAGGTGATGCATGCTCACAGCCAGCTTGGAGCAGCTGACCTCTCGCACAGAGCCCCTCTTCCACCAGCAGAGAAAGGAGAAGAGTTCCAGTGCCTCCGGAAGCAACAGAAATATCCAGGAAACGAGTGTTTCTGTGCCCTCAGTGTCCACTGGCCAAAAAGAGCACCCTGACCACTCGGTAGCAGCGCCCGTCCGTCCCTGAGCCTCTGTTTGAGGGACTCACGTCCAGCTCCCGGCAGACTCAGCGCGGGGGTCGGATGCCTTCTCCGCACCATCCCGCACCGCCACGAGCTGCTGTGGCTCACATTCTGCCATCCGAGCTCTGTCCAGGAGGCAGCCGAGAATTGGAGCAGTTCCCACGCCAAGTAGGGCCTTGTGGGTGGCCGGTCCCCTCCTCCAGCGTGGCACGGAGGCGCCGGAGCATGCAGGTCTATGCCTCTGCAGAGTCTGGGGCATCTTGTTCCATTTCCTTGCTGCCTCTCCTCTCGTCCGTGATCATCCCCCCCTCCCCCTCTGCTTCCGGCCTCCCCGGCCTTCCCAGTCTCTTGGGCCATCATCGTGGTTGTGTTGGTCCTGTTGCTCCTCCTTCGAGCGCCCACGTAGGGCTGGGGTTCCCTGCGGGCTGTGGGTGCCGTGCCCTCCCCGGCTGGCTCCAGCCCTCAGAAGCTTGGGGAGGGTGGGCTGGGCCATCTGCATTCCACCTGCCCAAGGGCTGCCACTCCCTTTTCCCAGATGGCTGGAGTGCCCCAGGGCAGCGTTGGGAGACCTGCGCAGGCCCCACCTCAGTCCACAACAATGTTCCTTGATTCCCTCCGGCTTCCTGCTCCTTCACCTCCTCCTGCGCAGCCCGGCCTGACCCATGTAATCAGGGAACAGGAGGGGCTCTCCTCAGTGTCCCTATGTCCATGCCTTGTGGCCACCTGAGCACTTCTCAGGGTCCAGTGGAAAACTCTCCTGCCCTGTTTGACGCCCACACTCGTCAGTTTCACCTTGGTGCCAAGAGCAGACGATCTGCTCCAGGCCCCACTTGGGCCACAGCCTCACAGCCGTCTCCACGTCCCCACCCGAACCTGGCATTTCCTGAATTCCTGGCCCCTGTCCGAGAAGGAGGCTAACCCTCCTGGGAGAGCTCTGGCAGGTGCTGACCCAAGTCCGTGGGGTCTTCAACCTTTGCAGACACCTGCGCCCAGAGGCCACGCCTCCCACTCTGAGCACAGGCGGGCGGACGCTGTCTGGCAGGCTCTGCCTTTCTTTCATTTTTCCTGACCTCTTCGCCCAGCGTCCTCTGCTTGGAGGTGGGTGTATGAGAAGGGGCCATTGGTGTCAGAGTGGGGCTGTCTGCTGAGCAGGTGAACACACCCCCAGTCCTTGCTCTGGGGCCGGGCTGTCCCGTGGGCCTCACGGACCTCATTGTCTGTGGTCATGAGCCTGCATCTTACTGATTTAATCCCGGGTGCCGGGTACAAACATGCACGCTTCCCTGATGAGAAAATGGCATCTGGCCTGGAGCCCCTTCCCACAGCCCTGGGTATTGGGTGCCTGTCACCTCCAGGATGACCCCCAGCCAGCAGACAGGTAGCAGGTGGAGGGTACCTGCTCTGGGGCCCTGGTGGCCCCAGTGGGTTGAAGCTCTCTTCGTAGGTGGCGTGGGGCCTTCTGTCCCCATGACCCTCCAGCGGCCCCTCCCCATGCCAGGGCTCAGCACCCCTGCTCCTCAGAGATCGAAGCCTCCTTCTCGGACCTTCCCCACCACTGTGGTCCCAGCTTCCTGTGCAGTCTCTTGGTTACCCAGGAGTTCAGAACTTTTACCACCTGGGGTGCCTTTCAGATACTCGGACCTCTTGGTTTGTAGGAGTACCAGGCCGGGGTGGGGAGGTGGAGGCTGTGCTGCTCCCCTCACCCTGGGCTCAGCCAGGGCCGCCAGCCTTCTTCCTGGGAGCAGTCACCAAGCTGGTCTCGGGCCGTGCTTTGGTAGAAATGATCTTTTAACTGACTAAGCAGAGTGTTAACTGAAATCATCATGAAATGCTGTTTATGCTCCATTTGGGATTCGGAGTCAAGCATTTGGGGACCCTCGGGCAGGGTCTGAGCTGCTGTTTGCCCTCGCAGATGAGGACGACGATCTGCACAGATCTGCCTCCAACCCTGGGCTGAGAGCATCCGAGGCCCAGGCTCTTCCCTCCCCCAGTCTTTTTCACTGTCTCTGAGATTCACGCTCTCTCTCAGGTTCTTGTCACTCGCAGACTATAAGAACACGTTGTATTTTCTGGAGTAAAAAAAGGCACAAATCTTTAAAATGTCACTGTTGTGAAAGCCGAAGTGTGAGGGGCTCTTCTAGGTTAAAGGACTAAAGATGCCCAGCGCCCCAGAGGAAGGGTGAGAGTCCTCTGGGAGCTGGCAGGCGCCAGTTCCTTGTCGCTCACGGTTAAGCCCGTGTATCACTTATTTGTCTCAAGTGCTTATGGAGCAGTCTTCCAATAGGTGGAATGCTGATTTGTTTTCCTAAAATGAGAGAGACTAAAGCCACGTGCCAACGCAACACAGCGGGACCCTTGATGAGAACCTGGATCAGGGAGGAGCTTGTCAATGGCATCGTCGGGCCATTCAGGAGCATGGTGTGTGCTGTTGATGAGAGGAGGATGCGTCTGTGGTAACCTTCCTGTGTGTCACAATGGAGGCGTGATGAGGCAGAGAAGGTCCTTGCTCTTAGGACACAGCTGCAGTATTGGGGGCAGGGGCAGCATCACATTGTCTGATGTCTGCAGTTGAGTCTCAAGGGGCTGAAAAAAGTGCCTGTGTGTCTGTGTGCATGCATGGATACGTGTGAGTGCCGGTGTGTGTGCATGCACGGATACGTGTGAGTGTGCGTGCACTGGTACATGTGTCACTGTGTGTGCGTGCACGGATACGTGAGTGCTGGTGTGCGTGCATGGATGCGTGTGAGTACGTGTGTGTATGCACAAATACATGTGAGTGCCAGTGTGTGTGCATGCACGGATACATGTGAATGCCTGTGTCTGTGCGTGCATGGATGCGTACGAGTTGCCTGTGTGTGTGCACGTGCACAGATGTGTGAGTGCCTGTTCGTGTGCGTGCATGGATGTGTGAGTGCCTGTGTGTGCGTGCACGGATGCGTGAGTGCCTGTGTGCGTGCACGGATGCGTTGAGTGCCTCTGTGTCTGCGTGCACGGATGCGTATGAGTGCCTGTGTGTGTGCATGCACGGATGCGTGTCTGTGCGTCTGTGTGCGTGCACAGATGCGTGTGAGTGCCTGTGTGTGTGCACGGATGCATAAGTGCCTGTGTGTCTGTGTGCATGTACGGATGCGTGTGAGTGCATGTGGGTGTACCTATACATCACAGAAAGAGTGGTGAAGCGATTGTGGCAAAGCACACCGCCAGGGAACCTCGGCGAAGTGAATGGGTGTTTGCTCTGCTATCCCTGCAACTTCTCTCCAGGTTGGAAAGGTTGGGCTGGGAAGAGAATAATGTAGTTCTGTTTTCTAAACCACAGGGAAGAATGGGCTTGGCAAAGCCATGACTGACAGTGCTTTCTGTCTCCTTCACCTTCCCACTGTGTTGAGCCAGAGCCATTCGTGGGAACCCCTGGGTGTGGTTGTGAAGCCAGCCTCGGCTCAGCTCACCCACAGAGCTGTCTCCAGCCACATTTGCATTCCGGCTGTGCCCACATTTGGCATTGGGGGAAACTTCCTGGTGCCTGTGATTTCAAGCCGGCGGCCAGGTCTGCGCCTGTGCTGGGTCTGGGGCATCTTGTGGCACTTCCTTGCTGCCCTCTCTCTTCCGGGACCATCCTCACCTCCCTCCCCATCCCTTCCCCTGTGCTTCTGGTCTCCCCAGCCCTCCCAGTCTCCTGGGCTCAGCAGATGACCACCCAGGGCATCCCCGGTTTGGCCTCAATCTTTGAATCGTGTGAAGCGATCGGAAGGAGCTCGGCCGTCGCCTCAAGTGGGCCGCCTTCCGGTGGGCTCCCTTCCTGTGGGCCGCTTGCATGCCGTGCTGTCTTCAGGGATGAGCAGTTAATCCTTCTCGTTCATCTGCTCACTAGACGCGGCTGTGTCAGAGCAGTGCCTGCCTCCTTGTGGCCCTAACCTTGTGGGGTGCTCCTTTGAGAGCGTCCTGAGTGACCCTCTCCAAGGACCCTACCTCCACCTGTCCACCAGCCCTCCTTGCCTTTAACCCTTTCAGTGCTACGCGTATCACCACACTCCCTCTGTGCCCTTCTCCCCCAGGTAGGGGCCACTTAGAACACTATGGCAGCCTTTGGTGGGCCTCAAGTCCTGCTCCTCCCCTCCGTGGGCACATTGGGGCCCCCAGTACTGCCCAGCCTTTGCACTGGCCAGCCACAGGCTCCATATGAGGCCAGCTGGGCACTGCCATCTCTGTCCTGGCACGGAGGTTCTGCCAGGGTCTGTGTATACTTTTTTGGGTCTGCTGGGAATTTTTTTTTTTTTTTTGTAGTGGTGATGAATAAAATGCATAACGCAGAGAAGCAGAAGTGCCTGCACCCGGGTGTTCCCTCTTGCTAGTAATCCTGAGGTTTGGTAGAAGCCAGCTCCTGCTGGGGTCAGGGGCAGTGAGGCAGGGGCTCCCCAGAGTACAGCCTGAGAGGCCTGGCTGCTTGGCTGGGGGGAGTGCCGAGTCTCAGGTCCTGCCGGGAGGCACAGTCCTTCCAGAATCAATCCCTGTTACCATCTGCAGCTTAACTCATTTTAAGCTTAACCATCTGCAGCTTAACTCATTCTTGCTTTATCTTCCCTGTGGACCAGGTCTAGCCTGGGGCAGACAGGAGATGGCAGATGGACACCTGGGAGGGGCTCACTGAGCTCCGCCTCTCCATCAACGGAGGCCCCGTCTAGGTTGTGGAGGATGCTTGAGAGAGCCCTGATGTTCTGACCTCCCAAAAGGTCAAGGGTGCTGGCAGCCGGTGAGACGCCGCAGTTTGCTCTGCTCCCCGGGGCTGTGCTTGCCAGGAGACATTTCGGCTATAAGCAGGCGAGAATACCTCCAGAACACACATCAGGAAGACAGATGGTGTGCAGGTGGGGCTCAGGGCTGTCATCCCCTGAAGCTGCTTCTGAAAGAGCTGTTCTTGCAGCAGCACTGTTACAAAAGGCCACATGGGAAACAGCCCGCACCTCTCAGTGGATGCCGGCAGAAACGCCTCGTGTATCCATAGGGTGAAGTTGTATTCAACCACAAAGGACAGGCTGGGTGTGGCTCATACCTGTAATCCCAGCACTTTGGGAGTCCACTTGATCCCAGGAGTTCAAGACCAGCCTGGGCAACATAGTGAGACCCCATGTCTACAAAAGTATCTTAAAAATGATCTGGGCATGGTGGCACACCCCTGTAGTCCCAGCTCCTCGAGAGGCTGGGGCCGGAGGATCCCTCGAACCCAGGAGTTGGAGGCAGCAGTGAGCCATGATTGTGGCACTTCACTCCAGCCTGGTGACAGAGTGAGACCCCTGGCTCTAAAAAGACAAGAAGGAGACTCTGAGGCAGGCTGCACCATGGATGGAGCTTGAAGACATTGTGCCCAGGGAGAAAAGCCAAATGTAGAGGGTCATGTGTGATTGCAGTGATTGAAGTGTTGGGAATAGGCCGCTCCACAGAGATGCCGTGAGACTGGTTCCCGGAGCTAGGGGGCAACTCCTGGTGGGCGTGGGTTTCTCTTCGGGGTGATGAAAGTGTCCGGGCAGTCAGCTAGCTCAACTGGTGAGCGCATGATGCTGACGATGCCACAGTTGTGGACTCGATCCCCACACCGGCCACAGTCCCAATTTCTTAGCCGGGCATGGCAGCTCACGCCTGTAATCCCAGCACTTTGGGAGGACGGGGTGGGTGGATCACCTGAGGTCAGGAGTTTGAGACCAGCCTGGCCAACACGGTGAAACCCCCGTCCCTGCTAAAAATACAAAAATTAGCTGGGCGTGGTGGCGCACATCTGCAGTCCCAGCTACTCGGGAGGCTGAGGCAGGATAATCACTTGAACCCGGGAGGCGGAGGTTGCAGTGAGCCGAGATAGTGCCACTGTACTTCAGCCTGGGTGACAGAGACTCTGTCTCAAAAAAAAAAAAAAGTAAAAATGGTGAATTTTATGTTATGTGAATTTTTCTCAATTTTAAAAAAAGAGCCTAATGCTGGGAGGACGGATGCTTGGGCTTCCCGCCCGTCCTGAGGCTGGTGGTGCTGAGTATGCGGGTGGCTGTGGGAGCGGGTGCCGTCTCAGGTGCGAGCCAGACACCGTGGGTGCGGGTGCAGGTGTGGGTACCGTTTTGGGTGGGAGCCGGGCGCTGTGGGTGCAGGTTCCACCTCGGAGCTGGGTGCTGTGGGCACAGGTGCGGGTGCCATCTTGGGTGGGAGCCAGGCACTGTGGGTGCCAGTGCCATCTTAGATCTGGGCACTCTGGGTGCAGGTGCCATCTCGGAGCTGGATGCTGTGGGTGCGGGTGCCGTATTGGGTGGGAGCCGGACGCTGTGGGTGCAGGTTCCACCTCGGAGCTGGGTGCTGTGGGCACAGGTGCGGGTGCCATCTTGGGTGGGAGCCAGGCACTGTGGGTGCCAGTGCCATCTTAGATCTGGGCACTCTGGGTGCCGGTGCGGGTGTCGTCTTGGGTGGGAGCCGGGCACTGTGGGTGCAGGTGCCATCTCGGAGCTGGATGCTGTGGGTGCGGGTGCCGTATTGGGTGGGAGCCGGATGCTGTGGGTGCAGGTTCCACCTCGGAGCTGGGTGCTGTGGGTACGGGTGCCGTATTGGGTGGGAGCCAGGCGCTGTGGGTGCAGGTTCCACCTCGGAGCTGGATGCAGTGGGTGCGGGTGCCGTATTGGGTGGGAGCCGGGCGCTGTGGGTGCAGGTTCCACCTCGGAGCTGGGTGCTGTGGGTGCGGGTGCCGTATTGGGTGGGAGCCGGGCGCTGTGGGTGCAGGTGCCATCTCGGAGCTGGGTGCTATGGGTGCGGGTGCCGTATTGGGTGGGAGCCGGGCGCTGTGGGTGCAGGTGCCATCTCGGAGCTGGGTGCTGTGGTGCGGGTGCCGTATTGGGTGGGAGCCGGGCGCTGTGGGTGCAGGTGCCATCTCCGAGCTGGGTGCTGTGGGTGCGGGTGCCGTATTGGGTGGGAGCCGGGCTCTGTGGGTGCAGGTGCCATCTCCGAGCTGGGTGCTGTGGGTGCGGGTGCTGTCTCGGGTGGGAGCTGGGCGTGTTTGCGGCTGTTGGTGTCATCTCGGGTGGGAGCTGGGCGTCTGCCTTCCTGTACTGCAGCCTCCGCTCCTCTCTGGCTGTGCTCTCTGCTGCTCCAGGCTGGCAGCAGATCTTGAGGATGCAGCCTCTGGAAGCTCTCAGGGCTCCTGAGTTTTGGGGTGTTTGACCTCCAGCCTGCTCAGCCCCGAGTCACCTTTGAGCTGTGGGGGTGTCAGGTCTCTCCCCTGCAAAGTGGGGTGATAGTCCCATGCTGGTTGGGGTAAGACCTGGGGGGAGTGAGACCAGGCTCAGCCTGCAGGAGAGATGGAGGGCAGTTGTGGGGTCTCACCGATCTCTGCTGGGATTCCAGAAAGGAGCTGGGGACTCAGCAGATGGAAAGGGCCCTCTCCGCCAGGTGCTGCGCCCAAGCAGAACCAACCCGAGGACAGAAAGATGCTGGCCGGGCATGCCTGGGGCCTGGGTTCCTCAGCCTCACCTGACTCAGGTGCTGTTTTCCTTGCTGGGGAGCAGGGGCCCAGCCGGGGTCTTGAGGCAGCCCTGTCCCCATCAGCTGCGCTCAGACCTGTCCACAGGAGGCTGGGCTCCCTGGTCACAGGCAGTCCCGTGGAGCGGGTTTCACTCTTAGCCTGGCGACCGCCCCGTCTGAGGTGGAGGTAGAGCTGGTGGGGTGAGGCCCACGGTGACCCCAGTGTGGACCGGCTGCTGCTTCACTCATCACGGTGCATTGGTAGGTGGTTGAAAAGAGAGAGGCCTCGTTTTCAGGATGACTGTGTAGACACATCACCCGTGACACCCATGTGTGCCCCCTTTCTAGCCCTCCGATGCTCCTCCTCCTCCTCACTCCCCAGCATCCCTAGGCAGCCCTGGGCTGGTGGGGTGAGCTGCCCAGAGTTGGCTGACCCATCAGCCTGGGTGCAACGCTGCTGCACTCCCACACCTACATCCTGAGGCGTGGCCACCTGCTTTCCATCACCCCCAACACCCCAGATCCCCGGATCCTTCTGATGGCGACGGCTCTGCCGGTCTGTTCTGGCTCATGTGCTGTGTGCCCTGGCCCGCTGGCACTCAGCTTACATTTGAACCTCGTCTTTAGAGTTAAGGTCCCACCTGTGCTGTGGACCAGACGTGGGCCTCCCAGTGAGTGGGGGGCATCTGATAGGTGAGGCTGCTTAGGAAGCCTGGCACACCCTGTCCCTCAGCAGGGTGGGCCTGGGTAAGTCTGCCCGCCGCATGGGAGGGAGTGTGGAGAGATGAAGAGATGAGGGAGCCCGAGAACGCATGGCCTCACGTCTCACCCCAAGGGAGGCTCTCAACGGCTGTGGAGCCCTCGCTACTCCGTCTTCAGGCCCCTGAAGGACACAGGCAACCGCGGACAAGACTTAGTTGCTCAGCGGAACTCACTGCCCCTACCGGTGCCTCTCACTGCTGATCTTAGGGTCTTGGCATTCCTTAGGGGCCTGGTGCTCCATGTGCCCCGTCCTTCCAGCTGGCACCTCGGGGGTTAAGCGCTGGTGGCTGCACACACTCATGCTCCCGGCTGGGGCGCCTGCGGCACCCTGGGGGTTAAGTGCTGGTGGCCGGACACATTCACACTCCATGCCCACGTGGTTTCCTGCAGCTGCCTGTAAGGTGCAGTTTAAAAATTCAAGGCATGGGATGATTTTGTGCAGCCGCCGCTCGAAGCTCAGGGCGGGCACACGCCTGGTCTGTGCAGCTTTGCCTGGACCTCCCCTGTGTGTGCGCCAGCCGCACATTGTGGGGCTGGGGGCTCGGGCTGGCGGGGATGCTGGGGTGCACATTTGAGTGCTGCAGCTGCACGGGCGGGTGGTGATGACCGTCACCTGGCCAGAACCCCCTGAGAAGCTCCACATACTCTTTTTCTTTTTGGATTCAGCAGTCCCTTTTTCAAAGGATTTGTTGTTGGCTGTTGTCTTCCAGATGTTCCTCTTGACTCCATTGTGTGTAGCCTTTTAGGGGAACACGTGCTTGTTATCTGGTCTTGACATTCACTTATAATTTGGGGCTGCAGAATGTGGCGGGAACCAGGCACGGTGCTGCATGCCTTTGCTCCCAGCTACTTGGGAGGCTGAGGTGGGAGGATCACAGAAACCTAGGAGTTGGAGACCAGCCTGGGTGACATAGTGAGACCCCATCTCAAAAAATAAAAAAAATGGGATATGGCAAGAGCCGTGAAGAGTTCAGCTGAGTTGTCTTGGGCCTTTTGCTTCACCTCTTTGTGAACTTGCTGGCCCCCACGCCAGGATAGGGGGCCGGCGACCTCGCAAAGGCTGGGTGCGTGTGGACACTCCGGGGCTGAGGGAGCACTGGCCAGGGCACAGGCTTGGGTGGGTTCCCCCTCTCAGGCCAGACCTTGTGCCTGTTGTCACCTGCCACCCCAACTCGGCTGAAGCCAGTTCCCAGTGTCCAAGGGGCCCGAGAGCTGGGAGGTGGATCCAGGATCCTCAGTCACAGGAACACCATGAAAACCGCAGGACAGTTCCCTGGAGGCTTCCTGAGCCCAGAGGTCGTGGTGTCCATCCTGGGAATTTATAGGATGCCAAAGAACGCCGAGAAGCACGAGGAGCCCTGGAGCTGCCTCCCCCGGGGTCCCACCGTCTCAGGCTTCCTGATCCTGCTCCTCAGCACAGGGCAGTCTGCCCCCGGCCTGAAGCTTCCTGCGTCTGCTGTCCTTGGCTCGTAGGATGGTGTCCTGCCAGGCTGGCAGCATCTTGGCCACCCAGGGTGGATGGTGGAGGGGCCACGTGGCTGTGGGCCTGTGCCAGCCCTAGCTGGGGTTCCCTCTCTTGTGGGGTCTGTGCTGCTGGCCGTGCTCCCGTCTCCTCCCCTGCCCTGGGCAGCGCCTGCTCACGTCCAAGTGGCTTCCCTTCAGCCAGGCTCCTTTATACCAAATTCTGTCCTCTTTGTCCTTGATCCCTTCCCTGCACACCTTGAACCCTAGGTCGAGTGAGCCTGGGGTAGGGCCCATGTCCTCTCCTGCCGAGGCTGGTAAACCTTAGACTTGCCCCCACCCCACCCGTCTGTGTGGTTTGCCGCTGATCCCCAGAGGTCTCGACTTCATCCCGACCGTGAGAGGCCACCGCAGTGGTGCAGCTCCCTCCTGACCGCAGTGCAGCCCCAGGGGGCCATCGCTGGGCCCTGCCCCACTCCACAGGGCCACACAGCAGGGACCAGGCAGTCACACCCATGGTTGGAGCCGGTGGAAGTGATTTCCAGGCAGGGGCAGGCCCCTGGGCCAGGGCTGGGGCTGGCATCCGTGGAGGTACTGGGTGTGCCAGGGCGCGTCTTAGGTGGTTTGTGTGTGGCAGGGCCTGGGCTCTGGGGTCTGTGTCTGCCTGTCCTGCTCCCTCCTGGCCCCGGGGCCAGCGTGGTCCTGGAGACTGATCCAGCATGACCTACCTGTCGTCCCCGTGAGCCCTGTGGTTGTGGCCAGAGTGGGTAGCGGCATCCAGGGCGGCTGTGAGAGTGGAGGGAGACTCGGGTCACGGCCAGGCACACACAGCCACACACACATGCTCACCCGCATAAGCACACCCGTGTACGGTTCACGCTTGTGCGTGCCCACTCACATAGGTAGACATGCACGCACATATGTGCTCATGCCCGCACACATATGTGATACCTCCCCGGGGTCTGCAGTGCTGCTTTCCTCACGCTGAATCCCTCTTCACGGTGGCCAGGCCCAGGCATGTCATCTTCGCAGGCAGAGGGTGAGCAACTGTGTGCCAGGCAGCCCTTCCGTATCTTCCCAGAAAGGGAAGCCAAGCCCGGGGCTCTGTGCGTCCCCCACCCCTGCCCTGCGGTGGATGGGATCCTGCCAGCCCTGGGCACTGTTCTCTGGAGAAGCAGCCAGGCCTAGCACTACTTTTAGCGGGACACGTGTCACAGGAGCCAGGTGACTGTCACCTCTGGGTCCCCTCAGGGGTGCATGAATCCCTTTCCTCTTCTCCCTCCACAGAAATCTGTGCCCCTGACACGGAGCGTTCGGCTTTGGGAACAGGCCTAGCAGTTGCCAGCATGAGGGCGGGAATGACTTGGGAGTCTGGGTGGCCAGGAGGTGCCTGAGATGCCTGGGATAGCTCGAGAGGCAGCCCTGTGTGTGCTGACCCGGGAGGAGGGCATGGCTGTGAGGTGGAGGCTGGCACAGGCGGTTGGGCCCTGGCTTTGCGGCCACTCACCAGCCGCTGACGTGGCCTACTCTGTCTGCTCATCTGGGCGGCCTTGTGGGTTGTGCTGATTAAAGGGAGGTACATCTGTGAAGCACCTGGCCCTGGTCAGTGCTCAGAGGGTCTGTGGTCATGGTGAGAAGAACCCCGCAGCTCCTGGAAGGGCGAGAGGACCCGGAGAGGCTTCCTCTGCCAGACTCAGCTGTGCTTTGAGGAGGGGAAGTGACCCAAGGCCAGCCCAGCCGTGGTCCTGGGAGGCAGCATCGCCCGGTTAGGGCTTCCTGCGTGTCACCGGGGGCCTTGCTCTGGTTTCTGGCTGAACTTGTTGGGCACTGGGCGATCCTAGTGGGGGTTCTGCTCGCTGGAGCGAGAGGACCCTCTGGGGCGTGGGACCGGCGGTGGCCTGGACGTCAGCAGAGGAGGAAAGTCCTGCTTCAGGCAGCCATTCAGGGAGGGACAGGAATCACCCGAGAGTGACCTGCCAGCAGCAGGGGCGGCCCTCCTGCTCTGTTTGTGTCCGCAGCACGTGGTCAGTGCCTGGCACTGGAAACAGTAGCTCAGCAAATATTTGTCCGTCAAAGGAGTACGGGGGCCGGACCACCCAGTTCCGGCCCCTCCTCTGCAGACCAGGAAATGGAGCCATTTGCCGCAGGGGTGGGTCTCTCGTACCAACTCCAGGGTTAGCGGGAGGACAGCCCTGAGGGGCTGTGGCATGCTTCTGTCCCATGTGGTGCTGATGGGGGGTGGGTCTCGGGCTCTGCTGATGAGTATCAGGGCTGGGTCCTGGAACCCAGGCTGGCTGCACTCTGGGGGCGCTTCTGGGGACGGCTAGCCAGCCCCCTGGGCTGATGGTGTGGTCGCACCTGCTGGCCTTGGCGGTCATGTCTCAAATGGGATCACAGCTCCGAGGGAGCTTTGGCAGAGGAAGGTGGGAAACATCTGGGTGAAAAGGAAGTGGGCCGTGCTCCTGTGTCTTCGAGGCCTCGGCCCCTCAGCTCCTCTCTCTGTGCCCCTCTCTTTGGTGGAAGCAGGTAGGGATGCAGCAATGTGGTGAGGCCCTTACAGAGTGGGGGACTCAGACCCACATCAGGGTAGCCCAGACACCTGCGCCCCTGGGGCTGCCCCCCCGCAGGTGGACTTGAGCCGGGTCTCGTTGATGTCCAGGCTGCAAAAGGCCTCTGACGGCGCTTACCCTGTGCCGCCACGATTTTGATTTCTTAATCTGCATTTTGCACACGGGCCGAGGAGACATCAGTGTCCCCAAGCGCTGCCCGTGTGTCCCCAGGGCCCTCAGCGATGGCAAGGCGAGCCCAGGCCAGCGTGCACCAGGGTGGCTGCCTGGTGAGCCTATCCCATGGGGCCAGGTCTCCTCAGACCACCGCGCTCCTCTGGGGCTCAAAGCGGAGATGTTGGGTGAAGGTCTCAGAGGTGCTGTGGGTCTGCAGCCTGGGTAGTGAGGTGTCTTGGAGTCAGAGAGGCTTGTGACCAGCGTGTGCCCATGGGTGTCCCCCAGAGGAGGTTTGTGCGCTGTGGTGTGGGGTCAGCAGACTGTCCACCTGGCCTGAGGTAGGAGGTTCGGAGCTCTTGGGTCTCTGCGAACGACAGCCGGATGCGTATGAGGACGCGTGTTTGCGCTCACTGTCACTCACTGTCACGCCTGGGGTGAAGCACACACGGGCTCTTCCTGTCTCTCGCCTTTGCAGAGACTCAAGTTCCCTCCCAAAGATGCCAGGCGTGCTGTGCATTTGAGGTCTGGAGTCCCTTCTCATTCTAGAATTTTCTGTTTCCTTTTGGTGTCCCCTCTCCGCCCTCCCTTCTGGCCCTGACACCCCGGGGGCCCTGCTGCCTGTGGTCACAGGGCTTCCCTGGGTGGCTGTCAGCCCAGAGTGGGATGACGGTGGTGACTGCGAGCACCTGACTCCCTCCCCTTCCTTCTGCTGTTCTGCTTCCCAGGAGACGTTCTCTTCCAGATGGCTGAAGTCCACAGGCAGATCCAGAATCAGCTGGAAGAAATGGTGAGTCCACCCCCAGCGTGGCCCTGCGAGGAGGGGCAGGTGCGACGGGAGAGCTGGCGCCACACCTTGGCCGTGTGTCCACTTGGGAACAGTCCCAGTTGTCCAGCCACACTCGGAGGCAGGGAGGGACCCTGGCTCAGCACACAAGCCACACTCGAAGGAGGACGTCGGAGAAAAGGGCACAGGCCAGACCGCGGCCGCATGTTTCACTGGCTGCAGTGGCAGCCATGACACGCTGGGCTCCAGGGAGAGTCCTGATCGCAGCCCCAGCCAGACCCCACTCCTGGGGTTCACAAGGTTGCAAGGCACACTTCCCCTGGCCTCTCCGACTGTAGGCAGAGGCAGACCCCACACAACCAGAGCACGTTGCTGGCGGCTGGTTTGCAGCATCCTGTCTAAAGCCAGGGGTCTGACCCTGGTGTCAGTTCAGGCCCATGGGCCCTGCGACCTCTCAGCCTGTGTCGCAGTGATCCCCAGCATGGGACAGCAGAGGAAGGAGGGGATGGCCGTTTGTTTCCCTTGTGGCTGTTTGGAGGCGAGATTGTCCGACGTTCCAGACTCCTGTTCAGCACTCGCTCCTGGCTCCAGAGGGTGCACACGGGCATGCGGGGCCACAGCTCATCAGTCAGGGGGAGGGGGCCCCTCCTGCACAGCCGGGACACCCGGTGTCTCGTGCCCATCCGCTCTAGCCCTGCCCTGCCTCCTGTTCCGGGTCCATGTGTTGGAGCTGACGGCTGATGTGTTTTCTCTCCATGTCCAGCTGAAGTCTTTTCACAACGAGCTGCTTACGCAGCTGGAGCAGAAGGTGGAGCTGGACTCCAGGTATCTGAGTGTAAGTGCACCCTGGCCGTGCCTGCTGGGCCCTGTGCCTGGGCTCCGGCTCTCCCAAATGCCTGCCACTCCTTCCTCGGCCTGAAGGCTTCCCACTTCCCCGAGCTCCCCGTCCACATGGGCCCCAGCTCTGACTTTATTGTCCATTTGGGACCGAGTGCCCCTGGTGTGCCCCAAATGCAACCTGTGGGTGAATCCGTTGCCTCTGACGCCCCACATGCCTGGTTCCATGCCCCGGCTTTGGCCACTTGCGGTGAAGCTGGTGCCTGACTCTGCTGCCGGGGAGTGCAGGAGCTCCTTCTCTGGCCTCTGCAGTTCCCTGGGCTCTCGGCCCGTCCTGCCCCACCGCCACTCCTGTCCGCTGGCAGGAAGGCTTGGGGCTGAGGCACTGCTTGAGGGTTTGAGGGTCACCTCTGGCTCTCAGTGGTGGGCGGGAGGGGTGGGCCTCGGCCACTTTTTCCAAGTGTGATTTTCATCTTGGGCGACCAGAGAGCTGCTATGGGGTTGGGTGGGGTCGGGCTGAGGCTTCATTTGGGCTCTCCCCAACTCTGATTTGCAGCTGAGCATGCACGGCCAGAGAGCGAGCCAGGAAGGGAGTGGCAGGGCTGGCAAGGGGACCCCGTTGCGTTGGGCTCATGGGCCTCGGTTTTGCTGCCAGTGGTCCGCGCTGCGTTGGGTTCATGGGCCTTGGTTTTGTGTTTTATTGTTTGAATCTCAGGCTGCGCTGAAGAAATACCAGACTGAGCAAAGGAGCAAAGGCGACGCCCTGGACAAGTGTCAGGCTGAGCTGAAGAAGCTTCGGAAGAAGAGCCAGGGCAGCAAGAATCCTCAGAAGTACTCGGACAAGGAGCTGCAGGTAGGCCCGCCACCCCCGCTGTGGTGCCTCTCCTGCCACCTTGGGACTGCTCACCCCTCGGCCCCCCTCGTCCACAGGGAGTGGACAGCAGCCCCCCAGGTGCGATCAGACAGAGGCAGGCTGTGTGTCCCTGGTAGACCTCGGGAGCGGTGGGCCTGACGCCCCCAGGCCGGTGGGATGGTCGGCTCACCTGTGGGGCTCTGTCCTGCTCTTGCAGCCTCCCAGGGTCACTGAAAGGTTCTTGGCTGAAGGAGCAGAAACCTAAATGGAGTCCTCCCCTCTGTTCTCCCCATCCCTGCCCGGGAGTCCGGTCCCAGTTTGTTCCTCTAAGCGGTCGTGGCCTCCGCCTGCAGGGCTGGCCACTCGAGGGAAGGTGGTACTTCAGGTTCCTCGAGGGAGCGGCTTCGGTGTTGTTTCTCTCACCGTCCCGCCGGCGTCACCGGTGCTGCGTGCTGAGTGGGCTGGGACGTAGGAAGGCCTGGCCGATGACAGGCACGGCCTGATGTGTGTACACCAGAACCTGGATGGTGGCTGACACAGGCCAGACCCAGAAACCCCTCGCCCACTTGCTGGGGTCATAGTGATACAGAAGAGAAAGAAACACAAAACAAGATGCCCAGTCGTGTGTAAAGGAAACATCAGGAAAACCCCTGGCCAGTCACCCAGGTAGAAGCTTCTGGGCTGCACCCTGGGGTGGGCAAGGTGTGGCTGTGGGTGAAGCCCGGGCCTCCAGGCCGCACCCTTCCTGCTGGCAGTCAGGTTTTCAAGCCTTGGCAAGCCCCGCACACACCTGCCCGTGTGCGTGTGTCTGCGTGTGTGTGTGCGACCGTCTCCTTGGTGCCGGATGTGGGTGCTCATGAGTGGCTGTGGCCTCGCCCTGGGACTGGGAGGCCGGTTCCTGCTCAGAGCCTGTGCCCCCGCTCCCTGCTTAACTGCAGGGAAGCCAAGCAGGTCTGCCCACACCCTGCAGACCAAGCCAGAAGATTTCCAGTGTGGGGTCGCCTGGTGGAGCTGGATCGGCCCCAAAGGAGAGGACGGGACTAGGCCAGGGGCAGATGAGAAGGATAAGTGAGAGTCTGTGGAAACAGCCATACGGGGGAGCTGGGGGTCCCTCGGGTGCCCGCTGCTGTTTGCAGCCTCCCACTCAGGCATGCTTGGTGCACAGTTGCAGGGACGCAACTCAGGCCGTTCTCTAGGGTGCCCTGCCCTCTCCAGCCACCTCTTCCCGTGTCCCCAGCCTTTGTTTTGATCCTGTTTTTCACTCCAGGTAAGCTGTGATGGGTCTTTTGATCCTTTCCGTTTTGCACTCCGGGTAAGCTGCCATCATGGGTCTTTCTATGATGGGCCCATCATGGTGGCCTTAGTATTCCTGCCTGAGGCTGCTGCAGCGAGCCGTCCTCAAGCTGTTTCTGTGAACAGAACCTGAGCAGTGGGCATGGGGAGTTGAGGAGGAGAAATAGGTATATGTTGGTAGACACTGTGTCTGTTTTTCTTCTTCCTCCCACCGTGGAACGTTTTGCTACTTTGCTTTCTGAAGACAAGCAGCGGACGGCACCCCTGCGGCCTGGAGGGCCATAGCCGCCTCCGAGCAGGTCAGGACAGTGCAGGTGTGAGCCAGCCCTGAGCACCGAGGCCAGGTGTGAGAGCTTGTCTTAAGGGGGACTTTCCTGGGAATGTCCCCAGCTTGGTGTTCTGGGGATGGGGATACTGAGGCCAGTTCACTGAGGGCTCAGCTGCCTGCTGGGGGTCCAGGAGCTTGAGCTCCCTTCTGCCCTCGAGGCTCTGTGGGTTTTTGCTAACAGCGTTTTTGAGATATAATTCACATCACCAGCAGTTCACCATTTCACGGGCACAGTCCAGTGGTTATGAGTGTTTGCAGCTGTGTGTCCATCACTCAGTCCGTTTTAGAGCATTTTTCAATCAGCAGTCACTCCTGGGCCCCTGGCCCCACCAGTCACCAGCCTGCCATTGGCCTCCGTAGACTTGCCTGTTATGGACATTCTGCGTAGCTGGAATCCCACAGTGTCCGGCCTTTGGTGCCTGGTGGCTCACGTGGCACGGAGGGTTCTTAAAGCTCATCGTGCCGTAGCCTGCGCCAGCCTCCTCCCCTCTTACTGTCGGGGGTCAGCCTTTCTTCCTTTTCATGGCTAAATCGTGTTCCATCGTGTGGGTACCGGAGGCTCCATCCTGCTCAGGGCCAGGGCCGTCTCCCTGGCACGGCCGGTACTGCCCTGTGGCTGAGCTCGCTGGGAGCTGGAGATCGCGGCGGGGTAGCATAGGGCCGGACAAAGGCAGAGGCTGGGGGCTGTCGGAGCCACTCCCCCTCCCTCCTGCAGGCTGGAGCCAGAGGCCTGAGGCCCCCACGCAGTCACTGTGGCCCTGCCGCACCAGCTCCCTGGTTTTCAGGTGCCCTGCCTCCCACTGCCAGGCCTCTTCAGGAGGGCCCTGACCGCACACCTGGCCTCTGCCTGCCCTCCGCGCTGCTCTGCCGTGGGCCCCGGGTGGTGGGATTTACTCCCGAGGCTGTGTGTGCACAGCTAGCTCCTCAAGCCCATCCCACACAGGGGTTTTGGAAGACCTTCTCCTTGCTGATGGCTGGTCTGTCTGTTTGCTGCATGTCCTGGCACTTTTGAGGTCTGTTGGGGGACCATGTTGGTGCCTCAGGGGCCCTGGAGGCAGGTCCCATCTGTTCTTCTCATGGGGGCTGTGAGCCACCTCCAGTGCCTCGGTGGACCCTTCGTTGACTGGCCCAAGGGTCACCTGATTCGCAGCCACAGGGGGCTGGACCTGGCGGTGACTCGAGGGGCCTTGGCCCTGCCTCAGTGCTGTGGTCCACGGTCTGGGCAAGGGGCCGCTGCTGGGTGCCCCAGGGGCTGACTGAACCATTTGGCAACAGAACTAAGGTGGCTGGTGGCTGGGCCCGTCCTGGGGCCCCTTGAGTGCCCTTTCGTGGTAAGCCAGGTGACCCAGTTTTGGGAGTAAGCCACAGCACCTGTTTCCCAACGGCTGCCACAGTCGTCACAAAGCCCCCCTCGTCCGCAGGAGGGCAGGCGGAGGGGGAGAGGGAGGGGGTCGTGGCCTTACAGGCTGTCTGCGTCCTGATGGGCCAGACCCCGGAGCCCGGCAGGGTCAGGAATGAGGGCAGCATTCCCATCTGTGGCTGCTAGTTGCCGAGGCAAATGGTCCCCCTAGCACCTGTGAGTGGGTCTGGGCGGGGACCATGTGGGCGGAGAGGGCAGGCAGGGCCCCGAAGCGCATGGTAGGTGGAGGTTGCAGTGGGTGTGAGGTGAGGGTGGCCCAGCAGCCCCCTTGGAAAGGCCTCTGCCACCCGGTACAGAGACGCTTGGCGAGCCTCATCTTCTCGGCCTCCCAGGGCCCCTCCTGGGAGATGTGTGGTGCTGGTCTTTCTTCCCAGGTCCCAGGGGCCCTGCTGTGGCTCCCCAGCCCTGGCTGAGCAGCCTCCTTTCTCTAGAACTTGCAGCTGCTCCTCCCCACTCACCAGGGGACCTGTGGGTGGCCCCAGGCTGGACTGTCCCCACCTGGGCACAGCCTCAAGGCCCTGGTGTCAGGCTTAGGCTTGGATCTGGCTCTGTCCCTTATGGGTCATGTGGCCGCAGCAAGCCCCAGAGCTTCTCTGAGCCTCAGTTTCCCCATTTGTGAGGGGGAATATCCTGGCTTTCTCCCTCTTCTGAGCACTGACGGGAAGGGCTGTAGAGCCAGGATGAGCCGACATCAACCTTCTCACGGTGCCTGCGTGGGGGCTCTCCTGGACGGACCTCCGCCTCTGCTCCTCCCCATCCGCCTCCTTCCTCTGTCAATGGGAGACGGGGCTTCAACTCTTAACCACACAGGTGTTTTATTTTTGTGGTTTTTCCCAAGTCACCGAGTTTCTTCAGGAAGGGCTAGGTCTCATTTCTCCTGCGTCCCACTTGGTGCCAAGCACAAGCTGGTCACGCAGCAGATAGCTAGTAAGTGCTAAGTGGTTTCGAAACAACATTTTGGGGTGGGAAACAGAGGGAGCCACACCCCGGTGTGCTTTCTGCTCCCCAGTGGCCTGGAAGCCCAGGAGGCCAGGCCTCGGAGCCGTCAGCATCCCCAGCCCCACATCGGAGTTTGAGGGGGTGGGGCACTTGGTATGTGGCTGCGTACGCGCCCCCCGAGCTGCGGGGAGGCTGCGGCCACCATCCTGGGGTGAGTGCCATGTGGCTGCCTGGCTGGGATGTGCTGCCGGCCTCGCTGCTCCAGGCCCCTTGCCCCACCCAGGGCTGTTCCTGCTGGTTCCCATTGCCTTTGCAAACCCGGCCAGCGGGCTCTGTGGGACTTCTACTTTAGGGTGTGGCCGCTGGGGGCCCAGCTGTTGCATGTCCTCTCCACTTCTGAAGAGAGGAAGCACCCTGGGCTGGGGAACTGGGCTGGCTGGCCCCGCCTACTCATGTGCAGCCCCGCCCCTCCAGTGCATTCCACCCCGCCCCCACTTGTGTGGACCCGCCCCCACTTGTGTGCCCCGACTTGTGTGGTGCAGGAGGCCCTGCCCTTGCTTGTGTGGCCCCACCCCTTGGTGCAGGAGGCCCCGTCCCTCCAGTGCACCCCACCCCCATTTATGTGGCCCCACCCCACCCCACCCCACCCCACAGGCCTCCTAGCTGTCCCTAACTCCTGGCTTGCCTCGCGGGGTCTACTGTCCTGGGGCCTAGGTTGTCAGCGAAGTCCTGCTGGTTGCAGGGAAAGGGCCTGCTGGAAGTACTCTTGGGGGAAGCAGAGACCTCTTCACCGGCCTCTCCATTCCTAAAGCGGTTGGTTGCTTCCCAGCTGTTCTACAGACCAGCCCAGCAGCTGCACCCTATGCTGGGGGCAGCCCGGGGGTGTCTACGCAGAGAGTATAGTTCACGGTGCCCCCTTGAGATCCCTGCCTCGGTCCCTGGACCTGCCTGCCCCCAGCTCTTCTAGCTGTCTCCAGTGTATGCCCTGTGGGGTCACTGGCGACCATAGCAGTTGTCCCCAATCCTGAAGACCCTGAGAGAGGCAGGTGTGCCCACACGTCGTTGGAGTGCAGGGCAGGAGTCTGGCCCATTCGGGCTCCTGGGGCTGCTTTCTTGAGCGGGCAGGAGGGGGCTGCCGGACTGCCGGAAGTGGAAGTGACCCCACGCAAGGGTGGCCTGAAGCCAGTGTCCAGCCAGGGGCGTGAGTAGCAGAGAAGCAGATGCCTCCCTGCGGTTCCCAAGCTGCCCCTGCCACAGAGGCCTTTCCCTTGGAGACCCTTTAGTGCCTCTGGGGTCTCTGGCCCTGCATGTCCCTCACCTGGCAGCCTAGAGCTGGCCGGGGCCTGGCTGGTGGTGCAGCCATGTGGGTGGTGCATGCAGGTGGAGGCTGTTCAGGCAGCTCCACGGGCTGGACGGGCGCCCCCATCTACAGGGCCCCCCACCTCAGCTGCCGCTGATGAAGGGGAGGTGGTGGCTGGTGCCTGACTCTGGTCTTTGGGGGTGTAGCATGCTGTGTCATTGTCAGATGTGGGTTCCCTCAGCGACCCAAGAGCTGGGTGTCTCGAAGTGATTGCCGGGGTCTCCAGTGGGCTCAGAAACCTGGCGCCAGCTGCACCCCACCTGAGCTGCATGTATGCGGAGCACCAGGCTCCTGGGAGCTGTGAGGCTGCTGGGCAGCGAGGCTGGGCCCATGGCACGTGTGAGGGGCGGCTTCATGCTCCAGGGTGCCTACGAGGCCGAGGCCCCCGATGCGCACTGCCCGCCTCCACTGCCGGGCTCATTGTGTGGCAGCGGCCAGGCCTTCAGCCTGAGCTGAAACAGGGACACACCACACCAGGCCCTGGGGGCAGAGGTGGGGCTGCAGGGAGGGGTGGGCGTGAGGTTGGCCAGGCCCTGCCCCAGAGAGGCAGGCAGAGTGGATTTCTCTGTCTGCCTGCCAGGGTGCCCTTGAGCGGGGCTGGGCCCGGGGGCCTCCTGTTGTTCAAGAACTGCTTGTAATTGAGATGGTGTTTTGGGATTTCCATGAAAAGAAGTAATTTTAGTTATAGGTCAGGGCACTGGGGCTAGGAAGCATTTGGGGTGTTTGTTAACTAGGACGGGAGAGCTTTACGTAAGGGGCCCGGCCCGGAGCACCGCCCTGACGGCCTTGGGCAGCGGCACCTTCACTCCCCAGGACCGTGGTCGTTGCCACATTTGCTGGGCCAGGTGCTGACAGACGTGCCCGTCTGCCTGGAGGGAATGTTCTCCACACCACGCGGGGCACGGTGGACATGCTGGGGCAGGGGACACCTTCTCTGTGGGTTTATCAGTGTGTCCGCGGGGCGTGGTCACAGCCTGGTCCAGCTCCTCCTTAGAACAGAGGGGTGTGGCTGTGTCCACAGGGCCCGGAATGGGGCTGAGAGCAGAGCCCAGCCTGTGCCCACCGCTCGGGGGCAGGGAGCAGGGCCCGGGGGACGTGTCCACATGCCCCATCCTGCATCTGGAACCCAGGGTGGGAGGCGAGTGGCCCACCCACTCCCTGGGCTGGGCTGGGCTGGGCTGGGCTGGGCTGGGCTGGGCTGGGCTGGGCTGTGGGCACGAGGACCTGAGTGTGAGGAGGGAGCCCCGGCCCGCTGGATGCAACTTGTCCTTCCTAACCCATGTGCACTGAGGGTGGGGCAGCCGGGCCCCTGCTCAGAATCGCACTGGGCATGGGCTCGACTTGCTGGCCCTGGGACGACCCTGCTCAGCCAGCTCTGGAGGCTTCCTCAGCGGCCTGAAACTCCTGCTGCAGAGGAGGGTAGCATTGCCCTGTCCACTCACCACCTCCTGGGGCTTTTCTGGACAGAGATGCCCGGGGCTACAAGGAGAGCCAGGGTTTCTGCTGGGTTACCTTCCCCTGTTCCCTTTCTGAGATGATGGGGGAGGAGGGAGGTGAGGCAGGTGCAGCCCTCGCTGGCCGGTCGTGAGTGAGGAGGGAGAGATGGCCCCGCATCCCTGGGGATGCTGCCTCCCAGAGACCATGGGGGCTCCGTAGCACCGGCAGGATCATCGTGGGGGTCCTGGGAAGCGGCACTGGTGCTCTGCTCACTGTAATGCAGGGGGCTGGTGGGGGGCATTGGTGCCCCCAGGATCCCCCCTCCGGCTGCCCCCCATCTCTGGGTGTGCGAGGCCTATAGCCTGGATTGAGGTCTGAGAAAGGGGAGAGATGCGTGCTATTTAAAGGGTGTATAATTAACACAGCAGAGACAAAGCACCCTCGTTCAGATCTTCAGAGAAGATAATAGCAGGGCCGGTGATCGCCAGCGTGGAGTCTGGCGACGTGCGGGGGGTGTGAAGCCCATCCTCGTTTTCACAAAGCTCTTCAGGCTAAGGCTGTCTGTGGACAACCCCTCCCCCCCACCACCCCCGTGAGGACAGCCGTGTGGCCATGTTTCTCTGGAGTAACATCTCTGAGGGGTCCTGACCAGGAAAAACAGGAGTGTGAGGAGCCAGGAGCCACGGAGCCCTCTCAGGGCTTCTGCATCCGCAGCTGACACAGGGACCCTCAGTGTCCCCGGGGCCAGGGCAGCCAGGGGTCGGGCACTCTGCTTCCCCAAGCCTCAGGGCTGGGCCACTCGAACATCTTAGCCCCCACTTCTCCTGCATCTTGCCAACCCTTTGCTGGCTCTTGGGGACAGCTTGGTCTGTGATCCTCTAGCCTGTTTGTGTGTCTAGCCCACTGGTGTGGACAGAAGCGACCTGCTGTCTCCTGTGCCCGTGGGCATGTGCTCACCAGACTGTCCATCCCAATACCAAGCTGTGGGTCTGTTGGGACCTGTTGTTCCTGGGCACCCCTTGCCAATCTGCTGAAAGCTCTGGGCCTTTTTCCCAGGAAAATGGGGACCGTCAGGGCTCATGGATCCCTGATCCTGCCAAAGTGGCACTGTTCCCTTCCTGAGGATCTTCCTGTAATGCCTTCCTTGGGGAGCGGAATGACCAGCTCTTCCACCTGCCACCGGGGCCAGAGGGTGCGGCTTACCCTCTGCTCAGCCCAGCCCGGGTCTTGCTCAGAGCACGTGTGTTCAGCGTGAGATTTAAGGGTCCTCCCATCTCCTTTTAACCACCTGCCATGCTGCCCTCCCTCCTCTGCCTGGGTACCGTGCCCATCAGCCTGGGAGGCCTGGTCAGTGGGTTTTAGAGCAGCCACTGGCTGCAGCCTGCAGGTGGCCAGTGACCATGTGCTACTTGGGGCACCTGATTCTCACCCCACACACCACAGCTGACCGGTCCGCAGCCGCATCCTTTCGAGTAAGTGTTACCCATGGTGACAGCTGAAGGCCAAGAATTACGTTCTCATTCATATGCTGCAGGGGACCTGGGGGGTTAAAGAACGTGGGAAAGCTGCAGCAGCCGTGGCGGATGAGGTAAACCAAAGCCGCCTTGGTTTTTTCTGGAATGCCCCTCCCCCACTCTGAGTCACCGCATGCTGCGGAGAGGAGAGATGTGTTCTGATCACTTTTGTCTTCTCTGATCACGGGGCTGTTCAGCCCAGGGTGACTAAGTGGGAGCATTCTGTGGGTCTTAAATGCTTTCAGCTGGGTGTTTCCATAGTGCTGTCGCCATGGCACCCAGCTAAGCACGCAGCCGGTGGCTCAGCGGCGGGCGGGGACTGGAGGGGGCCAGCCACTGGGACTGCCTGCCCATGGGGCAGGCTCAGGGCCGTTGTAAATGGCCGGGCTGCCAGGTAGGAGGTACAGACCAGGCCGTGCTCTGTCCCCTGCACTTTCCACACAGCTCGGACGTGCCCCGTATAGGTCATCCCCGTCCAACAGCAGGTCACAGTTGGCCGGGCCCTGCAGTGCTGGCCGCCACCTCCTCTCCTCCCCGTCCCCGCACCGGCCCCTTGTGTGGTGAAGCTCCTGCCTGGCCTAGATTTCCAGGATCTGCCCTGTACAGTCGTGGCCTCTCTGTATGAGGAGTCAGTGTCCTGGAACAGCAGGTGAGGAGAGGCAGCTGTCATTCCTAGACAGAGTGGCAGCCGCATGTCATGCGCTGACTCAGGCTCTGCCATAGCCAGATGCTCATGTGGGGGCTCCAAGGCAGGAGGTGTCAGCTCCCCCCGTCCTTCGGGGGCTGGCCATCCCTGCCTTGCTGCTCTGGGAACATCTCTCCTCCCTGTCCCCAGGATCTGGAGGGGCCCCGCCAGAGCACCGTGCAGCCGTACTTTCTGTCTCTCCCCCGACTTCCCCTGGGTTTCTCTTGTGACCTGTGTGCCACTCCCAGCCATTTACGGGGCTCCTTTGAGTAAGTGGAAGACTTAAAAATAAAACACCAACTCTCTTCCCGGCCAGGGAGGCTGCCGTACCCTGCTAATGAGGCCAGTACCCCTCGCTGTACTCTCCCCTGGGGAACTGAGCATGAGCGTGAGAAAGTACCGTAGCCTAAAAACCCAGAAACCGCCTGTAGGGTGGGCAACCGGAGCAGCTCCAGGGGCCTTAGTTTGGAAGGTGCCGTTCTCAGGGTGAGGAGACCCAGGGGGCCCTGCAGCCTAGTTTACACTGCTGTCCTGGGGTGACCACTCCAAGCAGCACCTTCTCTTCCCCCGAGTCCTATTCAGACAGCAACCAGTGTGGAGGCCGTGGCTCTGGGCAGCCCCCTGGGCCTGCCTTTTCTCAGTGCCTCAGTTTCTTTTGCCAGGCGTTGGATCTCCTGCTGAGTGCTCTCTGGCCCTGAGCTCTCTGCCCACCATGCTTTCCGGGCCGGCCACCGCTGGAAAAGTCCCCAGGGAGGGCACAGAATCCTCATGATGGGGTGCGTTGGGGGTTTCTCCATGGAACCTCACACACATTCCTGAGGCTGCCCCACTTAAGGGATTCTGGGCACCGAATAGCTCCCTCCAAAGCAGGCACCCCCATCACAGGCCACTCAGAGCCTGGAGGCGCACCCCAGCATCCCTGGCAGTTCCCTGCGGGAGGAGCGGGGCAGGACCCTGCAGGCGGCCTTGGAACAGGCCTGGGTGTTGGTCTGAGTGGTGTTGCAGGGGCATGGGTGGGTGCTCATCTCCAGGCCCCTCCTTGTGCACAAGCCCACTTGTTTCTCGGAGCACACCCTCCCCACCCAGTCCCTTTGATCCTGAAGGTCAGGAAAGGAGTCCAGCAGCCAGGCTGAGGCTGGAGCACAGCGGGCTCAGGTGTCCTCCTCCATGGCTGCAGTATGTGGCGTCCTGGCCACGGCCATCATGCCCTCCCCAGGCCCCAGGGTACCCCTGAATCTGGCTGTCGCACTCTACCCCTTCCTGGAGAAGGAGCCTCAGAGGTCACTGGAGGTTCTTGGGAGCAGGAGCAGGAAGCCCTGGTAGGTGCATGTTGCATAACCAGAGGAAAAGTACTTCGCGCTCCAGCTGTGGAGGAGGAGGAGGTGGAGGAGAAAGTAGAGGAGGAGAAGAAGGAGAAAGGAGAGGAGGAGGAGGAGGAGGCAGCGGCAGTGGGGGTGGCGGCAGAGGCCTCAGCATGGAGCAGAGCTTGCTGGAAAGTCTGCTTAAGGTTGCCTTGCAGGGCCTCTCACCTGTGATCAAACTTCTCACTTCCTAAATGCCATCTCAGGTCCCCTTTAGGTGACCCTGTGGCCAGGCCCTACAGCGCCTCTGGAGGGTCAAGGCCTACTGGGGATAGGAGTAGCAAGCCCGTTGTTTTGAGGGGCAGGTGGGGTTTAGTGTGGGAAAGCAGGGTGGGCTGCAAGGGCAGGGGAGCGCCGGGCTCCGTGTTGGGGGATGTGGCTGGGCAGGCTCTGGCCTTGGGGACAGCATGGTCTGCTCACACTGGCCAGCAGGCAGAGCCAGTGCCCGGTGGTAGTGCTGGGACCGACCCACACCCTGCCAGGCTGGTTCTCACCCCTGTAGTGGAGGCTTGCGGGGGTAGGCAGCCAGGGAACAGGCTGCTCCGCTCCCCTCCCCGCCGCCCACCCGGCCCGGCACTGCCCACCCACGCTGAGTCAGAGCTGTAGGCGGGGCGGCCGCGAGGCTGAGTCAGGCAGGGGAGGCCGCCCCCTTGCGGAGGCCGCATCTTCTTAAGAGCCGATTCTGAACTGACCACTCCTTGACGGGCAATCCCGGTGGACGGGGGGTCTGAGTCCTGCTGTGGAGGGTCTGCCTGAGGCCGGTAGGGGCTCAGCCCAAGGTAGGTAGGCACAGGAGGAGAGGCGAGACAGAGGAGAGCTGGAAAGACCTTCCTGGCAGAGGAGAAGCTGGCTCCCTGCTGAAGCAGCTAGCCTCCTGCGGCCTCCCAGGAGGGGCCTGGGTGTGTCCCTGGGGACAGGGTCTGTGCCTCGGGTGCTCCTCCCTTGCCCTCACCAGCCACCCACAGCCTCATCAGCGTTTTGGGATGGAAAGTTTCCAGCCTACAAAACCGGAGAGCCCTTGACATCCAGGGTCCCAGTCGAGCCCTCCCACTGTCGGGCTGGGGTTCTGGAATCGGGAACCCCGGGTGCCGGGTGTCAGCTGTGCCATAGGGCTGTGGTGTCACGCGCTACCCCAGACCTCAGGCACATGATCCCCAGGCCAGCTGGGGTCATGGAGGGGCCAGCGGGGGGTGGGGAGGCATGCTCCTCCCAGAGGGACAGAGGCAGAGAGCCCTGGGGTTTGGAACTGTCACTTCCACCTACAGCCCTGTTGGTCAGGTGAGTCATACAACAAGCCCTGCACCCATGGGCAGGCTGGGAGGCGCCTCTGCCCAGGATGGGAGCACAGTCCGGGGCCTGGGAGGCAGCGGCCGCCCTCAGCTTCTTCGCCACTCTCTCCCCCAAACTCCCCCTCTCCAGTTTCCTCCCGAGGCTCACGTTGGAGAGGCCTGGGCTCAGCTACAGTTTCTTGGTCTGGCTTTGCTTGCACTACTTCTTTTAAAGTTTTTTTTTTTTAAATTGTGATAAAATACACGTAACTAATACAGTTGACCACGGTAACCATCTTTAAGTGCACAGTTCAGCGGCATTAGCGCATTCATGGGGTTGTGCGATCACCACCACCATCCATCTCCAGAACTTTCCATCTTCCCAAACTAAAGCTCTTAGTACCCTCCGTCCTGGTGTGTTCAGAATCGGTAGCTGGATCTGGAAGCTCTGTCAGGTTGAGACTCAGTTTTCCTTTTGGGGAAATCATTTTGGCTGGAGCAGCTTCTGTCGTCTTTGCTGGAACCCTTTCTGGGCCGACTGTGTGTCCACCAAGAAGCACAGAGTGGCCAAGACGTGACAGCCGCCATGGTCAGAGCCAGGGCCACAGACGCAAGGGCTGCCGAGCGGCTGACCGCCGGGTCAGGGTGGGGACCGCCTGCTGGCTGCCCTGGTTCTAGGGTCTGGCTTGACTACCTGTCTTTCCTGTGCCCAAGAGCACCTGCCAGGGCTGAGGGTTTTCCAAAGCTTCCGCGTTTGTCTGGGACACATTCTCCCCGTCCCCCCATCCCCCCATCCCCCCATCCCCCCATCCCCCCATCCCACGGGGACACCCGGGTGGGCACTCAGGCAGCTCCAAGGTGGAAGGGCAGCAATCAGGCCTACTTCTCATTCCTGGTTCCGTGCTGGCCCCTCACCTGGGCACACCCTGTTCCGAAAGGCGTGACCTGTGGATCTGATCTTGCTGTCCCCGTGGACGCTGGTCTTGCTTTCTGGGCTCCCAGTCTCCGCTCGGTGACCTCTTGTCTGATCCTCCCCACGAACTTCCTTCTCACGTTCTCCCTTGGTGCACGCTTATCCGGAAACCAGGCAGCCAGGTGTCTTAGCGTCCCGCTCCCCGTCATTCAGAGCCGGAGCCGGGTGGGAGAGGAGATGAGGTGCGCCCGGAGTCCCCTCTGCAGCAGAGGGCTTCCCTGGGGTCCTTGGCCACTGTCCTGGGCTCCAGCTCTCCTGCCTTTCGTGCTGGGGCTGAGATGGCTGAGATGGCTGAGATGGAGGGGCCCTGGAGGCAGAGGCACAGGTGAGAGTGCTCCAGGCAACAGGGGGAAGGACCAAGAAGCTGTCCTGGGGCCCATGGAGCTGGGGCGCATCCACACCCAGGCTTCTGTGCCTTGGCCACAGGGAGGTGCACGCGACCCCACCCCACAGCAGGAGCCCTGAGATGAGGCTGGCCCCCTGCCAGAGCCTCCTGCTGGAGGCAGGACCCTCCACTCACCCAGAGTGGTCCCGGGGCAGGGAAGCCTTCTGGGGATGTGGCCATCGGGCATCTCCTGAGTGGTCCCGGGGTAGCTGAAGCCTCCTGGGGGCGTGGTTGTCTCCTGAGTGGCCGCAGATGCTGTTTTGTTTCCAGCTGCTCTGCATGAATGAGACGTGTCCTTTGACTGAGTCCGTGGGGCTGCCCCAAACCGGTCCTGACAGGCGTCCTTCCATCGCTGGCTGAGCCTTTCTCCCTTTCCCTCCACAGTACATCGACGCCATCAGCAACAAGCAGGGCGAGCTGGAGAATTACGTGTCCGACGGCTACAAGACCGCACTGACAGAGGAGCGCAGGCGCTTCTGCTTCCTGGTGGAGAAGCAGTGCGCCGTGGCCAAGAACTCCGCGGCCTACCACTCCAAGGTGAGGCGGCTGGGGGCTGCGCTGTGCCGGCGCTGGGCCTTGCTGGCAGAAATGACCCAGGCCCCTGCCCCAGCCCCAGCCCCGTGAACACACCGGGGCAGTGTCCAGGCTCGAACTCTCGTTTATTTCGGGTTTTCTTGGGGGTGAAGTTCTGGGAGAATTACCAGGTCACAGGGTGCAGGCATTTTGAAGACTCACATTAGAAATTGCCACCTGCAACCAGGGAGAGTCTGATGGGCTTTCAAGGCCTTCTAGAACATTCTTCTAGAATGTTCTTGGCTCTTCTGCCACAGCCATGTCCTGGGCAGGTGCAGGCTGACGCCAGGCAGGGGACGGTCATGCTCCGTGCTGGGTGCCGGAGTCCCGGTGGGACACCTGGTGGGTGGCCTCTGTGTCCTCACTTGCTCTTCCTGTGGCCCCTCTATCCACAGTCCTGGGGTACAGCCTCTGGGCTCATGGCTCTGCTCACCCGAGGCACTGAGGACCCCCAGCCCCAAGCCTGGGTCCCCAGCCACCCAAGACCACTGTGCCACTGGGCCCCTAGGCCACCCAAGACAACCATGACACTGGCCCCAGGTCCAGCAGCTGCCATAGCTCGGCTGTCGTACGTGGACCTGCCACCCCTCACCCAACCCAAACCTGCCCTATCTCTTTGCTTCCTGGGTAGCCAGGGGCCCTGCCTGGCTCTCAGGTGGCCTCCCCAGTCCCTCCCTCACTGCTCCAGAGTGGCCTCCCTGGGACTCAAACCTGGTCACAGGGTCCTCCCCTGGCTCCCAGGCTCTTGGTGACCTGTGCCTCTACCACCTCTGCCTGCACCCCTGAGCCACTGTGGTCCCAGGTGGGGCCTTGGGTGGTGGCCACATGCTGCTGCCCTCGTGACCTCTGAGAGACCCCTCTGCCCGTCATCTGTTGAGGGCCCCTCCTTGGGCCGGTAGACTCTTGGCCCTGTGTTTCCCGCTAGGCGTCCCCCGGCACAGTCCTGCGGCCCTGTGTCTCCCGCTAGGTGTCCCCCGGCACAGTCCTGCGGCCCTGTGTCTCCCGCTAGGCGTCCCCCAGCACAGTCCTGCAGCCCTGTGTTTCCGGCATCCCCAGCCTTGTCGTTCCTTGTGGGGGAATCCCGCCCTGGGATCCGCCATGTCCCAGGACCAAGCCTGGCCCTGCTGAACCAGGAGCGAGTTCCTCAGGGACGGGCTGCAGCAGCCCCCTCCATGGATATCCTGAGCCCCGATGTGAGCAAGGGGATCCCCTCCTAGGAGGCTGACTTAGCCCCCAGAGCAGGCAAGGCCCAGAGGCCAGACTCCCCACCGGGAACAGGCAGGGCCAGCAGGCCCCTGTTCACCCATAGTCCATGGGTAGGAGTTGGGATGGGATCACATGTGTCCCCTGGAACATTCTGGAACATTTCAAGAGTTTCGAAGATGTAGTTCCGGAGCCAAGCCCACCAGGGAGGCCCTGGTCATGTCTTTCTAAAATAAAGGGTTGCAGGGATCCACGGGCTATACCTTGACACTTGTTCCCCCCACCCACCACACTCTCATGTACGTGCGCGTGCGTGCACACACACACACACGCACGTGATACAGAACCAGTGCTCCAGTCCCCACAGCCTGGGGACAGCCAGGAGACAAGTGCTCTTCCCTCCCTGGAGAGGCCCCTCCTGCCGGCCTGGGCCTGCTGGGCACTGTGGGCAGGTGCAGGCAAGGACAGCAGCAGCACCTTTGACCCCTGGAGGCAGCCTCGCTGCTGAAGGACTCAGCGGTGACAGGCTGTGCTGCCACAGCTGCCAGGCAGGGAGCGCTGTGGAGCGCAGGCCTCCCGCCTGCTAGACCCAGGACAGTGGCGGGCGTCTGCGCCCTCTGGCGGGGGCCAGGCCCCATGACGGGGCCAGGGAGTGAGAGCGGGGCTGTCAGTGGCTGGGGTGCTGCCTGCAGGGATGGAGGGCGGGGAAGCCAGGCTGCTTGCCGCAGGTCTCCCAGGAGGGGTTGCGGGATGTGCCTGCGGTGGCAGCAGCTGACCTCCTGGGCTCGTGGGCCCCCGGGCGTGTGTGGAAGAGGCCTGTGTCCCACAGACCCACTTAGAGACGAGCCTCTGGGCTGGGGGCCAGGGTGTGAGGGCAGCCTCCCAGGGCAGTTCGTAGTAGCTCCCTGGTGCTTGGGTTTGGGCCTGCCTCGGGGCTCTCAGGGTGCGGGGGTGACGCTGGCTCGTGGCCGCTGTGTCAGGGCCGTGCCGCTGCGAGGTCGGTGTCCCTCGGCCGTCTGCCCTAGTGCTGGTCCCTGCTGGCCTCTCCGCGCCACCCAAGACTCACTCCTCTACCACTGATCTCAGCCAGGGCTCGGCAGACGTTCTGAAGGGCCACAAAGTTTGTGCTTTTGGCTCTGTGGGCCGTGCCGTCTCCAGCTCTGTTACTGCAATGTGAGGGCAGCCATGAATGAATGATTCACAAATCGATGCACAGCTGTGTTGCAATAAAACTTTATTTACAAAACAGGAAGCCAGCCCTCGGGCTGTGGTTTGCTGACCCCTGGTCTGAGCCAGCAGCAGAGGGGTAGGGGTGGCATGGGGAGGACTTGCTCAGAATGGCTGTCGTCCAACATCCTCCGTGGGTCCCCAGCGTGGGTGCCCAGCCACATGTAGAAGGGAACGGGGATGAGTTGGGGGGAGCAGTGAAAGCCGGAGAGGCCCCCAGAGGTGCCAGAGACATAGCAGTTCTGGCCCACAGCTTAAGGGTCTGGGGGTCCCGGGAATCCAGGCCCTGCAGCCTGCTTAGGCCAAATGGCCAGGAGGGGCAGGGGTTACTTGATTAGCTCCCAGGACCCAGGCCCGGCCGGCTCCCAGTCCCAGAACCTTTCTCCATGCCTGTGGCTTCCTCCTCCTTTGTCCCCACTGTGCTCAGCTGGTCTGTGTCCAGCAGGCCGCAGAGTACGCCCGAGGGAGCGCGGGCTCTTGGGCCCAAGGGCAGTGGTTGGAGCAGTGAGCCTCAGTGTGTCTGACGGGGCTGCCTTCCTGCCCTCGGCAGCCAGGCCTGACCCCCACTGGGCAGCACCACCCCCTCCCCCGGCCATCTGGGGCGCCTTCCTGGCACTTTGGGGTTTGCCCACCGGAGTTTGACCTTGTGCGTCCCTGTCCGTTCCTCCTTCCTCCAGGCCCTGATGGGCCCCGCGGGCGTTGAGCCTGGGTTTGCTCTCATCCCTGGAGGTCCCCCGACTGCATGGCTTGTGGTCCATCCCCGGCCCTTTACCGGCAGCCGCTTCTGTGGGTTGGGGTCAGAGGCTCACGGGTGGCCTGTCTCGCCGAGAGGTACCACCTGGTGAAGAGCAGCCTCCAGCCCCAGAGAGTGCTCAGGGAGGGCCCTCAGCGCTGTGCCTGGCTGCAGGAGACTGAGCCGGCCCTGACCCCTCCCTTCCTGCTGCTTCCACTTCAGGGCAAGGAGCTGCTGGCGCAGAAGCTGCCGCTGTGGCAACAGGCCTGTGCCGACCCCAGCAAGATCCCGGAGCGCGCGGTGCAGCTCATGCAGCAGGTGGCCAGCAACGGCGCCACCCTCCCCAGCGCCCTGTCGGCCTCCAAGTCCAACCTGGTCATTTCCGACCCCATTCCGGGGGCCAAGCCCCTGCCGGTGCCCCCCGAGCTGGCACCGTTCGTGGGGGTGAGTCTGTGGCCTCTGGAAAGCTTCACGGGTGTGGGTGGGAGGGCAGCTTGTTGTCAGGGCGGGGGGCCGCCAGGGTGCAGAGTCCAGGGGCCCCTGCTGAGGGGGCGGAGGGTTCTCTTTCCCCCTGGTCTTGCCCGGGGTGGGCTCCAGCAACAGCCTGCTCTGCCTGCTTCCCTGCAGCGGATGTCTGCCCAGGAGAGCACACCCATCATGAACGGCGTCACAGGCCCGGATGGCGAGGACTACAGCCCGTGGGCTGACCGCAAGGCTGCCCAGCCCAAATCCCTGTCTCCTCCGCAGTCTCAGAGCAAGCTCAGCGACTCCTACTCCAACACACTCCCCGTGCGCAAGAGCGTGACCCCAAAAAACAGCTATGCCACCAGTAAGGGCTCCGCTGGGGTGTTGGGCTGGGGTCCCTGGACGTGCCTCCTCAGACCCTACAGTCATGCCACAACCCTCAATAGGGGCCTGGGAGACCCTGAGGCTCACAATTATGTGACCGTGTGTACCTACATGCATGTGGTACACACACGTGTGCCTGCCCAGCATCCAGCTCCCTCTTGTCAAGCCTCTGGTGCTCAGTGGGGGCATGAGTGGGGTACAGGGTTAGGCTCATGCAGGCAGCAGCCACTTGGGAGCAGGTAGCTGCTGCTGCGGAGAGCTTAGCCAGCCCACTTACCCACCTGGGGCACAGGCGGCTGTGCTCTCAGCACCTCAACCAGACTCCCTGGGCTTTGCTGCCCCGCCAGCCAGGGGCAGTCCCCTTACCTGTCCCTTGTCCCAGCAGCCGAGAACAAGACTCTGCCTCGCTCGAGCTCCATGGCAGCCGGCCTGGAGCGCAATGGCCGTATGCGGGTGAAGGCCATCTTCTCCCACGCTGCTGGGGACAACAGCACCCTCCTGAGCTTCAAGGAGGGTGACCTCATTACCCTGCTGGTGCCTGAGGCCCGCGATGGCTGGCACTACGGAGAGAGTGAGAAGACCAAGATGTGAGTGTTTCTCGGGGGCGGGCTCCAGGCAGCCGCTGCCTTCAGCAAGTGTGTGGGGCAGCGACACTCAAGTGCACTGAGACCTTGTGTTTAGAGTGGCTGTGCAGGTTGCGGGTCCTCGCCGTAGAAGACCTGGGCAGTGAGAGCAAGCGTGACCTGGGGTCTTCGCCACCAACAGGCGTCTTCTCCCCTGGCAGGGGTCTTCGCCCCAACCACCTCCCTGCAGGGGTCTTCCCCTACAGGAGGGATCTCCCCCCAACAGCAGGGATCTCCCCCCAACGGCAGGGATCTCCCCCAATGGCAGGTATCTCCCCCAATGGCAGGGGTCTTTCCCCATGGCAGGGGTCTCCCCCCAATGGCTCGGGTCTCCCCCCAGCGGCAGGGGTCTCCCCCCAGTGGCAGGGGTCTGCCCCATGGCAGGGGTCTTTCCCCACGGCAGGGGTCTCCCCCCAATGGCAGGGGTCTCCCCCCAATGGCTCGGGTCTCCCCCACATGGCTGTTGTCTTCCCCCATGGCTGGGGTCTTTCACCACAGAGTCTAGTGACCACCTTGCTCCATCGCCTCCCTGTGCCACTCAGATTGCCGCAGGGTGTGGCATCCCACACGTGTACACACTCAGCACGTCCAGCCGAAGCCCTGTGGTGGGCATCAGTTTCCCACAGTTCGCAGGTGCAGAGCAGGGCTTGGCCATCCTGAGACCGCAGGCTTTCTGTGGCTTTCAGCTCTTCCACATGCCAGACGGGCTCTCCAGTTTGGAGTTCTAGAAGTCACCTATGGAGTCAGATGGGCCACACCTCCTCAGTTTACTGAATGCTGTTGCAGAGAGGCTGGGCCAGGGTGCCACCCTCGCTGGACCTGGGGGCTGCATTCCCAGGGCTGTGTTTGTGCGGGTGTGTCTCTTGGCAAGATGGGAAAAGGCCCTGACATTTGTGCCTTCCTAAGCTTGGCCTTGCAGCCATCACTCTGAGGAGGGGGCCGAGGGCAGGGGGTCTCCCAGGAGGCTGCTCCATCTTTCTTCCAGTGGCCACTCCAATCTTGGTGCCATCCGTGGCTTAGCGTGACACTGGGGCTGCGAGGCAGGAGCAACTGCTCTGCCCGGGCTCTGGGGCCTTGCAGTTGGGTCTGGTGGGGCCGGCAGCTCCCACCAGGTTGAGGACAGCCCGGGCCACCTTGCCCTTGAGGCTGAGCACACAGTGGGAGCGGGCTGCGGTCTTTGTCTCCCTGGAGCACTGTCTCTGTTGCTCCAGAGACAGCCGCGCAGCCATGCTGGGGAGCTAGAGGGACTTGTGCATGGATGGTGGTCGGTGGGGGATGGGGAGCCTCTGGGCTGAGCGTGGCTCTTACCTGGGGCCTCTCTTCCAGGCGGGGCTGGTTTCCCTTCTCCTACACCCGGGTCTTGGACAGCGATGGCAGTGACAGGCTGCACATGAGGTGAGCTCTGGGCCCAACGGGAGTGTAAGATCCCCAGCTCGGGAGAGGGGCTGTGATGACACCAGGTCCCTGGGCTTGGATTGCTCGGCTGGGCTTCCGGCTCCTTGTCTGCTACCGCAGGGCCATCCCCAGTGGCCCTGAGAGCTGGACGCTTGAGGCCTTCAGGGTGGAGGCATGGTGGTGCCCTGTGCAGTGGGGCCCGAGAGCCCTGGGGACACCAGAGCAGGCAGCAGGTGCTATGGGGGCAGCTCCTGGGGGCCAGGTGTGCAAGGACCTGGCTGTCCCAGGTCCTCCAGGTTCTCCCAGCCTTCAGAGAATCGCAGCTGAAAGCGGGGTACATGGCTACTGGGAGGGTCAGGGGTTGCTGTGGCAGCCCAGCCCCTCTGGAGTCCTCCCGGCTTAGCTTCATGGCCAGGAGGAGGAAGGGAGGCCAGACTGGCCCGGCCCATGGTCCCCAGGGCTGCCGCCTTGGCCTGAGAGCAGCCTCCCCGCATGTGGCGTGGGCTAGGTGAGGGCGGGCAGTCCAGGGAGCCACAGGGTTGTGGGGTGTTGGGGGCATCCGGCCTGCTGGGCCGCCTCTGAGTCCCTGTCCCTACAGCCTGCAGCAAGGGAAGAGCAGCAGCACGGGCAACCTCCTGGACAAGGACGACCTGGCCATCCCACCCCCCGATTACGGCGCCGCCTCCCGGGCCTTCCCCGCCCAGACGGCCAGCGGCTTCAAGCAGAGGCCCTACAGTGTGGCCGTGCCCGCCTTCTCCCAGGTCAGTGGGCGGGGCCGGGGCTGGGAGGGGCCCGCAGGTGGAACAGTGGGCTCAGCCTGCAGTCCCCCGTTGGAGCCTCCGCTGAGGGGCGGGGCGCCTGGGGGTCTGGGTCTTTGGACAGCCCTGGGGTGAAGGCTGCATGATTTGGGAATGTGTACACACCCCTGCTTCGGCCTCAGGCTGCCCGCCTCGCCGCAGCAGGCTCCCTGTGTCGGCATGCTGGGGCTGGGGTCAGCCTGTCCCTCATGGTGCCCTCAGCCAGCCACGGGCAACTCACTGCTCTGTCCAAGGGGGCAGCGTCTGGGCTGGGAAGTGGCTGGCCTAGAGGTGGGCCTGGACGCCGCCGCCTTTTGGGAGAGCCAGGGGGGCAGGATCTCTTCCGTGAGAACCACGGGGCTCCCTCAGTCACATCCATGAGATGGGAGTGCTTGCTGCTCAGCCCTGGCATGTGGCTGGACCCCTTCCAGTCAGTGTGACCCTGGATTTGGGCCATCTGGTGCCGGGAGGCCAGAGGTGGAGGATCAGGGCCTGGGTCCTAGGCCCTGGTGTGGGTTCTCGGAAACCCGGGATCATGGCGGTCCTGGTATCTAGGCTGGGGCAGGGTGTGAGCGTGCATCTCAACTTGCCGGGTTCCAGCCCGCTCCGTCCAGGGAGGCTCCTGGGGTTGGAGAGTTGGAGACCCCTGTCTGTCTGGGGCTCCTCAGCCAGAGGTCCAGTTTGTGGGATATTGGCTGGGCTAGCAGCTTTGTTCCCGGGGCCGGTCTCCAGGGCTGGGCCTCAGGCAGTGAGTAGAGAGAAGAAGAGAACCCACCTTTTTCCGAGATAACAGGTAGCCTGGGTGACTACTCAGCTATTGACCCACAAGTGAGGAGTCCCTAGATTGACAGCCTGAGCTGAGGCCGCAGGAGGCAACCTGGAGAGGTTTGGGCTCTGGGCCGTGGGTGTTCCACAGGTCAGCCTCTGGGGTGGGCTCAGTGCTGGGAGAGCCAAGGAGGGGTCTGCATCTGCCCTAGGCCGCGGGCCAGGCCATGCTGGCAGATGAAGGGCACAGCCAGCCCCAGCGCCACACCTGGGCGCTCCTCCCAGGCAGTGTCACCCTCCCAGGGGCCGGGATGGTACATGTGACAAGTTTCCAGGAAACTGCAGCTGGGGTCTGGGTCTGGTCCTGGGTCCTACAAGCAGGCGGAGGAGTCCCAGGGGCCCGCCCAGGCATGGGTGAGGTGCTGCAGGTGCCCTGCGGGGGCCTCGGCTCCCTGGGGGCAGGAGGAGGGGTCTCAGGCGGCCAGTCTTGCATCTGTTTGGGAGTGTGCAACAAGCACACAAATTGAGGTGGCCGCTGGCTGGAGGAGGTATCCCCTTTAATTTGGGCAGTCATTACTTTACCACTGGGACCAGGGCTCCAGGCAGGTCTCTGAGTGCTGCAGCCAGGAGATGGGGAGCCTTCCAAAGGAACACGGTTTGAACCTTGTCCAGGCAGGATCACCATTTGTGGGTGTGTACAGGCAGCGGGTGGGGGTGACCACAGGCCCCGTCACCCGGCCTGACATGTTTCTGCCTCTGCCCCCAGGGCCTGGATGACTATGGAGCGCGGTCCATGAGCAGGTAAGGGGACTTTCAGACCTGTCTTTGGGACCGTGGGTGGGTGTGAAGAGGCCGGGTGGGGCAGGTCCCTCTGCTAGGACCTGGGGCCACCTCTTTTCCTTTAGGGCCCAGCCTGGCCCTTCACCCCTGTCAGAGCCGGGGATGTCCCTTAGGGCGTCCTGCTTTCTCCGAGTGACACGGGAACCCCCCTGGGCCCTGCCCCTCTTTCATCGCATCTGGCCGGCCCCATCCATCCCTGTCAGGCAAGGTTGGGGAGGGTAGCTGAGGCTGGCATCCATGGCTGGGGCTGCAGCCTCCTCTGCCCCAATCTGTGCTCCGCCCTTGTCCTGGGTCTTCCTGGAGGGTCAGGAGGCCAACGGGAGCTGCTGAAAGGGGCATTGCTCGGTGCTGGCGGACTCGCCGCCTGTGGCTGGGCAGCGTCGTGCAGCCAGGCAGCCGTCCTGTGCTTTGTTTCACAGTGGCAGCGGCACGCTGGTGTCCACAGTGTGAGGACGCTGACCCCGGGCAGCCGCTGCTCTGAAGAGCTTCCGCGCCTTCCCCCTGGTCTCGTCCGTTTTCCTCCTCAGCTCTCGCTGGTTTGTTCTTGGGTTGTTTTTCTTTTCCACCTGCCCCATGCCTTTTGGTTGGTGACCCCAGACTCTGTGATCCCCCAGGGTCCATGGTGCTGCTCCATCCGCCCCCCCTCCCCTGTGTTTACGCGCCCCATCCTGTGTGTCCCAGCCTTTTGAGCAGAAACTGCCAGGCAGGACCTGCTGGGCCGTGCGGGGCACCCTCGGCCTCACCCTGCAGTGTCTGTGGCACTCACTGCTTTTCTAAGGCTCGCCGTGAGCCAGGTCTAAAGTTTGAAGAAAAAGAAAAATCTTAAAAAAAAAAAAAAAAAAAAAAAGAAAAAAAGAAAAACAGGAAAAAGGACTTTTTTTTTCCTGAAAAACAAAAACCGATCTGCATGGACTCCGGTGTGCGCTGTTATCTCGCATCCGACTTCCCCGGTGCGATGGCCTCTGTCCGGACAGGGAAGGTGCTGGGGTCCCTGGCCGCCCCGGCCCCTGTGGAGGGGTGCACAGAGAAAGGGGGCTCGTGCCAAGCTCGAGGGGCCTCCTGAGGAAGCCGGCCGCTCCTGTGAGGGAGGCCGGGCCCGGGCACCTGAGGGCTTCTCCCTCTGGACACTGCGGGCCAGGTGTACATAGAGCAGCGCGGCACAGTGGCCTCACCTCCCGTCGGGCACTGGCGGGAGCAAGGTCGGGGGCAGGCGCTGCCCAGCTGGCCGCACACGGACATTCCAAAGACCTCCAGAGACCACCCCACCCCCACATTCCTTTGACCAGCCTTGTGAGGGCATCGATGCTGCCCCGGGCTACCTGGCTGCTCTGGGCAGGGTGTGCGGGCCGGGCCCGGCTGGGGGAGGGCAGCTCTGGGCACGCCGCACCCACGCCCCCCACCTGGGGGAAACAGGCGGTTCCTGCCCGGTTCTTCCTAAACGCTCTCGTCTTTTTGTGTGTCTTGGTGACTTTAGAAACAAACACAGTGGACTCAGTGGCTACTGGTATTGTCTCTTCCCACACTGAACTCTGGGGAATTGAGTGCAGGGCACAGCCCGGCTCAGCCTGCCCGCTGGTGGGAGCCCCTGGGAAGCTGCGGCGCTCCTTTATCTGATGTGGTTTAGTAAAAGCCTCCCACACACCTCCCCGTGGCCTGGGACGTGGCTGGTAGTGTTTGTGTGGGAAGCAGCTCAAGACGCGGACCGCGTGACATTAAGGAGAGCTCAAGGGCGGACCGGGCCCTGTGTAGAGACCCTTCCGCGCCGGCGTTCCCGCTCCGCTAAAGATTTCAAATCCAGGGGATTCCATGCTCAATGGATGAATGTAGACACAAAACAGCAACACTTGTATGAAGATGTAAAGTGCTGAACATATTTTTTTCCTGTTTCCTTTCCTTTTTTTTAAAAAATCTGAATTGTGCCCTGTACTGCAGTTACTTGTTTGAATAAAAGTTTTATTTATTGCACGAGTTGGGTATGGACCTCCTTCCGGTTCCCGGCGTGCGTCTTTGCCGTGGGGGCCCCGCCTTGTGCCCACCTCTGCCAGGTATTTTCTCGGCACTCAGTCGCCTGCTAGATAACCTGGGCTTGCACACGGTGCTGGCCCCAGTGACAGTCGCTCACTCTGCCCGGGCTCTGCGGGGGGCCGTCTGCAGCTGAGGCAGGCTCCTGGCTCCCTCCAGGCCCGCAAGTGAGGCAGGCTCCGCAGGCGCCGTCCAGGGAGAGCCAGAGCCCCAGCTGTGTGCCGACTCCGAGTGCTCCAGGGTTCTAGGTCTCCTGGCAGCTCGCCCGTGGTCCCCCCTCCTCTGCACCCCCGAGTCCTCAGACCCCATGCTGCCTCCAACTGAGCCTTGTGTTTCCTTGCAGCGCCGATGTGGAAGTGGCCAGATTCTGAGCCGCCTGACTAGAGTTAGTAAGTTGCCTGGCGTTCTCGTGCAGTCACTGGCCTCTCCAGTGGTTCTCCACGGGCCCTCTGGCCTCAGTCACGCAGCCTGGGTGGGGAGGGCCCGGCTGCATGGCGGGGCCAGGGGTCCACTGAGCCTGCCTCTCACTCTGGGTGCTGGGCCTTCTCTACTGGGTCCCCTCCTTGGGTTCATGGTATCTTTCTCCCCTCCCGGAAGCTTGTGGGCTCTGGCTGGCTGTGCCCGGGGCTCCTCTCACTGCTGGGTGTGGCTCTGGCCCTGACCTTCTGTGTGGTCCTCTCCTGCCCTGCTGGGCGCTTCAATTATAGTCAAAGGGTGACCCCGGCAAGCAGCTGCAGCCCGGGCCTTTCCCGCCTGACTCGCAGCGCCAGCTTGGGCTCCTTCGGGTGTGTGTGCCTTTGGGGCTGACAGCCTTGTGGGGACTGGAGGTCAGGGTCCTGGGGAGAACCCTGGGGAGCTCCATAGGCACTGGAGCCAGGTGTTGGGCCCACTGGGGACCGGGCTGTGCTGTTAGTCTGACCTTGCCTCTTCTGTCCCCCAAGCCCCACAACGTGGACCCAAGACACTGGCTCCATCCCTAGTGTGGATCTGCAGACCTGGAGGGCTGCTGGGTCCAGGTTTGAGCTGACGCTCACTCCGGGGACCACAGGGCCATTATGGGTCCAATTCCAGTGGGACTCTGGAGTCCGGGTCTGAGTCCATTTCCTCACGGGTTGAGTGGGCCACTCCCCTGGTGCCTGGTGTATATTTGGGATGTGCCAGGGTGTCCAGGAGCAGGCCCTCTGCCCTCATAGGGGGCCCTTGCCCACACCTTCCAATCGCCTACACCTGTGTCTGGGCGGGTCCTGCTTCCCACCACCCTTCCATCCCCAAGTTGCTAGGAGGGCGGCTCTGCAAAGCCAGTGCCTGCATCCTTCACAAAGGACGTTGGTCCCTGTGTCTCCCTGGTGGTCACAGCAGGCATCCTGGCCCACGGGCAGCCAGGCCACAGGCAGATCATGGATCTGTCTTCTTTCACTGCCTTTCTGTTGTTGATTTTCGGCAACAAATTCTGGAAGATTAGGTAGAAAAATGCTCCTGAACTTTGGGGACTGGATGGAGATGCTCTGGGTTGGCCCTGGCCACCACCTTGCCTTCCGCCTCCATCTTCCTCCCTTCCGAGACGCTGTTTCTGGGAGGCCTCCAGACCCCCCCACTCCCCCAGGTCCCTCTGAGCTGAGGGGGCTGAACTGCCCTTACCTGGTGAGGCTTGGAAGGGGTGAAGGCTCAAAGATGAGGCTGGCACAGCCTCTGTCAGGGACCACGTCCCTTGGAGGGCAGAGACCCTGGGTAGCAGTGCCGGTGGGGCAGTGGTGCTCAGCCCCAGCACCACTCCACAGTGCCAGGGGCCAGTTTCCCGGCCACGCAGTCTGCCTGGTCTGACAACTCAGCTGGGATTGGGGGTGTCGAAAGCCACTTGCAGTTGGCCAAGAGACTCCCCAATCCCATTGCCACCCTGTCATGCCCCAGCTTTGGGCCCTGGGAAGGGGGCCTTGGAATGAGAGTGGAGGGGCGAGCGTCCCTGGCCGCTGTCCATACTCGTCAGCGGAGGCCCAAGCGCCCACGCTGGACCCGATTCCAGAAGGGCCCACCTTCTGAAGACACGAAGAAACAGCTGACGCGAGAAGACAGAAAACAGGTGCTGTCCGCCCGGCTCTGGGTCTGGAGTCACCCAACTGGTCGAAATGCATTTGTGACGGCTCCGTTTCTTCTCGGAATCCTTCTGCTTCACATTCAAGTCATTGGTGAAGCTGCCGCTTGGCCGAGCGCCGTGGCCCACACCTGTAATCCCAGCACTTAGGGAGGCTGAGGCGAGAGGATCTCTTGAGCCCAGGGGTTCGAGATCAGCCTGGGCAACCTAGGGAGACCCCCATCTTGACAAAAAAAAAAGTTAAAAATTAGCCAGGCATGGTGGCACGCGTCTGTAGTCCCAGCTTCTCAGGAGGCTGAGGTGGGAGGATTGCTTGAGCCCAGAGGTGGAGGTTGCAGTGAGCTACAATTGCACCACTGCATTCCAGCCCGGAAGACAGAGCAAGACCCTGTCTCAAAATAATAATACAATTTAAAAATTAGAAAAGCCACCGGTCTCCCCTGCGGCCTTGCTTAGGGGCCTCTGAGGGGAGGCTCTCTGTGAGGAGACAGAGCCCAGGCCTCTGCATTCTGAGGCCAGCGCCCTGCCCGCCCAACAGCTCCCCCACACATGACGCAGGCCCTCCTCAGGGTCCTCCGCTCTTGGACACGTCTGGTGACTTTCCTTTGCTGGCTGGAGAGGTGCTGGTGGTGTCATTGGGTAGTTCGTGGCAATCGCTGCCCAGGGCCATGTCCTGCAGGAGGTGGGGCCTGGCACGTGTCCTCCGGCAGGGACCAATGTCTGTGGCTAACGTGTGGTGACCTTGCAGTGGCCTTGGGCTGCAGACTTTGTCATATTCTATTGGCTCAGTTAGGCCCCCACTCAGCACAGCGAGCTCCCCGCCGGCCTCCTGGGCGCGTCTTTCCCAGACAGCTGGGGGGTGGGGGCCAGGGTGGGGAAATAGGGACGCCCAGCCCCTCCTTGTGGGCCTGCTGTCCCAGCCAGCCTTGGGCTCTGGCCTGCGCTCTCCCCATCCCCGCCGACCCCCCTGCCCCCGTCAGGCTGAGATTGGACACAGCATTTGCAGCCCCAGCCCCAGGGTCCTCAGAGCCACCCAGTGTGGATGGTTCAGCACGCTCCACCTGGTCCCACTGTTCTGGGAGACAAGAAGAGAAAAATGCAGGTTAGAGAACAGGCCTGCACCAGTGGAGGGCTTCCTACCCCTGCAGCTCCCCGTGGGGTCCAGGCAAGCGATGTGCCTTTGCCACTGACTTTCTGATGAGAATCGGCTGTGATTCGGGGCAGGAGTGAGAACCACGCGGCTGCACTGCCCTCGGCTGTGGTCTGGGCCAGATCTAGGACCCTTCTCTGGGAACCCACTTTTTTTTTTTTTTTTTTTTTTTTGAGACAGGGTCTTACTCTGTCACCCAGGCTGGAGTGCAGTGGTGGGAACACAGCTCACTACTGCCTCGCCCTCCTGGGTTCAAGCGATCCTCCCACTTCAGCCCCCCATGGAGCTGGGACCACAGGCATGCACCACTCTCCCGCACCTGCCTAATTTTTTTTTTTTTTTTTTTGTAGAGACGGGTACGCTTTGCTGCCCAGGCTGGTCTTGAACTCCAGGGCTCAAGTGGTTCCTCCTGCTTTGGCCTCTCAGAGTGCTGGGATTCTAGGCAGGAGCCACTATGCCCAGCCAGCCCCATTTCTAATCTCCCCAGAGCTCCCTCCGGACCCTGGGCCTGCGGAGGAACTCGGGCCACAGAGCACTTCCTTAGGAGTGGGTCTAGCCTGGCAGGCAGACAGGGCATGGGCAGACATCAGTGATGGAGGTGGAATCCTCACCAGCGGGCCCCTAGGCAGCCCCTACCCAGGCCCCAGGAAGGGCAAAGCTGCACCGATCAAAGCTGAAAAAAGCCGGGGATCCAGCAGACCCTGAGGCTCCAGCACGTTGAGAGTAGATCAAAAGATCCTTTCAGCAGGGTGCCAATGCTTAGACGCCATCTGGGAGTCTGGGAGCCTTCCGCAGACCTGTCAGTCTCTTCCACGTACTTTATTCTCTTAAAAACTCAGTCTGTAGTGTTTCAAGTTCTTAGAAAACACAAAGTCCTCAGGAAAGCTTAGGGAGCTGCCTCTGCCCTGTGCCTCTTCCTGGGCAGCTGGACGGAACCCTGCCTGCCCACCCCAGGGTTTGCTTCCGGCTGCCTGTGCCTCTTCCCGGGTAGCTGGACGGAGTCTGCCTGCCCGTCCCCAGGGTTGTTCCCGGCTGCCCGGGCTCTTGTGGACCCAGCTGTGCCAGAGGTGATTCTGCTCCAGGTAATGGCTCCAGAGTCCAAGCACAGCTTTGCCAGAGCACAGTCCCGTCCCTGCTGCGTCTTCATGTCCACGTGCCATCTGTGCTGTCACCCTTGGAGCTGCCTGACATCCCCCATCCTGTCCTGTGCTGTCCCCTCCGGGGGTGGGGACTCCAAAGAGAAAGGCTCAGGCATCCCTCTCATCCGTGCTCATCTTGTTCCATTTCAACTTCTTGTCTTGAGTCGTATTTGTGCATCAGCTGTGGCCCCGGGGATATGGGGGAGGGCGCGGCACCCCTCGGGGGACAGGTGGCTGAGCCCACAGCAGGTGAACCACTGTCTGGCCCAGGGGATGGCCAGCTGCTCTGCAGGGCCCATGGGTGTCCATCTGCAGCCCTGCGGGAGCCGTGAGCCTAACCTGCCTTCTCTGGATGCCCCCATGCCAGGGCTGGGCTGGACGCTCTGCCACGCTGTGTCCCTGGGTGTGGGCCTGGCCTGGTGGGGGAGCCACCAAACTGGTGTGTGCCCGGTTCAGGCCTGTCTTGAATCCCCAGCCTCAGTGGTGATGTCCGCCCCTCACTGGGAGGTTGTGGCTGGCCTGCCCCGCCCCACCCCGCCCTGCCCTGCCCAGCCCACACTGCTGGGAGGGTGATGGATCGGGGTGGGGGCACCCTGCCTTGTCTAGGGCACATAGTGGACTTGGGGGTCAGGCAGCCTTGCAGACAGCGCCTGGTCCTCCCTGCCCCGCAAAGCAGCGTATATTGTCTGTGAGCTCTGTGCCCTGAGATCGGACCGTAGGCATCCAGCACTGGGGAATCCCTGGGGCATCGGGCAGCCCAGGTGGCACAATTCACCCATGGCTTCCGCCCTAAAAATTAAAACCACGTTTTTCTCTTTCAGGAATCCCTTTGCCCACGTCCAGCTGAAGCCGACAGTGACCAACGACAGGTCTGCCCCCCTCCTCAGCTGATGGCCACATCTGCAGTGCTGCCCATCTGGTGGCTTCCCCCGCCCTTCCCATGTAGCCTGTTCTGTCATCATCTGTGCGTTCCTGTGTAGAGAACATCCAGGCCCCGGCTGCCTGGTCTTGCCCCACTTGAGTCTGGCCTGGACTGGATCCCAGCTGTTCTAGGCAGGGCCGGGCAGAGTGGGGCGCAGGCCCCTGAAGGGCGAGACCCAGTGGCTGGGCTGCCCAGGGCTGAGGGGCCGCCTCTTGAGGGTACACGCCTCTGGTCACATGGCCATGGAGCCTTGGGTACCCCTGAGTTAAGGGAGGACATTTGGCCAGCTGGTGGCTGGGAGGGGAGCCTGGCTGCCCTGCTGCTTCTCCTGCCTAATAAACAGGCTTCTCCTGCACCAGGTGTGATCTGTCCGCCCAAGGGCCAGAAGGCCGGGAGCACGGGGATGGGAGCGCCCGCACCCTGGCTGGAAGATGAACTTCCCGTAAGCACGTAATTCCCTGCAGGTCCGGCAGCTACACCTGGAGTGTGGGGCCTGGTCCCTCCCCATGCCCCTCGGTGGGGCTCTCCTGGGCCCCTCACTCCCACTGGCAATGTCACAAGGGCCTCCCCAGGCCCCTCCTGCCTCGGGCAGGCCCCAGCCCTCCTCCTTACCCAACCTCCCATCCAGAACCTTGCTGCCAGGGCCTCCCAGCTCGCTCCTGCGGCCAAAGGCCAGCTGTCAGGTGCTATGCGGGGTCACCAGCAGAGTGCCCGCTGGCAGGTGGGGGCTTCCCCGCTTCCGGGGTCTGCCCCAGGACTCCTGGGTGGACCTCCCCCCCCCACCTCCGCTGACTCCTGCAGGCACTGGGGAGCTCTGCTGGAATTGGGGGTTTTAAAACTTCATTAGCAGATTTGTGCTCTTCCATACTGTTTGTTTGTTTGTTAGGTGAAATACAGTGTGGTGAGCTGCACTGGTGACAACAGCCCTTACCTGGCTGGGGAGGTGTCTCCAGCAGAGCTCACTCCCGCCTACAGCCACTCACACCCCGGGGACAGGAAGCTGTAGAGTTGGCGGGCCAGGAGGGCAGTTGAGAGCTGGCCAGCGGAGGGTGCAGGGAAGCCCAGCTGTGCTCAACTCTCCTGCCTCCGCCTTCCACCCTGGGCCCAGGGACAGACAGACATTGCCCTCAGAAGGGCAGGGAGGAGGCTGTCCTGGAGAGGCCTGTAGGTCCATTCTTCACCCGTCCCTACCAGGCCAACTCGGCCTGCAGGAAGGGAGACCTGCAGGGCGCTACCCCTGCGCCCCCACACACAGTAGGGCCAGAACACCATCCCCTCCACCGGGGTGTGCCGAGGACAGTGGGGAGGAGAGGAGAGGGGCAGCTTCCTCCTGGCCCCAGGAAGGGCTGGCATCGGGTTCCTGGCACAGCCCCTCCTGTCCAGGACTTTATCATCGGCAGACCTCAGAAGACAACACACAAAGGTTTCTTTTGTCTTAGCTTCATTTCTCTTAAAAAACAAGGAACAAGAAAACATTGCACCAGCGTTCTAAGCCTCAAACAAAACACAAAACAAATCCCCCTGCGAAGCAACAATAAACTTTACATCTCTTTGGCAACAATAACTTAAAATCACCCAACTTCCATTCGCTCCAACCACAGCAGTTAGTTAGTTACAAAAATATTCCCTGTGCTGCCCTGCCCCCAGCTCCACCCCTTCCCCACCATCCCTCTCCCTGTAGGTAGGAGCCCCCCAACACTGACTGCGGGGCATGGCCCCCACTCTCCTTTGGCAGCTGGGGCACAGGACCAGATACTGCCCCACAGAGGGGAGCTGCCTGCACGGTCCTGCCAAGGGCACCTCTAGAACGGGGCCCACGGGGCAGGAGTACAGCCTGGAAGCCCCTCCACCCCTGATCTTTTGGGCTGCCCACCGTGGCCACAGCGGGACCCAGGTGGGAGCAGCCTGTTCCCTGTGGGAAGGGTGGGCTTACGGGTCTAGCTGAGTCAGTGAAGGGGAAACAGCCACGGACTTTGAGATAAGGGCAGCGGAAACAGGACCGACACGGGCGCCCAGGGCCACTCCTTGCCCTGAGCCACCAGGAACCAGGCAAGGGTGGGGGCACAGGGGGTGGGAAGAGGCTCACAAACCTGCCAGTGTCTCGGGGCCATGCCTCGTCCTGGTTTAAGTGTCCTGTGAGCACACCGGAGGAGCTGCCGGATGGGGCATGCGGGTCCTCCGAGGCCAGGCAGGCAGGGCAGAGGGTGGGGGCCGCCGTGCCCAGGGGCACTGGCCCCTTTTGAGTGTGTATGTGTGTACAGACACCCACTGTGGCTCCAGGCGCCCCCAGGGGCTAGCAGCAAGCCTAAAAGCCCAGACGAATTCTGCCTCTGGGGCGGAGCATGGCCGATCTACCATCCAGGGCCTCTCATCCCACGGGCTTCTCCAGGACACCGCGTGGGGCAGAGGCACCTGAATCTGCTGCCAACAGCCACCAGGACGTGGTCCCCACCTTCTCGGTCACCATCCTCGCTGCTGCCTGGCAGGGGCTCCGGTGACGCCAGCCTTGAGGGGCAGGAGCTGCCCAGGTCTCAAGCCTCTTTACTCTCACCCCCGGCACCAGCTTCAGGTCCTGGCAAGCAGGACAACAAAGTGAACACAGGGTTCTGAGACACCAGGGCTGCCTCCCCCGCAACTCCCACCTGGCCTCCATCCCTGGCCCACATACAGGCCGGGCCCCTTCCCTGCAGCAGATCTGGCTGTGTCTAGGTGAGAGATGGACCCATTTCCCCCACTCCTGTCACTGGACTCAGGCCAACAACTCTCAGCAAATGCCTCCGAGTCCTGTTTTACGCATAAGGAAACTGAGGCCTGAACAGGAAGGGGATGGCCAAGGTCATGCAGTGGCCTCCTGGTGACCTGCCTGCTTGTTCAGCCACACAGGGGGCACCCTGCACCAGGGGTGAGGCTGACAGGCCCTTCCCCCAGGGCTGCAGCCACAGGCCAGGACAGCTAGGGAAGAGGAAGCTGGCAGGGGGCCTTCTCCGAGGAGGTGGGCACTTGTCAGGCACGTGGGCAGAGGCTGTAGGGGTAGGGACACCTGGCAGAGATGAGCCCAGCCTGGGGTGGGGCGGATAGTGGAGGGCCATGGCCGGGAGCGGTGGCTCAGGCCCCCAGCAGGGCTCCACCTGGGCACCGTGGGGCCGGGGCACCGTGGGACCTGGGTCTGCAGGGACTTCTGGCTGGGAAGGTTCCGGTGAGAGGGCCTGCCGCAGGTCTGCGGGGTAGGGTCAGGCAGAGGAGAGCCGAGTGCAGGGGCCAGGTGAGGGCCAGGTGAGGGTCAGGTGAGGGTCAGGTGAGGGTCAGGTGAGGGTCAGGTGAGGGCCAGGCGAGGGCCAGGCGGGGTCCAGGCTAGGTCTGGGGCCGGGAAGGAGCGGGGCCGGGAAGGAGCGGAGCGGAGCGGAGCCGGGGCTGGCCCGGCCCAGGACCTAGACGGAGGGGCCCCACCCTCGGAGCTCCGTGCCCTGCCTCCCGCGTGCCCTTCTGCCACAGCCCCGCCCAGGCCTCACCTCTCTTGGACTCGGCGTCCGAGTCAGACACGTGCGTGATGGAGAAGCGGGACGTGGGCGCGGGCGACACCGTGAAGCGCGAGAAGGGAGCGGGCGTGGGCGTGGGCGCAGCCGGGGCGGGTGCGGCCGGGTCTAGGGCCATGGCGAAGGCTGCCTTGGCCGTCATCAGCGGGAAGTCGTCGTCCCACGCGAACCCACCACCTGCAGCCCAGGTCGCGGCGTCACTCGCGCTCACAGCCTGGGACCCCGGCCCGGCCCCGCTCCCACAGTCACGGGCCCAGGCCCCGCCTCCCATCATGTCACGGGCCCAGGCCCCGCCTCCCATGATGTCACGGGCCCAGGCCCCGCCTCCCATGCAGCACGGACAAGGCCCCGCCTTCCGTGACGTCACGTACCAGACCCGCCTCCCATGACGACACGGGCCAAAGCCCGCCTCCCACGCGTCAAGGACCAGGTGCTCCTCCCATGATGTCACACATTAGGCCCCGCCTCCCACACAGCACGGACCAGGCCCTGCCTCCCGTGACGTCACGGGCCCAGCCCCGCCCCTGCTCACCCTCTTCCGCTGTGGAGCCATTTGGGGAGCCATCAGCCTGCTGCGGCCGGTTGGGGGCGCTGGGAGAGCCGGGGCTCCCCCTAAGGAACGTAGGGGGCGATTCCTTGGCGCCCGGGAAGGGCTCCCCGAGCTCCCGGGTGGGGCTTTCCTGGAGGAATCAGAGAGCACCAGGTAGCTCGGCCGCCAGGAGCCGCGGCCGCTCCCACCCCTTCCTGCGGGAGCGCGACCCCCAGCCCCGGGCAGACCCCGGGTGGCGGCGGCCCACCTGGTCAAAGAGGTAGACGGTGACGTCGTCGAAGAAGGACACGGCCTTCTTCTTGCGTTCCAGGTCCTCGCAGAAGGTCTCGGACAGCAGGCTGGGCATCTTGAGCAGGCTGCGCAGGTTGCGCGCGCTCTGGCTCTCAGCCACCACCACGGGCACCGCCGGCGCCTCCTCTTCGCTGTCCTCGCTAGGCTCCTGGACGCTGTAGCAGCGGAGCTCCTCGTCAGACTCGTCGCTGTCCTCACTGTCCTCCTCCTCCTCCTCCGGCCGGCCCTCCAAGGCCGCAGGGAGGCCGGGCAGAGCCAGGCGGAGTGGGGCTCTGGGGGTGCCTGGGCCCCCCATCCGCTTTTGTGGGGCCGGCCCTGACAACAGTCCTGGGGGCCCCTGGAACTCAGAGCTGTTGCCTTCTGATCTCAGCGGAACCGGGGTCAGCAGGAAAAACTGGGAGCAGCTGGGGCTGGGCCCAGGCCGCACCTTGGCTGGGCCTTGGGGCTCCGGAGGCTCTGGGACCAGGCCCGAGGGGCAGGTGCTGGGCTCTGGGGAGGACCCTTCAAGCTGCAGCAGTGGGGGCAGCACCTCCCCGGGGCCAGAGCCTTGTGCCTCCCCGGAAACCCCAGGCCTGAGACAGACCTGCTCAGACGGCTGCCCAGTGCTCGGCAGGCCCAGCTCTGGCCCGGGGGCTCGGTCCCCGCCGCACTTCTTCTCTGGGCCTGAGGTGGCCTCGGCCTCAGCCTCGAGGTCTGAGAAGTAGGCAGAGTCTCGGTAGGGATTCTTCTCGTTGAGGCCACTGAGGGAGGTGGAGAGCCGTGTCTCGGGCCCGGGGCCCTCACCCTCTGAGGCCAGCTCCGCAAAGGCCTGGGGCTCACACCCTTCCTGCGCCTCCTTGAGCACAAACTCAGGGGACTCATAGTTCTCGGTGTCATAGCCACTGTCCAGCGCTCGCGGCTGCCCTCCAGAGGGGCCAGTGGCCGACGGGCTGAAGACCTCATAGCCACCATCACTGGCTGAGGACGGGATGTCCAGGGAGTCCAGGGAGTCGGGGGTCCCCACCTGCTTCTGCAGAGAGCGGAAGGCTGGCACCACATCCGGCCTCCTGGCCTGCAGGCCGTCGCTGGACGTGTCGGTGAAGATGCCTGAGGTGGCCTCGGCCGTGTCCTCATCCTCACTGCTGGGTGCCTCCACCTCGGGAGAGCTGCTGCTGCCATTCAGGGCAGAAGCCAGCTTGATGGCAGACACCTCGCCACCAGTAGCAGGCGTGGGAGAGTCAGGCAGGGCATCAGGGGCGTCGGGGGCACTGGCCTCCTCCGAGGGAAGTGGGGCTCCCTCCTGGGATGGGGAGGGGACGGAAGGAAGGGGCAGGCGGGGTCCGGTAGTGCCCTCAGCCTCCGTGGCAAGCTTGGGCTCTGCCTGCGGGTGGTCACCCCCACTACTGGCTGTCTCTGTCCAGGAGGGTGTAACCAGGCAGGGAGCAGGTGCCAGGCCCTGGGCAGAGCATAGATGAGGGAGGCCGGGGCAGCAGCCTGGCTCCTGGGCAGAGGCTGCCTGGAGCCCAAGCAGAGGCTCTCCAGGGTACCCCGGCTCGGGGGAGGCCCGTGGGGTCTGCTTTGGACTGGGGCAGCCCTCAGCGTGGCCGCCCGCAGAGACGGGGTCCCAGGACTCTGGACAGCGGCTGCCGCTGTTGTTGTTGGCTGACACGTTGGAGCGCCAGTGCCCGCGCTGGGCGGCCCTCCGCGCTCCCACCTCCTCTAGCTCATCCTCGCCAGTCAGCGGCAGCGGGGGCGCCCCTGAGCTCCCCAAAGGGGACGTGCCCAGTGGGTCCTCGAAGAAGGCAGGACAGAAGGCGGCCACGCCCCAGTCTGCATCCTCCGCTCCTCCCTCCGCCAGACTCAGGGGCCCCGCCGAGGGCGAGGGAGAGCGTGAGGGGCAGAGCGGGTCCCGCGCCAAGCTTCTGCGAGGGTAGTGGTCGCCGCGGCCCCAGGGGACGTCGACGGGTGGCCCGTGGCCCAGCAGCGGCTCCATGGCCAGCGAGGCGGCGGTGCTGCCGTCAGAGTCGTCGTCCTGGTCCGCGGTGGCAGGTGGACTGGGGGCGCAGCCGGCGCAGTCAGGGTCGTGGCCGGCGGCGGGTGCGGCCTCCTCTAGGCGGATGAAGTACTCGCTGCCCAGCGACGGGCTGTGCGCGCTGAGCACCGGAACCACGCCCGGGGGCGCGCCGTCGGGGGCGCACAGCTCCTGCAGGCGTGCGGTGCGGCCAGGGCTCAGCGTGGCCGGGAAGGCCTCCGCGCCGCGGCCCGCCTCCCACTTGTACTCAAAATTGAGGCCTCGGCTGGTCTCGGTCACCGTCAGCACGTCGTCGCCGTCCGCGTGGAAGCCGTCGCCCGCGAACTGCTCCAGCAGCGGGAAGGACGAGGCAGCGGCGAGCTCCACCACGCCGCCCAGCATGGGCCCCGCCGCACCGGGCCCGGGCCCCACGCCGCCCCCGCCGGGCCGCAGAGAGCGCCAGCGCCGTTCAAACTCCTCCTCTGCTTCGGTGGCGCCCTTGGCACACAGGTAGGACAGCAGCAGGTGCACCTCCTCGGCTGTGGGCCGCTGCTCGGGCTGCAGCCAGCAGAACTGCATCACCTCGTACCTGCGAGGAGGTCCCCCGGGGGCCACGTCAGAGGCAACGCTGGCCAGGAACGCGTCCCTGGAGCAGGGATGGGGGTTCCCCTAACTCCCAGTGTCTTGGGGGCATTAAGGGTATCTCCCACTTAATTGACACCCCAAATCTGCCAAGGCAAGCCCAGCAGCGTGGGAGCAGGAGGTGGGCTGGGCACTATCCTTAAGCCTTCCCTCCCTGTACACAGGGGTGCAGAGGTGGCGGGTGGAGGCCCTACCAGAGGGGAGGGGAGACCAGGCAGGGCTGGAACGCCAGGGGGTCAGGGTGAGCCGCCTCTGCCTGGGGATCAGGATACCCCATCTCGGCCTGGCTGTCCGGGACAGGGCAGTGGGGCCCTCACCAGCGGTCCGACAGGGTCAGCTGCAGCTGGGGCTTGGGCAGCTTGAGCTGCTGCTCCCGGACCGTGTACGCCAGCACCTGCTGGTCCGAGTGCTGGGGATAGGGCTGCGTGCCCAGCTCAAAGAGCTCCCAGATGGTCACGCCCAGGGACCTGTGGGGCGACAGCCGTGAGCCAGGGCTGGGCACAGCCTGCCACAGCAAGGACCGCGCAGGATCCCCGGGGCGCCGAATGGGGCAGCTCCCGCCATCACGCCAGTGCCTCAGGACCGGGGCCTGGTACCATACCAGCCGCCCCTCCCTGAGGACAGCGCGTCCTTTCAGCAGGCAATGTGCACCCTGCCAGGCCCAAGCCCAGCACCTGTGGAGCCTGCACATAAAGGCCGGGCTGGCCGAATCCATCTGCTTGTCCACTCATTCATTCATTCACTGATGCACTGAAGACCAGACACTGCCCGGTGTGGGAGCTGCCCTGGGGGAGCTGGAGGGCGGGCGTGGAGCCCAAAGCGGAGTAGGGCCCGCACCAGCAGGGGGCTGAGGGAGGGGGAGGGAGGGGGAAGGAAGGGGAGAGAGGGGACGCCTCAGGCCAGCATGGGCAGGGCTGGGTAACAGGCAGGGGTGCACAGAGCGTGCAGGCGGGTAGGGTAACTGGGGTCTCCTTCCCCGTGGGCTGTGGCTTCACCCAGCCACTTTGGTCCCTGGCTGTCCCAAGAGGCTGCAGAGTGAGACAGAGGTGATTTGGCAAGACGTCACCATGACCTTGGCCAGAGCCCTGTGACTGGAGACCCCAGCCAGCGTGCAGTGGGTGGGCAGGCCAGGAAGGGGCACCTTGGTGGAGAGGTGAGGAGGGGACAGTGTCCATGATGGGGCAGTCAAGTGGCTTAGGGGAGGCCCCAAAAGCTCAGGGAGGGGGCCTGGCCCGTGGGATCTGAGAGTTCCCCAGAAGCAGAAGGCGGCCAGACCAAAGCCCGGGAGTGGTGGGGGCGGTTGGGGAAGCAGCAGAGGTGAGGCAGGGAGGGGCGCCCACCCCGGGGCGGACCACTCCCCTGGCGGCTCGGCCCTGCCCCTTCCGAGTCTACACCAGGTGTGAATGAACGCTCCGGGCTAGGCACTCAGGATAGGGGCTTCCAGGCTGCGGCCGTGGGAGATCCCAGCACCACCGTCAGCCCCTCTGCCTGGCACGGCCCGACCTACGCTCCCGTGAAGGCAGCCAACACCCCACCCAGACCCTCTCCCCAGGGACAGGTACTCACCAAGGCCCCCGTCTCAGGACAGACCCCCCGGCATGCTGAAGACGGGCCGTTGGCCCTGTACGTATGCCTTGACCCCACCATGGGGTCCCTGGGGCACCCTGTCAGGGTGGTATCTCCCCCGGTGTGGGGTCGCCACCCAACCAGCCACTTGGGCTGCTGGCGTGTGGCCACTACAGGTGGCTCCGGCAGCCCCCTGACCTCACTACTCATGGCCATGATTTGACATGGGTGGGCAGGTGGCACTCGGCCTCGGCCCCTCACGGTGCCACCAGGGCCGCACTCACCACACATTCCCGCTCTTGGTCTGGTCCACGACGAGCAGGTTGCTATGCACCTCGTCCACCAGCTCTGGCGCGATCCAGCGCAGAGGCACCCACAGCTGGTCGGCAGTCACGAAGTAGTCCTCCTGTTGGCACAGGGACGGGTCACCCCTGCCGGCGCAGGCCCTGCCCCTCATGCCCAGCCCAGCCCACCCCACCCCACTCACTCTGTACTTGCAGTGAGCCAGGCCATAGTCACCAATCTTCACCGTCAGGTCAGCCGTGAGCAGGCAGTTCCGCAGGGCCAGGTCGCTGCAGGCAGGGGCAGGGGCAGGGGCAGGGTGAGCAGGGTGAGCAGGGTGTGCCGGGTGGGGGCAGGGGGAGGGTCAGTGGGGTGTGCCGGGCGGGGGCATCCAGCACAGGGTCCTTTGCCAACACTTGGATGGCTCACAGTCCAGGCTGGAAGGGGCGTTGGAGACACTGCCACCCCCCATCCCTGCCCAGGGCCCTACTCTGTGCCCAACCCTGAGACCTGGGGAGGGACTGTGTGCGTGGGCCTCAAATGTTACAGTGCAGAGGAGAATGGGGCCTAGAGAGGGTGAGAACCTGCCGGAACCCACCCGGACCGGTCCACGCTTCTCCAGGACCCTCTCCTCCTAGCTCTACTACACTATCACTCTCGGCTCCCCAGGAGGTGGGAATTGATGGGGAAACTGAGGCCTGGAGTGTCCCAGGGGTCCTGCCGGCTGCCGGAGTCCAGTTTTAGGGTCCAGCCCTGCCATGCCCACTCAGAGCTGGAGCTCACTCTCACTTGAGCCACCACTGGCCCCAGGGTTGGGTAGGGTCTGGAAAGAATGCAGGTTACGCCTGGCACTACCTCCAACCCAGCCTGCCTTGGCTGCTGGCTTTGAACCCTGCCTGGCTGGTCACGTGGGTGTGAGGAGGCACAGGGTACTGGGTAGATATTACCACAGCTGCCGTATTACTTCTGTGCTCAGGACTCAGGGTGGGGACAGAGGCCAACCCAGCCTGTCCCTCCCCACATAAAACCCATGTCTGCGTGCCAGGGGATCGCTACAGGGCCATGTGTCCTGGGCCTAGGGGGTGGAGTGGGGTGGGTTGGGGTTGGGGGCAGGGCAGCTGGGGCCCGGCAGGCAGGTCGGGAGGCTGGCAGCTGCCCTCTTCAACAAAATCACTGATGCTGGAGTCGCCTGAGTCATCACTCAGCACCAGGATATTGTTGGAGAGGACAGCCGTGCGGCGTCTGGGGCTGACGGGGCCACGTGTCCTTCGCCACTTCTTCCAGCATGTCCCCCCGGGGTCCCCAGGGGCTGGGCATCCTGGCCCAAGCAGGACAGAACCCTCCCTCCAGGGTCCTTCGAAGCAGGGTCTGTCTCCCTCAAGCCCCAAAGCGAGGGCTTAGCAGAGTGTGGGGTTGGCGCGGGGCTGCAGGGTGCTGGCTGACTGCCTCGGGGACAGAGAACAGGCCAGCTTGACAGTACGCATCTCTTCGTCTAAACCTGCAAAGTGGGTGTCAAACCATTGTCTTCCCAATTTTTCAAAAACGTCATAAAATCCCTCTGCATAGTGGTTGTCTGATGCTGCATGAGATGAACCTGGCCGGTCCTCGCAAGCCCCCTGAGGCAGGACCCGCCCTATGCCCTTCCTTCAGGGGAGGGGCCTGGCCTAGGGCTTCCCGGCCGCTGGCCCGCGCCCGCCCTCACCTGTGCACGAAATTGTTGCGATGAAGGTGCAGGACGCCACAGGCCACCTCACAGGCCATGCGCTGCAGGGTCCGGGGGTCGGGAGCCATGGACTCCGCCACCCGGCAGCTCCGCAGGTAGCCCTTGAGGTCCCCCTGCAGAAAGGGGGTGTGGCGCAGTCACCAGCAGGCTGGGGGCTGGCCACCCTGGGAGGTCCCCACCTACCTCCCCAACTCCTCCACCCCTACCCACAGCTGAGGGACAGCAGCTGCCCAGAGCAGCCTCGTGCCCTGCACAGTGGCCAGCACCCAGCAGTTCCTGGAGGGGGGCCGTGTCCCCCAGGGCTGGGCTGGACTGAAGGCTTCCTCTCCACTGCCCCTCAGCCAGCCCCGGGCAGCAGGAGTCCCTTGGCCTGTGGTAGAGAGAGAAACACAGGGCCCAAGTGGATCTGCTTGATGGAGTCTGGGGCTGGTGGTCGAGGGTTGGCCGGCAGCCCCTGACCTGCCGAAAGCCCAGCCCCGGGACGGTCAACGTCAGGAGTCCAGACGCCAGTGTGTGAGGGCCCCTGTCCCGAGGGAAGCCAGCAGGGGATCCAGCCCAGCCACAGACAGCCTCGGCTCAGTGCAGGAGCTGCATATGTGGAAGGGGGTGGGGGGCAGGTCTCGGGGGAGGGGGAGACGGGTCCCCGGGGCAGGGGGGCGTTGATGGGCAGGTCTCAGGGGGAGGGGGGGACAGGTCCCCGGGGCGGGGGGCGTTGATGGGCAGGCCCAGAACTCCAGGCAGCCTGGGGAAGTGGCCAGGCCCAGCCCCCCATGGCAAAAGCAAGCCTGAGTGAGGCCGTGGAGCCCAAGTGGGCCAGTGCCCCCCCCCAGTTGGCCCAGGATGCCTCCTCCTGAACCACAGGGCACACAAGCAGGTGACCAAGCAGCTGGCAGCTCCCCAGGGGTGCAGGGAGCCCCAGCCCAGGCCTGTTCTGTGCCCAGCCCCCACAGTCCCTCCCTGGTGAGGCTAGGTCTCCCCATCGCCTCCTCTGGAAGGTGGTGGGGGCAGGGTCCCTGGGTCTTGGCTTTAGGGAGGATGTGAGGCCCCCAAGGAGGGGGTGGCACCAGACACTGGCAGGGCAAGGGAGGGCCCCGGCTCAGCAAAGACCCCAGCATCCCCCCGGGCAGCAGCTCACCAGTGGGCAGAACTCCATCACCAGCAGGTAGGGCGTCACCTCGGCGCACTGGGCCAGGCACTGGAGCAGGTTGCTGTGCTTCAGGGCCCTGCGGGAGTGGACAGGCGGCCCCTGACTTGGGAGGAGGTGGGGAGGGGGAGTCGGGCCGAGCAGGGGAGGGAGAGGAGGGGGCCGCACAGCACAGGCCTTTGTGCCCGGTGGCCTCCCACCTGTAGGGCTGCACCTCCTCCAGGAACTGCATCTGCTCCTGCACGCTGGCACTAGCCTGCAGCTCCTTCACCACCACCTGGGCACTGCTGATGCCAGAGTTCACCTCCCCCAGGAACACCTGTGGGACAGACAGCATCACCCACGGCTGCTCCGCCTCCACCGGCCCCGGCTTCCAGGCCTTACTCTTCTCCCACCCGCCCCACGCCGGCCCCCAGGACAGGACACTTCTCCTCCTGTGCCCCGTCCACTCATTGCAGCGTGAGGTATGGCTTCCGGATCCCTCCCGGCAACCCTCTGGCTGTAATATTCTGAGTCTTTCGTGTTACTCTCCCCACAAGGTCCCCCGCTGCCCTCTCTCTCTCTCTCTCTGGGGGTTTGAAGTGAGGAAGAGGGACCCAGGTGTCTCGTTTAGGCCAAGGTCAGGGGAAGGCCATGAGCAAGAGGCTGCTCCTCTCCCTCCCAGGGCCCCTCCCCAGGTACCTCTGACCCCAGGACCCCCTAGGGAGAAGGGGATGCAGCCAGATGCTGAGGACCTCCCTGGGGAAGGGTCCAGCAGGGCCCAGAGACTGAAGAAGGGACCGTCGGGGCTGGGGTGGCTCCTAGGAGGAGCAGGTCTGCAGCCCTGTGTCCCTTCTGCCTCCCAGGCGGGAGTCCTCCCTCCCAGGCGGGACACGTACCTTCCCGAACCAGCCACGGCCGATTTCCTTCAGGTACAGGAGGCTGTGCCGGCCCACGTCTGTGGACTTGAGGAGCTGCACTGTAACCAAGCAGGGGGTTCAGGGACCCAGTGTGGCCTCCGCACCCCCCAGCTTCCTCACCCGGCCCCTGGAGGGGCTGCCCGCTTGGCCTTTTCTGGGAAACTGTCCTGAGTCCCTAGCACCAGCTGGCAACCTTGGGGCCACCATCAGGAGCCAGGGTCTCTTGAGAGCAGGGGCCGCTGCTTCCCAGAAAAGCCACGGAGCTGCAGGATCCATCCGGGCATCTTTCTGGGTAGGTCTGGAGAAGGTGCCTGAAGCCACTGGGATAGCCCGGCCAGGGACAGCAGGGCCCGGAGCTCGACCCGTCACATGGGCTGCACCAGGCAGGCAGTGTGGCTGAGCAAGAGGCTGGGGCCACGGCACAGAGAGGGCACTGGAGCGGCCCACCCCCACCCTGCCGCAGGCTGGCATCCCACGCCGGGCGCACCAAAGGCTCCTTTGTTGGGGGCTGCTTGGCACGGCCCCGCACGGAGCACACTGGCCCATTCTCCCCGAGGGCCAGGCCGGGTGAGGTCAGCGGGAGGAAGGGTCAGTGAGGCCCGGGACGAAGGGGCCAGCGCTGGCAGAGCCCACTCATGCCTGCCCACGCCCCGAGGGATTCCCCGAATTCTGCTCCCACGTCAACTGCCCAGAGGGCTGACAGGCCTGGGTCTGAGCCTGGCTGCCAGGAGAGCCCAGGGGGAGGGGGCTCCTTCCAGGGCCTGGAGACCCAGAGAATGTAGAGGCGGGGCAGGGCAGAATTGAGCGTGTGGGCCCACCGGGTGCTGTGTCCTGAGCCCAGCCTGTCTGGGCGGCCCTCTCTCACCCTGGGGCGCCCAGGCCCACACTGTCCCTGAGCAAGTGTGGGGGTCCTGACCATGGGTGCTGAGACAGTTCAGAGGCCCTGGGCACTGCCGGAGGCAGCAGGCAGCCGTCCTTCTCTGCGGTCCCCAGCGGGTGGGGCCATTGCCCAGGTTTCTCCCCGCTGACCTCTGGGGCTACTTTTCTGACCTCACCCCAATCTCTCTCCTCCCTAGAAGCACATTCCTCCCCCAGAAAACTGAAACCAGAGCTGCAAAAGTAGAGAGACAGGTAACCAGTGCCTTCTTTCGGGCTCCTGTTCGCCAACCCCAGTCCCCACAGCAATCCTCCAGAGGTGGCTCTGAGAATCTTCGGGGGCCAGGCACACACCTGCCCCTGGACCCAAGGGCAGTACCCCCTCGGATGGTCCCTGGCAGCTCCCAGCAGGGTCAGCACAGGGCTCAGGGACCCCCACAGCCATCCGGGAAGGTCCGAGGGCCTCACGCTCTGAGTGGGTGGCTGCAGTCCTCCGCGCCCGCCCACAGATGTACTCGAGCTCAAGTGCCAGCCCTGATTCCTGCCGAACTGGGAACCTGTCCTCCAGGAGATGGGGCAGAGTAGGACAGGCGTTGAGGCCTTGGCTCCAAAGCTGGGGGCTGGGGGCCCTCTCTAGGTCCCAGACCAGTGCCTTGGGCCTCTCAGCCCACGATGAAGGCTAGGCTCTCAGGGCCCAGCCAGGCACAGTTCATAGCCAGCTCTCAGGGTCCAGCCAGGCACGGCTCAGAGCAGGTGAGGTGGCCTGCATGGCACCGCAGTAACAGGCCCTGGTGCCAACAGAGCCCCAACAGGGCTGGCAGGGGCCCCTCCCACTGGCCTGATACCCCTCCTGCCTCTGTGTTCCCAGAGGAGCTGGGGGTGGGCAGTGATGGGGGAAGCCTCAGGCTGGAAGCTTCCTGGGAGGGGGCTTGAGATCTGATAGCTCTGGAGGGACCCGCACCCACCACCTAGGCTCCAAGACAGAACTGGGAGGTCCTGAAGCCTGGCCATTCACCCCCAAACTCCCCAGCACGTCCGCCCCATGTGAGTGGTCGGCCTAGGACCCTAGGATGGGGGCAGATGAGGCTGTGGCTGAGGCCCTGCCTGCACCTGCACTCCTGGGTCAGCCCCACCCCTCGGCCCCTCCTCGCAGCCTGAGTGAAAGGCTAATTCACCACCCGCCCACACGGGCCCCACCAGCGCCCCTCCTCCTGCCATGCACAATGGAACCCGTGTCCCTGAAGGGCTGGCGCTCAAGGGGGCAGGAATCTGGGGTCAAGCATCCCTGGACTGCAGAAGAGCCCCTGCCCCCAGCACATGGCCATGTCCAGGACCAGAGAGCCCGCACCCCTGCCCCAGTGCCCACCCCTGCCCCGTGCCCACCCCTGTCCCTGTGCATAGCAGCCCCTTGGGCAGGGGAGGCTGGAGGCCGAGGGCTGTCCTGGACCCTGCCAACCCCTGGCCGGCCCCCAGGCCCAGGAGAAAGAGGTACATGCACCTTTGGCCCCACAGTGCGGCCTGTGACGCAGCCACAGGGAGTCCAGGGCTGCACACTGCGTCTACCCCACAGGCCACTCCCAGCCCTGTGCTGCCCCCACTCCAGAGCTGAGTCTTCCGGTCTCCCCAGATCACACCCAACGCCCAGCACCTGGGCCCCGGAGGGAGGCCACCCCATCTCCCCACCCAGCCCTCACCTGAGCGCCCAGGCTGCTTGGCCATGGGCAAGGAGACCTCCGTGAGTGGCAGGACGTACACGTCGGGCCCGTTCTGTGCTGCCGTGGCCGGGGAGCCCTGCGCCAGGTCGGCTGCGTACTCGTCCCCCTCCGCATTCTCAAACTCCTGCGGGCCGGGCCGGGCATGAGCGGGGCTTCTCGCAGGTCAAGGAAGGGTGTGGCTGGGCCTGGAAAGGCCCCTTTCTTCCAGGGCCGAGCTCCCAGGGCAGGGCAGGAGGGGGTGCTCGGCCCAGAGTTGGAGCCACCGCCCCTGCAGGCCAATGGCCCAGCACCCCTGCTAACTGCCCTTCCATCTGTCTCCTCTTGCTGACCCCCACGCCCCCGACCAGAGGCTCAGTTGTTCCATGAGGGGCCAGAGGCAGATCCCAGAGCCAAGAGGACCCATCTCAGACTCCAGAAAGGGCGCGATGAGCTGTAGGCACCAGCGCCTCAGCCTGGCCTCAGTTCCCCCATCCCTCCCTGGCGGGCAGCCCAGGCTGAGCCCCACCTTGGGGCCTGAGGGTCTAGAGGCAGGGAACCAAGGGACAGAGGTGAGGGCACTCAGGCCAGCTGGCCCTGCCCATCCAGAATCAGCCCCCAGCACCTCTCAGCCACCCACATCCCGAGCAGCCCCTCACCCCGGGCTGTGCCTGGGGTCCCACCCTCCCATGGCGCAGCTTCGGGGACAGGAATTCCATCACCCCCTGCCCCACAGTCCTGTGGGAGAAGCAATTAAGTGCCCCCACCCCTGCCGGGACAAGGAGCATTCCTGGATGTCTGGGAGCCCAGAGCCAACCGGCCACCTTTACCCTGGGCAGCCCACCTGCCACCGCCATCTGCCCCAGCAGCCTTGGACCTTCACCTGGTGGCCACACCACCTCCGGAGCTCCCAGAACTCCTTAAGAGCCTGGCCCCGTGCAGCCTAGGGCTGGGCCACTCCCTGCCAGGCTGCTATTTTGAAATGTAGAGGCTGCACCTGTATAGGGGATACCCCACCCCCAAGTCCAGGGCACATTCCTGCGCTGAGAGCCAAAGTCTCCAAAGTCCTGGGCCCAGCTGAAAGCAATTGCTCCAGGCACACAATGACAGCCCCAATCCCTGAGCACTTGGTACAGCCTTTCTGTCCTTCCTCACAACCCCCAGTGCCCTGGTGGGGAAGCTGAGGCTCAGAGGAGTCAAGGGACTTCCAGCTGGATGCTGGCCAGCACCCGGGCTGGTGAGTCCGAGGACAGGCAGGTGCAGTGGGAGGGGAGGCCTGGGCTCCTCAAGTACGACGTGTGACCCTGGGGACGCCTCCCTTCCCTGGGCTGCAAAGAGAGGGGCAGGTGGCTCTGTCGGTATTCCCGCAGGCCAGGCCCAGCCTGCCCTTTCGGAGCACACAGCCACTCAGGGATGGGGGACGCAGGTGCTGCGTGGGCAACTTCCCCTCCCCGGGACCCAGAAGACCACCCCAGAAGCCCCCTCTTGGGCCCTCCAATCCCAGCCCCGGCCTGGCCCCACCCATCTGGGCTTTGTAGAGGGGCCCAGGACACAGATGCTGTCTCTCCCTGGGGTCGGGCCCGGGCTCCAGGCATTACCTGCTGCCCGGGGGCCAGCCGGGTCCTGCCGATACAGCGTGCAATCAGGTAGCACAGGGTCAGCATTGGGGGCCTGCCCAGCCCCTTCCCTCAGCACAGCTCCCCACCAGGGAGCCCAGCGCAGGTCCCCAAATCCCAGGAGGGAGCCCAGTGTGGAGGCAGGACTTCCCAGGGGCACACTGGTGCTGGAATGTTCCGGGCACCATGTTCCCAAGGAGGTGAGGAGGGCGCAGGAGGAGGAGCTATGGCCAGCCCTTGTTTGGGGCCTTGTTCTTACAGTGCCCCAAGGAGGGGCCACTTATACAATAGCCCCACTCGTCCCACCCAGGCCCCACCTCCACTCCTGCTCCCGCCAAGACCTTGAGGCTCTGGCCTCGGGATCCCCAGGAAGGCGCCTGCGCGGCCTGGCCTGGCCCCTGGTGCCAGCGGGTCAGGGGTACATCCCAGAGCAGGGTGGGGGCTCTGGGCAGGAGTGCAGACCCCACAGCCTGGGGCCACAGCTTTGCCCCCCAGGCACGCAGCTCCTCACTGGTTGATGGGGCCTGTGGCCACTTCAGAGGGCTCTGGAAGGTTGAATGGGCTGGAAAATGTGGCCTTTAGAAAAGGCAAAAAGGCCACATCCAGCACCGTCACCTGCCAGGCCAGCGGGACAGGTGGGCAGAGCCAGCTCCTTGGCCCATTCTGCGTCATGACATACCAGGGGCAGGGAGGACTCTGGGACTGTCTCCCAAATGGGGGTGGCGCCAGCTGAGTCATGGGTCACTTAGTAGGAAGGCACCCTGAGATACAGACAGGGTGCTGTGCGCGCTGCAGAATGCCTCCTCCCACCCTCCTCCCTCCCTGACTTCTCCTGGCGTAGGAATCTGACCTCTGGCCCAGGGGTGGGGCTGACCCCCGTGGGCGTGTGAACCACCAGAGGTCCAGGCCAGGGTGTCATTTGCTCATCAGCAGGAATGGGACCCATGGAGACTCTGGGAGGGGGAGGCGATGCTGGCCGGGGTTCCTTCTGCCTGGCCCTCCCTGCTGCTCAGAGTTACAGCTGGAGGTGGGCTGGGGGTTTGCAGGGGGAGGAGCAGTGCTTGGCACCTGTCCTTGGCCAGGGGCCTTGGCCTCCAGAGGGGCAGCCTAGTGAGGCCAGGCCTCACCCTTGGCGGGGCTCCCTAACCAGCAGGCTGGGCTCTAGCATCACACATCGTCCCCTCCAGAAGGCAGAAGATACCCCGCGCAAGGTGACTCCAACTGGCAAGAAGGTCCCTGTGCCGGGAAGCTTGTCTGGGCAGCCCGGACTCCCCTTTGCAGATTGAATTCGGAGGGACGTGAGAGCCCCTTGCAGAGGCAGCTCCTCCACCAGGAGTCGGGCCTCTAGGGAGGCAAGCCCCCTCCCACACCAGCTCCAGAGCCCCCGACGCCCCCTGCAAGGCTGTCCTCAGCCTCCGTGAGTGCTCGGGCCCAACCCCAGGCTGGAGTGGGAGCGTCAGACCACGCCCCCCACAGAGGGCCTCAAAGTCGAGGAAGCTGGGGCAGGTCCCTGAGGAGGAGCTATGGAGTCCCTGGGCCAGGGTCCACGTGGTCCCCAGGTGGCCCCACAGCAACTACGGCCACCCAGCAGCCACCTTGATGGCCCCAGGAAGGAGGGAAGCTCAGGGTCAAGTGGACGCTACAGGCCTTGCCTGCGGGATCCCACGACAGCTCCCGCGGCCCCCAGGCCTCACCTTGAACCCGATACCGCCCTTCTTACAGCACAGGCAGGCCAGCATGAGGACGATGACGGCGAAGAGCCCGGAGAAAGACACAGCCACCACGGCGAGGGAGGATGGCCAGGACAGCTCGCTGAGCGGGGCGCCGTCTGCGGGAGAGCAGTGTGGTGAGAGTGGCCATGGCTGAGGGCCGGCCAGGCCCCTGCCCCTGCTCTGGGCTCCACAGCCCCACCTGGACTTGCTGCATTCCAGGCTGGGCCTCAGCACCCTGACCTCTCACCCCAGACCCCACACCTCACAGTGTGGCGAGGAGGTGGCCAGAGCCTGCAGTCCTGCAGCCAGCCACTGGACACCACCCTGGCTTCGCCAGGGGGACATAGGGTTGGCAGAGTGACCAGAGCCTGCCCAGTTCCCAATTCTGGGGTTCAGATACCCCTGAGAGGTCAGGGTCTCAGGGGCTACAGGGGGACCCCCATCTCCCTCCCAGATCCCAGTCACCCCACCTTGCCCCTCTGGGGCTGGGAAGGGAACATGGACTCTGTCAAACACGGGAGACCATGTTGCTGGCTGCTATCTGCTGGCCACACACCAGGCTCTGGACAGCGGGGGCTCAAGGCCCTTCCAGCCTCTGAGGTGCGGGGACCTCACTGTCCCTGAGAAGGTGGTGCTGCCTCTGCCAGGCAGCAGGGCTCCCGTGTGCCACCTGCTGCCTCGAATCCGTCCCCTTGCCAAACCCACTGCCAGGCCCCTCTGGTGCTGCTTCTGTCCTGGGAACCATGGGGAAACCCCGTTCTGCAGCTGCTGGTCCATGGAGCCCCTCATCCCAGAGGGGAACTGACAGTACAGCATCCCTCCCAACTTCGGAGTATTGAGCTGAGCCCGGCTTCCAAATCAGGACACCTGAGCTGAGCCAGGCTTTGAGGAAGCTCGGTCCATCTGCTGCCCACAGGATGGCATGGTGGGGGCCAGCCTTGGTGTCCCCTGGGCAGGGGAGGGCACACTGACCCGCTGGCTCTATCCCCTGGGCCTGCCCCGTCCCACCGCACCCAGCTCCAATCCATGCCCTTCCCTAGGAGCTTTCTGTCCGGCTGCCCTCCACTTGGCCCTGGAGATTTTCCGGCCACCCCCAGTGCCTTTTGCCACTGAGCACCTGCAACTTCTCAGCTCCCAACACCCCTCAACACCCCATCTCCTGGCCCAGCACACCCCCAAAGGTGTTGTCATCTCTACCCCACTGGACGAGCCAAGAAACAGGGTCAGTGTGGGCAGGGCTGCCCGAGGTGGCACAGCTGACCTCACCTGGCATGCTCTGCCAGGGCTGCAGGCTAATGGGGCATCTGGGAAGGCTGCCTGGAGGTGGCGTGAGCTAGAAGACAGTGAGGGCAGCCTAGGCTTCCTGCTCAGGTCTCCAGGTTGTTCCCCACACACGAGGAAGAGGGAACCAGGACGGCTTGGAGTGAGGACCAGACAGGGCCGTGGGGACAAGGAGGCAGGGGGCGGCCAGCAAAGCAAGACCTGGGTCACCGGGGAAGGAAACCAGCTCTGCCGCATGTGGAGACGAGCCAACGGGTAGGGCCGTGAACAGATGTCATCCCAGGCGAGGTTTCCAGGATGTGCGGGCGTGCGTGTCATGCGTGTAAGGACACCCTGCACACCGGGTAAGCCCCGCTGTGTTCTCATACCCGAACGGCAGGAACACAGGCAGGGGCTCACGAGGCACTCAACAGGCCCCGCCCTCCAAAGCAGCCAGCGCTCTTCGGAACTGCAAGTTGCCATGGTGCCCATCTCCCAGGCTCCATCTGGTGCCCGCCTGGCATCAGTCCACACCCCTCTAACACCTTCGCCCATGCCCTCCTGGCCCCTCTCCTGGCGGGCCCTTCCCTCATGGGACACACTGGATGAGTGAAGGAACCTATCTGTGGCCTTTTGGGGCCAGGATCTGGCCTCCTGTCCTCAGAGCCAGCAGAGCCCTGGGGCTGGACAGGCCACCTGCTGGGCAAAGAGCAGCCCCAGGAGGCCCGACCTCAGCCTCCCCCTCAACCTCCCCTTCGGAACCAACCTCGGCCACCCTGGGCTCCCCTCCCATGGCCCCATCCCTTCCCTGGTCCTCCCCCGAATGGAGGCAGCTGGCCTCAGCCTTCCCACCTCCAGGACCCCACCTCAGCTACCCTGGGCTCCCCCCAGCAGGACGCCATCCCATGCCTGGTCCTTCCCCGCACTGAGGCAGCTGGCCCTGGGGCACAGCCCTGCTGTGAGTTCCCCCTCCCCTCTAGAAGGCCCAGGTCCCAGTGCTGGGCGGCCATGGGGGGTCATTCAGCACCACGTGCTGACTCAGTGGAGGGCAGAGGTGGGCAGGGGCACCAGGCAGGCCTGCCCATGAGCACAAGGTTGTGTCCCTGAAGGTGGATGTGTAGGGGTGGGGGACTGTCCACACAAGCCAGCCAGAGCCAGAGGGTTGCAAGGAGAGACGGCACACCTAGGCTTTCAAATCCACAGAAGCGGTCAGTTTCTGGAGCCCCTACCAGTGCCCAGAGCAGCAGAAACCACAGCGGTTCCCATCTGAGGGTCAGAGCGGCTGTCCGAAGCTCCAGAGACCCTCCCTCATCAGAATCACTACCACCCTTGCCGGGCGCGGTGGCTCATGCCTGTAATCTCAGCACTTTGGGAGGCCAAGGCAGGTGGATCACTTGAGGTCAGGAGTTCGAGACCAGCCTGGCCAACACAGCGAAACCCCATCTCTACTAAAAATAAAAAAATTAGCTGGGTGTGGTGGCACAAGCCTGTAATCCAAGCCACACAGGAGGCTGACACAGGAGAATTGCTCGAACCCAGGAGGCGGAGGCTGCAGTGAGCCGAGATTGCACCATTGCACTCCAGCCTGGGTGACAGAGTAAGACTCCGCCTTAAAAAAAAAAAAAAAAGGAATTACTACCACCCCACTTTGCAGATGAGGACACTGGGTCCCGTGGAAGCGAGGTGGTTTGTCCAGGACACCAGTGCGCCCAGCCCTGTCCTCGTGGCCACGAGAGGACCCTGGGCAGAGGAGGGGGGGTTCCCACAGTCTCTCGGCCGCAGGCTGATGCCTCCCTCAGGCCCACCTGCTCTCGGCCACCCTGGCACCCACAGCCGAGTGCACCCACCGCCGCCTCTGCATTCCTGGAGCCTTCTCTGTGCCCTCATCAGAGGCACCTGCTACCTGGGCCCCGCTGGCTGTCAGCTTGTAAGACAGACCAGGCTCTGACCCCAGATGCCAAGGGCCAGGACTAGTGCCCTGGGAACCATGACACTTGTTGTAACAATCCAGCACACAAATGCCCACGTATGTGCATGCATGAAAACACATGAAACACACATGCACACACACCTCATGACAACGCGAAACATACATGCACACGTAGCATGCATACAACCATACGTGTGACCATGTGCACACACTATACACAGGCCAAGACATGAACGTTCATGCACAGACATGCACACACACATATGCATGTGTATATATCACACGTGTGCACACCCATACCCGCACAGGCATATACCCACGTGCACATACACACGGGCACACGTGCACACAGCCACACGCACACATCCACACGCACGCACACATCCACACACACGCAGACACCCACACGCGTGCACACACCCCCACACACGTACACGCACCCACATGCACGCAAACCCACACCCACGTGCACACAGACCCACACCCGTGCACCCGGACCCACACCTGTGTGCACACACGCGGACACATACGTGTGCACACAGACATACCCCACACACACATGCACACATACGCGCACGCCCACATGCACACACACACTTACCCACACATGCGTGCACACACACACACACCCCCACATGCACACATATCCACCCACACGCACATACCCACACACATGCACAGAGACATACCCACATGCACGTGCACACCCACCCACACATGTGCACACATATCCACACACGTGCACACATACCCACACATGCACACCCACACATACCCACGCACACACACTCCCATGGACACACGGGCACACGTGCACACACACCCCCACACGTGCGTGCACATACCCATACACATGCAAACACACCCACAGATGCATGTGCACACACACCCACCCACATGCACACATGCATGCACACACACCCTCGTGCAGACACAATGCACCCACACACGTGCACATACACGTTCGCGTGCACACACGTGCACACATACCCCCACACGCACATACCCACACACGTGCACACCCACACGCACAACACACACACATACCCACACACATATCCACACATCCACACATACCCACACACATATCCATACATGCACACCCACCCACACACACCCAAGCACGCAGATACCCACACGCGCAAACCCACACATGCGCGCACACAGATACCAACACGCGCATGCACACCCACATGCACGCACACACCCATGTGCACACAATACCCACTTGCGCGTGCACACCCACGTGAGCGCACACACACCCCCACGCGTGCAGATAACACGCACACATGTGCACACATACCCATACACGCACACACATATAACCACACATGCGTAGACAGATACCACACGTGTAGGCACACACACATGCACACCCCCCACACGTGCGCGCGCACCCACACCCACACGTGCGTACACACGCATGCACGCACCCCACACACCCACACGTGTGCACACCCACAGGCACACACACCCGCACATGCAAACATGCACACACATGAATGCACACATGTGCACACACATCCCCTGGCTCAGTCCCCACTACTGGCCTGCTCAGTAGGTATCATCATCCTCACTTTACAAGTACGAAAACTGAGGCTCAGTGATGTCACAAGCACACCCAAAGGGTGGCCTGGCTCTGCCAGCTCCACTGCCCTGCTCCAGATGCCATGCCTGCCCCTCCACAAGCCACGTGGGAGGCCCCACTTATCTCCTTGGGACCAGCCCCCACTAGCAGGTGGGGAGGCCTCTGTAGGGTCTGCTTGCCTGTCCCTCTCATTAATGCCGCACTCTTCCCAAATACGAGAAGGGGTACCTGGGACCTCAGCCCAGAAACCCGTGCCCAGGAAGACACAAGTTGCACACGGCTTTGTTTCTGAAACTTCTTGAAAGCCCATTTAAACCAGCATCCCACTGTTCAACCCTCTGCTACCACACAAGCTGCATGGTGTCCCCCAGGCTCTTCCAAGCCCGGCCCTCTGCTGCCACACATGCTGCGCGGCCCCCAGGCTCTTCCAAGCCTGGCCTGGCCATACCGCGGTCCCTGGTCCTCCCGCAGGCCTTATGAGAGCCCAAGTAGCTGCACTGAAAGGTCACTTCAAAGCACACCCTCCAACCCTGGTGACCCCTGCTGATGCCCCAGCCCTCCACTGCGCTGCTGAGGCTGTGCCCCTGGCCATGGTGAGAATGGGGGCAGTTCTGCCTCCTCTGCAACTGGGCTGGAGGGTGCCTATGTGAGCCTGCAGTGGATACACCGTGACACCAGCATGCACACACGTGTCCAGGCTGTGGCTTCTTAGGCCACTGTCCACACAAGGAACCAGGGCCTCACCCATGGTGGGTAAAATGCACCAGGACTGTCACAGCCCATGAGTCCTCTGTCCACCAGCCTTGTCCACTGGCCCTGAATCAGCCACCCTCAGGACCCCCAAAGGATGACTCTATTTCTTTTTGTTTTAGAGATGGGGTCTGTGTTGTCCAGATGGGAATGCAGTGGGGTGATCACAGCTCACTGCAGCCTGGAACTCCTGGCCTCAAGCAGTCCTCCCCGCCCAGCCTCCCGGGTAGCTGGGATGATGGGTGTGACAGGCACGTGCCACCGGGCCTGGCTGGTGACTGTTTCTACTGTTCCTGCTGCGTCTCCTGGTGTGCACTCTGCCGTGAGGGAAGGCAGGGCCTTCACCCCCACTTGCTTTTTTCGTATCAGTGCTCAAGACACTATCATTCCCATTTATTTACGTCACACTTAGGCACTCCTTTTCATTCCAATGAGCTGTAATGTGTTACTGTAATTGTTTAGTTTGATTCTCAAATTGCCCCAGATTTGGTAAGGGGGCACCTGGTGTATGCAGAACAACGGCTCCCAGAGCTGTCCACCTCCCGATCCTCGAAACTTGAGACTCTGGGTGCCTTGCATGGCAAAAGGAGCTTTGCAGGCGGGATTTAGGTAAGGACGTGAGGCGGGGCCATTAGCCCGGATTGCCAGGCAAGCCAGGGTCATCCCGAGGGTCTTTGGATGAGGGAGGCAGGAACTGGAGATGAGAGAAGTGACTGCAGAATCAGAGACCGTGGGGCCGGGGGACCGTGGGGCCGTGGGGACCATGGGGCCGTGGGGCCGTTGAGCTGTGGGGCGGTGAGACCGTGGGGCTGTGAGCCGTGGGGCCGGGAGACCGTGGGGCCGTGAGCCGTGGGGCTGTGGGGCGGTGAGACCGTGGGGCCGTGAGACCGTGGGGCTGTGAGCCGTGGGGCCGGGAGACCGTGGGGCCGTGAGCCGTGGGGCTGTGGGGCCGTGAGCCGTGGGGCCGTGGGGACCGTGAGCTGTGAGCCGTGGGGCCGTGGGGCCGTGGGACCGTGGGACCATGGGGCCGTGAGCCGTGGGGACCGTGAGCCGTGGGGCCGTGGGGACTGTGAACTGTGGGGCCGTAAGCCGTGGGGCCCATGAGCCGTGGGGACCGTGGGGACCATGGGGACCGTGAGCCGTGGGGCCGTGGGGGCTAGGAGCCGTGGATGCAAGGGGCTGGAAAGGCCAGGGGTGGACTCTCCCCAGAGCCCAGCCTCCACCACATTGACTATAGCCCATGAAAGTGACTTTCGGCCGGGCGCGGTGGCTCACACCTGTAATCCCACCACTTGGGAGGCCAAGATGGATGGACCACCTGAGGTTAGGAGTTCAAGACCAGCCTGGCCAACGTGGTGAAATCCCGTCTCTACTAAAAATACAAAAAACTAGCCGGGCATGGTGGCGTGTGCCTGTAATCCCAGCTACCTGGGAGGCTGAGGCAGGAGAATTGCTGGAACCCAGGAGACGGAGGTTGCGGTGAGCTGAGATTGAGCCACTGCACTCCAGTCTGGGCGACAGAGACTCTGTCCCCCCCAAAAGAAAAGAAAGTAAGTGACTTTCAATTTCTGACTTCCAGAACCTACGATAATAGACTCCATGAAATCTGTAATCAGTGGCCACAGGAAACTCATGCAACAGCCCTTCCAAGGGGCTCCCCAGCAAAGCCTCTGTGGTGTCTGCCCCCAACCCCTGTGCCTCCTGGGACACAAGACAGGCCCAGCAAGGGTGGGGGTGCCATGGAAAGCTTGGTGGCTGGGCAGGTCCCCAGAGGGCCGCCATCAGTCCTCAAAGACATGCTCAGATGC